>NC_000023.11:49878679-50228964 GCF_000001405.40 Homo sapiens
CCGGAGCTGGGGTCCAGGCCTCCCCAGAACTGCAGCTGGAGCTTCATCCTTTTCGGGAAGCGCAGGACCTGGCGTGGGAAGGGAGACAGGGACGAGGCTAGAGGCAGGCTCGGCCGCCGAAATGATGGCCTGTCACGGCTTCTGCCTGCGCTCCCTAGGACCCCCCTCAGAGGGGACATTTCACAGCCTCAGAAACATTTCTGGACTTGGCACCCGCTCGGCCCCCAGCCCCGCAGTGGCCGAGGGAAGCCTGCATAGACGAGGGGAAGGACGAGGAGAGGGGAGGAGACGATGAAGGGGGTCAGAGCAGCGATTGGAGCCGAGAGCTGGAAGCGCCTTAAAGAGACTGCGCGGTCCCCGCCCCCCTTCCCGCCAGCCTCAATGAATTAGAGCTGTGTTTCCCAAACTTGCCTGATCATAAGCAGCCTCTGGGGCCCTAGTTAGAGATACAGGTTCCGGAGTACCTCCCTTCGAGATTCTGATTCAGTAGGCCTGCGGGTGGAGCCAAGGAATCTGTAATTTTAACACGCTCCCCACGTGATTCTCGTGAACAAGCAAGTTTGGAAAATACTGAATTAAAGGAAACGGGGCCTGGCTGCAGAAGCAGCCTCCACTAGGGGGCTTCGGCGGGAGGATTCCCGGGGGCGTCGCCTGCTTCCGCCGCCGCCTCCTTCAGTGAAAGTCCCTTTTGGGTCCAGCTGCCACAGCCACCGCGCTCCCTCAGGCCGGGCGGGGGACACCCCAGGTCTGCGTGGCCCCCGCGCCGCCACGCCCAGTGGCCGCCCGAGCCCTGCGAGCAGGGGGAGGAGCCGCCGCCAGTGGAGGCGGAGGAGGTAGAGGAGGCGGAGACGGCGGAGAAGGCGGAGAGGAAGGTGGAGGCGGAGGCGAAGGTGGAGGGGAAGGCGGAGGCGGCGGGGAAGGCGGAGGCGGCGGGGAAGGTGGACGCCACCGAGAAGGTGGAGACGGCGGGGAAGGTGGACGCCGCTGGGAAGGTGGAGACGGCGGAGGGTCCGGGCCGCCGGGCTGAGCTCAAGCTGGAGCCCGAACCCGAGCCGGTCCGGGAGGCGGAGCAGGAGCCGAAGCAGGAGCTGGAGGATGAGAACCCAGCGCGGAGCGGCGGTGGCGGCAACAGCGACGAGGTTCCTCCCCCCACCCTTCCCTCCGATCCACCGCGGCCCCCCGATCCCTCTCCGCGTCGCAGTCGTGCGCCGCGCCGCCGACCCCGGCCCCGGCCCCAGACCCGGCTCCGTACCCCGCCGCAGCCTAGGCCCCGGCCCCCGCCCCGGCCCCGGCCCCGGCGCGGCCCTGGGGGCGGATGCCTGGATGTGGATTTTGCCGTGGGGCCACCAGGCTGTTCTCACGTGAACAGCTTTAAGGTGGGAGAGAACTGGAGGCAGGAACTGCGGGTTATCTACCAGTGCTTCGTGTGGTGTGGAACCCCAGAGACCAGGAAAAGCAAGGCAAAGTCCTGCATCTGCCATGTGTGTGGCACCCATCTGAACAGACTCCACTCTTGCCTTTCCTGTGTCTTCTTTGGCTGCTTCACGGAGAAACACATTCACGAGCACGCAGAGACGAAACAACACAACTTAGCAGTAGACCTGTATTACGGAGGTATATACTGCTTTATGTGTAAGGACTATGTATATGACAAAGACATTGAGCAAATTGCCAAAGAAGAGCAAGGAGAAGCTTTGAAATTACAAGCCTCCACCTCAACAGAGGTTTCTCACCAGCAGTGTTCAGTGCCAGGCCTTGGTGAGAAATTCCCAACCTGGGAAACAACCAAACCAGAATTAGAACTGCTGGGGCACAACCCGAGGAGAAGAAGAATCACCTCCAGCTTTACGATCGGTTTAAGAGGACTCATCAATCTTGGCAACACGTGCTTTATGAACTGCATTGTCCAGGCCCTCACCCACACGCCGATACTGAGAGATTTCTTTCTCTCTGACAGGCACCGATGTGAGATGCCGAGTCCCGAGTTGTGTCTGGTCTGTGAGATGTCGTCGCTGTTTCGGGAGTTGTATTCTGGAAACCCGTCTCCTCATGTGCCCTATAAGTTACTGCACCTGGTGTGGATACATGCCCGCCATTTAGCAGGGTACAGGCAACAGGATGCCCACGAGTTCCTCATTGCAGCGTTAGATGTCCTGCACAGGCACTGCAAAGGTGATGATGTCGGGAAGGCGGCCAACAATCCCAACCACTGTAACTGCATCATAGACCAAATCTTCACAGGTGGCCTGCAGTCTGATGTCACCTGTCAAGCCTGCCATGGCGTCTCCACCACGATAGACCCATGCTGGGACATTAGTTTGGACTTGCCTGGCTCTTGCACCTCCTTCTGGCCCATGAGCCCAGGGAGGGAGAGCAGTGTGAACGGGGAAAGCCACATACCAGGAATCACCACCCTCACGGACTGCTTGCGGAGGTTTACGAGGCCAGAGCACTTAGGAAGCAGTGCCAAAATCAAATGTGGTAGTTGCCAAAGCTACCAGGAATCTACCAAACAGCTCACAATGAATAAATTACCTGTCGTTGCCTGTTTTCATTTCAAACGGTTTGAACATTCAGCGAAACAGAGGCGCAAGATCACTACATACATTTCCTTTCCTCTGGAGCTGGATATGACGCCGTTTATGGCCTCAAGTAAAGAGAGCAGAATGAATGGACAATTGCAGCTGCCAACCAATAGTGGAAACAACGAAAATAAGTATTCCTTGTTTGCTGTGGTTAATCACCAAGGAACCTTGGAGAGTGGCCACTATACCAGCTTCATCCGGCACCACAAGGACCAGTGGTTCAAGTGTGATGATGCCGTCATCACTAAGGCCAGTATTAAGGACGTACTGGACAGTGAAGGGTATTTACTGTTCTATCACAAACAGGTGCTAGAACATGAGTCAGAAAAAGTGAAAGAAATGAACACACAAGCCTACTGAAGTGACACACAGACCTACCTGCAATGGAAGATGACGACACCAATACTACAACTGGCATCGAGATCTAAAGGACCTACTTGACCATGGCCCATGGGCCTGACAGAGTAAGAATTGAACAGTACCCAGTGTCCAAAAGGTCCTGATTGGAAGAGAAATAGAAGGGGAGGGAGAAGAGGCTCTAGTCTAAGCAGTTGATGAAAGGGAAATTAAATGGTAGAAACACTCTGGGTGAGGAAGGCAGGAGCAGGAAAATGCTGACACTGGTACATATCCTATATTCCTCCAAAAGATTGTGTGGGAAAGTGTGGGGGGGAGGGGGGTGGTGGGGGGGGAGTGTGCCCTTGTAACCGTAAAACATCTTTCTCCATGGGTGTTTCAGCTTCAATTGACCAATCACATAACAGTTATATGTTTGGGGGGAAAAAGAAAAGTTTCTAAAAAATGTAGCCCATTACATATATGGGTATGAAAGCAGAAAAGTGGAGGAGGCAGGGATATCATTGACAAACACCTTTGCCAGTTTCTTTGTATTCGTGATTTTTTGTGCTATTAAATGCAGTATTAAAACAAGAAAAGCCCACCTGGGCTAGTGAAAGGAGAGGAAATAAGGGGGCTTGTAAAAGGGGAGCCGTCGCTCCAAAAGTAGAGAAGACAAGAAATGCTGTAAGATAAGCAACCAACGCAGACAGGCCTCAGCTAAGAGTATAGTGTGTGTGTGTTAAAAAAAAAAAAAAAAAAAGAAAAAAAAAAGCTGTATGATATACTTGAGCAAATCAATGAACCTCTTTGCGATTGTTTTATCATCTGTAAAATGCAGATAATTCCTACCTTAAAGGGTTATTGTTAAAGATAAAATGATATAAAAATGTGTCAAAGTATAAAGTAAAAGGCTTGGAACTTTGTAGGGACTCAGTAAACGTTTGTTGGATCCAAACCTGAAACTTCTTTGGACCAGGCCCAGAATGCATCAGAGGTGGGGGTCAGTCCTGCCTGAGACCCCTGGACAGAAGGGACACACATCATGTCACATACAGTCACACACACATTCTCCACAACTCCCTCCCCAATGCTGTCTATTTAGAGTACCAAGGCAATGAACTCCACTTTTGTCCCTTGTGTGCAGGGCATCACAGTGGGTGCCACCTGGGATTGGGGGTGGAAAGGACCACAGCTGTCCCATAAGGTCATTATTCTGTCCTTTTGGAGGACAGTCATGTTGCTTTCATGATTCAGATCCCAGTGATGGGACTCTCATGGCCAGTAGGCTGCCAGGCTTGCACACGAGGGAATTTGGTGGTCTTCGTCTTCTAAAAACATTATGGGTTCGGTTGCTATGTTTACTCACAGGCACAGATCAGTAGAAAGACTGTTTTCCAAAGTTCACTGGCCCATCAGCCCAGGGATATTGATAGAGTGGCTTGTTGGCCCCTTCCCTGATACTGTCAGAGGGCAGAGCAGCCTGCAGAGAGCTAAGCCAAAACAGATGGGATGAACCCAGGATGGGGTAAGCACTATGAGTCCTTCTCTCATCAGCATCAGGTACAAAAGTAATTGTTACCTAGATAATCCTGGAGGGAAATTGAATGCGTATCACATCCATGGGGCTTGGATCCACTGGCTCTGGTAAAAGGCTGGGCTCCCCATTGCTTCCCAAGTCTACTTCATGGTCAACTCATTTGGAAATATATGTTTATTTACGTGGCTGTGGGTGCATCACAACTAGCTTATAGGCTTTTTTAGGACAGGAGTTGTGTCTCCTCTTGTACCTTGGGATGCATTCTCATTCCCTTAGCTCCTGTCACATGGTAAGTAGGTATTCAAAACATTTACTGAATGAATGAATGGATGGATGAGTTAATGAACCAATACACCTTCCTTTCATAACCGAGATTTCATTAACACCTAGGGCTCATAATTTTCAGGAGAAAATGTAAAAAGTTGTTATTTTTGGTGTCTTGTAGGATGGGGGAGCTCAAGAGATGGGTGACTTTGGATGGCACTTGGCAACTTCGTGCAGGGTGTCTGACTACCTTTTGGGATGGGTCTGGTATCCCTACCTGGAAGAACACAGCCATGTCCTCATTCTTCATCTCTGCCAGGGGAAGAGTCCAGGCAGGCCTGTGCCACCAGATCCTGACTGCTTGCACAGAAACTGACCTTTAAAAATTTTAAACATTTTTATTTGGAAATCATTTCAAGTTTACAGAAAAGTTATAAAAAATAGTATAAAGAGCATCTGTATGCTCTATACCAGATTTACCTGTTGGGAAATTTTACCTCATTTGTATTATCATTTGCACATGTGCACTCTTTTATAAATGGGGGTGTGTATTTTTGAACGATATGAAGATAAATTAATTACATATATCATGGCCCTCCATGCCTAAATATGTCAGTGTGCATTTCCTAAAAATAGGCATATTCCCCACATCACTACAGTAGAGCTTCAGAAAATTTAACATTGATAGAATACATTAATCTACGATTTGTATTCCAATTTTGTCTGGTGACCCAGTAAGGTCCTTTATAGCATTTTCCCACTCTATTGCAGGATCTGGTTTAGGGTGAAGTATTGCATTTAGTTGTCATCTCTCTTTAGCCTCCTTTAATCTGGAACATTTCCACAACCTTTCTTCATCTTGTATGACATTCACATTTTTAATAGCACATTCCTCATTTTGGGTTTGTCTGATACAGAAAACCCTTTTAAATACCCTGCACTCAACCATAGTTCTAAGAGGAACTCACTGAGAGCTATGAATGGCAAGAGATGCTGAACCTGACCTCCCTGTCTCGGCTGGTGGAAGGCACAGACCGCCAGGGGGAGCAGCTGTGCTGGGCACTTTCTAATTGAACCTCATGCCTCCTATATCTGGAAAACAGCATTGTCCCTTAGCAACAGGGCAGCCATTCAAGGCCAGTCCTATGCCCCTACGAGTCACTAACCCCCAAATTGAGCAATGGAATGTAACAGCAGCCAGAGCCTGCCTTCAGATCATACCATCGTGGAACCCAAGGCATCATGTATTCAGCAGGTATGTGTTAACCTTGAGCTCAAACTGAGATCCAGGCATGTTTGAGAATGTCTGGCACATGGTCAGGCACCTCCACGATTAGGGCCTTTAGGGGTATCAGGAAGTAGCACCCTTGGCACCTTCACTAACGTTCCCACGGTGAGCACAAATACAGCAGTGGCAGGGGTGGGGAGGGAAGGGGTAACTAGTTCTCAAACAGCTTCATGGTCAGAGTACACAAAGATAGGGGCCCAGAATAAGTAAGAAAGAACATGGGAGATGGTGAAAACGGATTGGTTTGTAACCTACTGGGGACTTGCAGACACAATTGGGTTATTTTTCATGTGGGCTGGAGTTCCTAGATGAGCAGATGGGACAAGAACCAGTGAAATTTAAGCTAATTCTTTTTTTTTTTTTTTTTTTGAGACAGAGTCTTGCTCTGTCGCCCAGGCTGGAGTGCAGTGCAATGGCGTGATCTCAGCTCACCGCAACCTCTGCCTCCTAGGTTCAAGCAATTCTCCTGCCTCAGCCTACCGAGTAGCTGGGATTACAGGCGCCCACCACCACACCCAGCTAATTTTTTGTATTTTTAGTAGAGACAGGGTTTTGCCATGTTGGCCAGGCTGGTCTCAAACTCCTGACTTCAGGTGATCCACCCGCCTTGGCCTCCCAAAGTGCTGGGATTACAGGTGTGAGCCACTGCGCCCAGCTAAGCTAATTCTTTAGCAGAGACTTCATTTACATCCACATACTGTTAGGACTGGGAGACTTGGTTCGTATGTAGGTTTGTGATCTGGACTCAGAGGGGCACAGGTGAAATATGGGTGCTCACAACTGGGGGCATTAACCACCCACAGAGTTCAGAACCATGTACCAAACAATGAGATACTGCCCTGTCACCCATTACACATTTCTTCCCACAATTTCGTGGCATAATTTGATTAGAAATCCAGGACCCTGCCATTTACCATTTCTTGGAGTAGCCAGATGCTAAAACTGACTCTGGCCTGCAGGTCACATTGGTAACTGTCTCACTTATTCACTGTCTACAGGGAATTCTGATCAGGGACGCCATCAACCAAAAGGCCTTTTTCCGATCAAGAAACAGAGTGGCCCCCACGCAACTCTTACTTTCAAATCCAGTAGACCTGGTGCCAGAAACCTGTGTTTCCTCCAAATGTATGTTTCACACCCAGAAACGAAGGCCCAGATCCTCTGAAAGTATGTAGCCCAGCACTCACCACAGTGTGTCATTACACACTTGCTCTGCAGGTGAGACCCAGTGCCATTTTTAAACTCTTATATTGAAGTATATCAAATATACAGGAAAAGTGCACATATCATTTATAACTTGATGAATTTCTACAAAGTAAACATATCCCTGTAAGCAGCATCCAGATCAAGAAACAAAACATTCCCCAGAACTCAAAGACACCTATCTTAACTTCTTTTCACTGTAGATTAGTGTTGTCTGTCTTTAGACCTTCTCTAAATGCAGTTGTTCAGCATGTACTCTTTTATGTCTGGCTTCTTTTGTTCGATAGTCATTTTATGAACTTCAGACCTCGAGTCTTTTTTTTTTTTAAAGTAATACCCTCTCAGAGAGGAGAGAGTGGGCTGGCCTCTGTGAAATGAGATCAGCCTGAAGTCTTTTTGTCAAGAAAAATTAGGAGGAACTTCATTATTTCTGTCTAATGAACTAAGAGTAGGAATCCCTACTCGTCCCTGTGATTTATTTGTTTGTTTGTTTGTTTTATTTATTTATTTTCTTTTGAGATGGGGTCTCACTCTGTCACCCAGGCTGGAGTGCAATGGTGCAATCATGCAGTGTCGACCTCCTGGGCTCAAACAATCCTCCCACCTCAGCCTCCTGATATTGAATCAATTCGGAGGGACTCAGGCCATTGCAAAGTTGTGTCTTTGCCTTGAGAATGTCTATAATCTCACTCAGGTACAAGAAAGTGTCTCAAGAGTGTCTGTAATATCACTCAGGTAAAAGAAAATGGTGGATGGAAAATAACCTTCCAAAGAAGCTTGGGTTAATTTAAGCACCCAAGAAATGTTAATCTTGGGCAACACTTCAGCCTTGTTCCAGTAGCTCCTGAATGCAATATTCTGGTAATTTCTCAAACTTTAATATGCATCAGAGGTCCTCATGTACCAAGAGGGCTCATTAACACACAGATTGCTGGGTCCCACCCCCAGAGTTTCTGGTTCAGTAGATCTGGGATGGGGGCTTGAGAATTTGCATTTCTAACACATCCCCAGGTGATGCCCATACTCCTAGTTCTGGGACCACACTTTGAGAACCACTGATCTATTCGTTATCTCACCTTCCTGGAGTCCAAGGAGTCTATGAAGATGGCCCAGGGAGCACCTTGGAGAGCACTGCAGGGAGCAAGGAAAATAAGTTGGTGAGATCAGAACTCTCAACCCCACTTCAACCAGAGAAGCTCTCCTCTTATTTGTTTGGTATTTGGGGGTTCCAGGTAATACTTGCAGAAAGGGTTCTGCTACTAAACTATTTTAAAGTTGAAACTCACTGTGGTAAGAAATTTTAGACCCCAGGGGAATGATATACTTAAACGACCTGGTGGTGTGTCTGGAAAGTAATCCAGCCTGCTACAGAGGCCTGGCCTCATGTGCACTCACAATCTAGATGGTCCTGAGGGGAGACTTAATTTCTTTAGAACTTAAAGAAGTGGATATTTATGAGGATGGAAATGATAAGGAAGAATGCTTAATTATAAAAAGGTGCCAAATTGTGTGTATAAAACATGGTTTCTTCTGGCAACACAGCACACTAAGATGATATAACTAGTGCCTCGTTCCCACTACAAACATAGATTAACACTAGATCAACTAGAACAAAAATTTACATTTCTAGCTGAGCTTTAAAAAATAAAAATCAAAATCTCTAGGGAAACAAAAGGAAAAACAAAAGGCAGTGTAGTAGTTGTAAACAGACACTGCAGTGTCCTGTGTGGTATTGGTTCCAGATATCAGGCCCTGAGGGCTAGGGACTTGGAGCTGGGAGTCCAATACCCATCCAGGTGCTGACAACACAGCTTCAGGTCCACCACAGGCAGAGGAGCTATAGGTGAAACCTCTGGGTAAAGCCTTTAGTAACTTCTCTTGTCCATTAAAAGGGGGTTGAAGAATAAACAATGAAAGGGCTTATGTTGTCTCTGGAACCACAAGGAGAAATAAAAATCCCAGGCCTATGTTCTATGTGGATGTGGGGTCAAAATTTACTGTGTGGTATGGGAATCACATGCTGAAAAATTAAAAGCTGGGACAGAACCATTGAAACCTATAGAATCTCAGCAAAAGCAAATGCAATACATTTTTATGATCCAGGGTAATGGAACCCCACAGAAAAAGAAAGGATCTGCTGAAGATGGGCTCAGAAATAAGCAACAATAAAAATCAAGTCCTTGCATATAAATGATACGCCATGAAGGAGAGTCACCAGTTGCCATAAGGAGAATTAGTACCCCCAAGAAATACTGCTGAGAAGAACTGCTACTCTTTTTTTGAGAGTGAAATGAGGAAATTTTCAGGGAAAAAAAACAAAACTAAACTAAGAAAATTTAGCAATAATAGCCTCTCACAAGAATAACTACCACAAGAGATACTTCACGAAGGAGGAACTTGAAAGTAGGGAGAAGGGGTGAATAGGAGGCAAGGAACAGTGAACAAAAATTGTAAACGTGGGGAAATCTAAATGAGCATTAATTATATAAGGCAATAATAATGCTAAAGAATATGGGAGTATAAAAACAAGCTGGCACTAAAAACACAGAAGCACACAAAAACATGTAGGACACACCCCATAAATATGTGCAACTATTATGTATTCATAAAAAGAAAAATAAACATGTAAGACAGCAGGGCACTATTCATATTTAAAGCATTCTAAGGTGGTTGTATTGTTTGGAAAGACAGTAGGGATATTGCCTGAATTTAGACCTTGTTAAGTCAAGTATGAATGTTTAACCATTTAAGAGTATGGACTTCTAGGTTCTGGCAATGGCAGAATTAGTTATTTGATTTGACTTCATTATTGAATTAATGAAGAAATGCTGAATAAAATATTTCAAAACTACTTTAAAAGCACTGAAGAGCTGAGAGGACAAAGGAAAACTTCCAGGCCAACTTTTGGATGACAGCTGCAACCAAACAGGTAAACAGAATATAGAGGCATCAAAGCCAATTTGATTTAAGGGCATTTGCCTACACTGCCCACCTGAGCTTTGATTCAATGGCCACACAGGATTGGGGGAAAGAAGGCAAGGCTCAGGATCAACCCAAGGTAGGAGTTTAATAGGGAACCCTCTCCACATTAACCTGAGACCCCAAGGGACTATCTCTGCAGCCTGAGGGCCATCCAGAACTAAGCCTATTATAGATTTAGTTATAGTAGGAGCTTCTGTTCCCAATACTCCCTGAGAACTATACCGAAGTCTGCCTTGGTGCTAAGTAGAGCTCTCTTGCTAAAAAAGAAAGGGTTAAAAAGAAGGCTACAAAATCTATTCCTGAGAAGATGAGGCCACACTCCAGCCCTCAGACAGATTGACTCCCCTATTATCCATGGCCTGGGTCAGCTACAGAACTTCAAACCATGAACTTAGTTGTGGGTGGCTGCCAGACAGGTAGCACTCCAAGGTGCTCAGTAGAAACAAATACAAAATCTCTGGAGGAGAATAAATCCATCTCAGGCCTCAGGGAACCGCCACAAATAAATTGTCACAGGCAATGATCAGAAAGCAGGCTAAAATAGTCAGTTGCATAATGAAACAAGGTAACTTGACTTAGAACCAGCAGGGAAAGGAAACAATAGAAACAAACTTGCTCAGGCTTCATATCACAGAGTTATTAGACACATTTTAAAATGACCATGTGTTCTATGTTTAAAGAAATAGATTATTAATCTGAAAATATCTGCAGAGAAGAGGAACCCATAAAAAGTGACATGGCATATTGTGGGGAAAAGAGGGGGAAAAACTTCTAAAAGTGAAGAAATGAAAATATGGGATAGAGAGGAGAGATGTGGAGGATGTAATTAGGAAATCTAGCATACATTGATTACAATATGAGAGGAAGATAATATGACTACGAAATACTGTTACTATTCATATACTTAATATTCAATAATTCAAAAGTTGACAATGTTAATATTAAATAATAATAATGGTTGAGTATTTTAATAGACCCAATGAAAGAAATCAATCCACACATTTAAGAAGCCCAACAAATACCAAGTAGGATAAATAAAAAGAAATCTACACCCAGATACTGCAGAAAAACGAAGAGAAAGAGAAAATGGAGCCAGGGGAAATATGACAGCTCATTTCATGGGAATAGCAATTAGACTGACAGCTGACTTCTCAACAATCAGAAAATAATGAAATGATCTTCAATTTGATTATTGTTAACTTAGCATTCTATACTCAGCAAAAATATTTATAAAGGATGAGAGTAAAATAGAGACATTTTCAGGCAAACATTGAGATAATTCTTCATCAGCAGGTCCTCACTAAGGGAAATTCAGTAAAAAGCAGAAGGAAAATTATCCCAAGTAGAAGGTCTGTGATGGGTGAAAGAATGAAAAGTAAAGATGATGGTAAACATGTGGACAAATGCAAATAAACACTGAAGTATAAAATAATCACAATCATTGCTAGTGGGATTTGAAAAAGCAATGGAGACTTGAAATACAAGATAACATTAGCATATGAGTTTTAAGTTATTGAGTTATCTAAAAGAAGGGTAAAGGAATTTTTTTTTCAAATTTTAGACTTTTGTAAGTAAATTATGCATATTGTTATTTCTGAAGTAGCCATTAAAAAATAGAAACAGAGGGCACAATGTCCTAACTTACACACTAGCAGAGGGGGGCAACAGAATGATAATAAGAGATATATAACTTCCAAGCCACCAAAGGATAAAATGGGGTTAAACTCCATCAATCAAATTGAAGGCAGGAAAGAAGAGGAAAAATAAAGAAGCATTGAAAAATTAGAGTAACTCAAGGGTTGAAGAAAAGTCATAATGTAAATTAGAAAATACTTAGAACTGAATGATAGAAATATAGCTATAAAAGTTGTGAGATAGAACTAAAGCAGAACTTAAAGGGAGCAGTATGGCCTTGAATTTTTTTTATTAAAAAGCAAGTTAAAATTTAATGATTTAAACATCTAATTAAAGAAGTTAGAAAACCAACAACAAATTAAGCCTAATGAAAGTAGGTATAATCTACATAAGATCATAAATTGATAAAATAGAAAACAGAAGGTGAGGCCCAGCACTTTGAGAGGCTGACGCCTCACTCGAGGTCAGGAGTTTGAGACCAGCCTGGCCAACATGGCAAAACCTCATCTCTACTAAAAATACACATACAAAAAAAATTAGCCAGGTATGGTGGTGGGCACCTGTAATCCCAGCTCGGGAGGCTGAGGCAGGAGAATTGCTTGAAACTGGGAGGTGGAGGTAGCAGTGAGCCGAGATCGCACCACTGCACTCCAGCCTGGACAACAGAGGGAGACTCTGTTTAATAATAAAAAAAGAAGGAAAGAAAGAAAAGGAAAGAAAGAAAGAAAGAGAAAGAAAAAAACAGAGAATATCAATACAACTAAAACTTGGTTTTTTGAAGACAAAATTCTGTGAGAACTGAAGAAGAAAATTTTTTTAAAAGGCTCAAGTGAATAATATTAAGAATGAATAGAGGGGACCATGCGCAGTGGCTCACACCTGTAATCCCAGCACTTTGGGAGGCCGAGGCGGGCAGATCACTTGATGTCAGGTGTTCAAGACCAGCCTGGCCAACATGTTGAAACCCTGTCTCTACTAAAAATACAAAATTAGCTGGGCGTGGTGGTGTGCACCTGTAATCTCAGCTACTCAGGAGGCGGAGGTGGGAGAATTGCTTGAACCCGGAAGGCAGAGGTTGCAGTGAGCTGACATCATGCCATTGCACTCCGGCCTGGGCGACAGAGTAAGACTCCATCTCAAAAAAAAAAAAAAAAAAAAAAAAAAAATATATATATATATATATATATATATATATATATATTGCAAAACTTATTTAAGAAAAATTAGAAAGACTGAAAGATGTATATTTTTAAAAATTGAATCAATAACTAAAAATCTACTCTCCCCCAGAAAATTTTTAAAAAGGTTTCTAAGGTGAGATCTACCAAAGCTACCTGATACAAACTGTTCTAGGAAATGTAAAACGAGGAAATACTTCCACATCATTTTATGCAATTAGTATATAATCTTTACATCAAAACTGGTGAGAATAGTACAAGACAAGAATATTTTCAACCAGTCTCATAAACCTGGATACAAAAACCCTAAAAATACTTGCAAACTGAATTACCAATGTATATGAAAAAGCTATATCATGACCAAATTATATTTATCTCAGGGATACAAGGATGGCTTAATGTTAGAAAGTTTATTAAAATTTTTGGTTAAAGATGGAGGGCTGAATCTCACATTAGCTTTTTCTCTCTCTCAATACCTCACTAATTTGCTAGTAAAGGGAATTTAAAATGGAACAAATCCACAGAGACAGGAAGAATGAGTTTGTATACAGCAACAATAAAATTAAGGGGTCTAGAACCAGCTCTGGTTTCAGCTCCAACATGTAAAAAACTTGGAAATCATCATGCCTGTCCCTACAGTAAGAAGGTAGTGTAAACTAAAAATAGATTATTTTTCCTAGACCCATCAGAGAATTGAAGTCACAGGGCAAATTACTACCCTGAAATCTGGAGAGACAGGGAGATCCAAAGAGATTCAGCACCTGAGATGTGCTTACCTAGAATAAAAGCTGGTGACAGCCATAAGTGGTAGGACCACTTACTTGACTAGTGGTTTTGACAAGTTGCTGGAAACTGAGTGAGGACTAGCATGAGACTGAGAAATACCTGAAGGCCACACTTATAGGAGAAGTTCACACTTTTGAGGGCTTTCCCTGCAATAACTTCACCAAGTTCTCATGATAAGGATCTGAGAAAAATCCCCCTGAGGATCTGGCTGATGTAGGGGGAAGTGTAGCTATTGCGTAACCCCTAGATACTTCTTCATAACAAAAGTCTATTCTTGGGTTCCGGGATCCTTCATCATAAAGTAGTACTGAAACTTTATCCCACCTGGAGAAGGGATTTCCACTCCGCTCCAGGCTTTCCGTATCACCTAAAGGGAAAAAAACAGTAAATAGGGAACAGGCTTAAGGGAAATAGATTGGAAATGCTGCAATCAGGAAGGGGAGTAGGGAGATGAGTTAGGCTCCTGAAGGAAGGATGGAACCATTTGTGTAGGCTACAACCCCCGAGACCCAGGCACACTCAAAGACTGATAATTAATCAGAAGATTATAGACTGATTCCCTTCCCCCACACCCTACCCAATCTCTCATATCCTGGTACTAAGATATTAGGATTGTGGCACCATCTTTGTGGAAGACTGGGTTAGGTCTGAAATACTATTACTGGTGAAATGAATTATTTCACACAGTTTGTGGACAGAGTATTTGATACAAGAAACTTTTTTTTGAGACAGGGTCTCACTTTATTACCCAGGCTGAAGTGCAGTGGTGCCATCACAGCTCACTGCAGCTTCGAACTCCTGGGCTTAAGCGATCCTCCTGCTTCAGCCTCCCAAGTAGCTAGAGCTACAGGCATGCGCCACCATGCTCGGCTGATTTTTGTACTTTTTGTAGAGGTAGGGTTTTGGCATTTTGCCCAGGCTAGTCTCAAACTCCTGGGCTCAAGTGATCTGCCCACCTTGGCCTCCCAAAGTGCTGGGATTATAGGCACAAGCCACTGTGCCCAGCCTTGATATAAGAAACTTATGTTGAGGATGTGGACCAGTTTATAGTATTTTTCAACAGGTAGCCAGCCCATCAAATTATGAGTGGGAATTGGAAAAGGACCAGTTCAATACCTATGCGTAGAAACTGGGAGAAAATGACGAAAGAGAAAGGAACATAATCAAAGAGCAAATGGCAAAGTTTACCCAAGGAAACACTGGAAGTATTATAAATATCATGATGGTGTATAGATATCATACTATCATAATGGGTCAGAGGGCATAATGAAGAAATATAAGAGCTCAAAGAAGACAATTAAGATAATATTTTAACCAAGTTTGTAAATCTCAGAACAAAATAGAAAAGAAAAATAAATTACAAAGCCACATGAGAAGCAAACAAATAAACAAACCTCACAGCTAAAAAAATAGATACACTGTGAAAAAGCTCAAGAAAATCACACCAAACAAAATGGAAGAGAGCAAATAGCACCGTAATTATAGAGAGAACTACAGCCTATAAGGTAGGTAAAGCTGGTGTGAGAAATCCTTCATCTCACCCCAAATAAAGAAATCCTTCATCTCACCCCAAATAGAAACCCTTCATCTCACCCCAAATAAATAAATTCTGTATAAAATGTAACAGAAATAAGATAGGTATAGCAACATTCAGTCAAGAAAGGAGATCATGAGTACCAGGGACAAAAAGGGAAGGCAAATTTAGATCAATGACCCTGAGCTGAAGCTGAACCACCTAAGGAGGGTATGGCACTTCGGTATATACTAGCAGTAATAATGAAAGGGAGCTCTGGGGACCCCGGGGGGGAACCTTTTGGGGGTTCACAAAGTCAAAACTATTTTCACAATAATACCGAGATTTTATTTGAATTTATTGATTTCTTTATTAAGTACATAGTGCAGTTTTCCTGGGGCTATGATATTACAACAGGTTGAATATAGAAGGAGATATGAGAATCCAGCCAGATTTGTAAAAATGTAAAACAATGCAATTAAATGTTTTGCATATTTGAATATATACTTATTTTTCACTAAAAGTATGTTATTTATGTAACATGTAACATGTTTTCAGTATTATTTTAAATGAATTAACAAATTAATATTTAAAAATTTTATCACTTTTAAGTTCTATTATGGCAAATATTGATAGATATAACCCACCTAAACAAAAGTTCTTTAGGATGTTCAAAATAATTTATTTTTATGTTAAAATTAACATATAGTAAAACTGAGTTTGTTGGCATGCAGTTTGAAGAATTTTAGCACTTGCATATGTTCATGTAACCACCACCACAAACAGAATAAAGAACAGTTCTATTACACTCAAAATCCTTTGTGCTGTTCCATTGTCACACCTTACCCCAACCCTAAGCCCTGACAACTGATTTGCTCTCCATCACTATAGTTACAACTTTTTGAGAATGTCATATAAATGGAATTATACAATATGTCACCTTTTGAGACTTTCTTCTTTCCCTTAGCATGATGCCTTTGAGATACAATCAAGTTGTAGGGTGAATCCATAGTTCCTTTTTATTTCTGAGTGCTACTACAGTTTATTTATCCATTCACCCATTGAAGAATATTTGGGTTATTTCCACTTTGGGGCTATTACAAATAAAACTACTATGAACATTCATGTACAGGTTTCATTTGAACATTTTTCCAAGGTGAATACACAGGAGTGGGATTGCCAGATCATATGGTAAGTGTATGTTTAATTTCCTAAGAAACTCCAAATTTCTTTCCAAAGTGGCTGTGCCATTTTGCATTCTGAAGAGCATTGTAAGAGTTCCAGCTGCTCTGCATCCCTGCTAACAATGGTTTTGTCTCTTTCTTTCTTTCTTTCTCTCTCTTTCTTTCTTTCTTTCTTTCTTTCTTTCTTTTCTTTCTTTCTTTCCTGCTTTCCTCCCTTCCTTCCTTCCTTCCTTTTCTTTTCTTTTTTCTTTTCTTTTCTTTTTTTTTGAGACAGAGTCTTGCTCTGTCACCCAGGCTGGAGTGCAGTGGCATGATCTTGGCTCACTGCAACCTCTGCCTCCCGGGTTCAAGTGATCCTCCTGCCTCAGCCTCCCGAGTAGCTGGGACTAGAGGCATCTGCCACCACACCTGGCTAATTTTTGTATTTTTGTTTGTTTGTTTGTTTGTTTTACAGAGATGGGGTTTCACCGCGTTGGCCAGGCTGATCTCAAACTCCTGGCCTCAAGTGATCCACCCACCTCAGCCTGCCAAAGTGCTGGGATTACAGGCACACCTGGCCTGGTTTTGTCAGTATTTCTAATTTAGGCATTTAAATAGGTGTGTAGTAGTATCTCATCATGGTTTTAATATGTATTTTCTTAATGGCTATTGATATTGATAATCATTTTTTCTTTTCTTTCTTTCTTTTTTTTTTTTTTTGAGACAGGGTCTCAGTCTGTCATTCAAGCTGGAGTGCAGCAGTGCCATCTTGGCTCACTGAAATCTCTGCCTCCTGGGATTTGGTGATTCTCCTGCCTCAGCCTTCTGAGTAGCTGGGACTACAGGCATGTGCCACCATGCCCAGCTAATTTTTGTATATTTTTATTGGAGGGAGATGTTCTTCATGTTGCCCAGACTGGTCTCAAATTCCTGAGTTCAAGCGATCCTCCTGCCTCAGCCTCCCAAAGTGTTGGGATTACAGGCGTGAGCCATTGTGTCTGGCCTCATGTGCTTATTTTCATCCATATACACTCTTTGTTGATGTGATTGTTGAAGTCTTTTGGCCATTTTAAAATGGTGCTTAAATTTTCTAACTGCTGAGTTGTAAGAGTTCTTTATACATGCTGGATAGAAGTCCTCTGTCAGATATGTGATTTGAAAGTATATTATCCTGATCTGTAGCTTCTCATATCCTTCTCTGAACAGTGTCTTTCACAGAACAAAAGATTTTGGTTTTGATGAAGTCCAAATTATAATCTTTCTTCTTTTATAGATCATGCTTTTTGCGTCATGTCAAAAAATTTTACCTAATCCCAGATTATAGAGATATTTCTCCTGTTTTCTGCTAAAAGTTTCACACTATTATATTTTACATTTATATATGTTGTTGATTTTGAATTAATGTTTGCATAAGGTGTAAAGTTAAGGTTGAGGTTCTTTTTTTTGTATATGAAAGTACAGTTGTTCCAATACCATTCATTCATTTGTTGAAAATATAATCCTCTCTTCATTGAATTGCCTTTGCACTTTTATCAAAAATCAAATGTCCATACTGGTGTGGGGCTATTTCTGAACTCTCTGTTCTGCATTGATCTACATGTGTGTGCCTTCACTAACACCACACTCTCTGGACTCTATAACTTCATAGTAAGTCTTACAGTCAGGTAGTCTCATTACTTCAGCTTTATTCTTTTAAAAATTGTTTTAGCTATTCTCATTCTTTTGTCTTTTCATATAAATTTTGGTATCACCTTGTGATATGGTTTGGGTTTGTGTCCCCACCCAAATATCATCTCAAATTTAATTCTCACATGTCAAGGGAGCAACCTGTAATACCCACGTGTCAAGGGAGGGAGGTGACTGGATCATGGGGGCGGTTTCCCCCATGCTGTTCTCATGATAGTGAGTGAGTTCTCACAAGATCTGATGGTTTTACAAGTGTTTGACAGCTCTTCCTTCACACTCTCACACTCTATCCTACCGTCTTGTGAAGAAGGGCTTGCTTCCCCTTCCACCGTGATTGTAAGCTTCCTGAGGCTTCCCCAGCTATATGGAACTGTGAGTCAATGAAACCTCTTTCCTTTATAAATTACCCAGTCTAAGGGAAGTTCTTTATAGCAAGGTGAAAACAGACTAATACAGTACATTGATACCACAGAGAGTGGGGTACTGCATAAAGATACTTTAAATTGTGGAAGCAACTTTGGAACTGGGTAACAGGCAGAGGTTGAAACAGAGTGGAGGGCTTAGAAGAGGACAGGAAGATGTGGGAAAATTTGGAGCTTCCTAGAGACTTGTTGAATGGTTTTGACCAAAATGCTGATAGTGATGAAGACAATGACATCCAGGCTGAGGTGGTCTTAGATGGAAATGGGGAACTTATTGGGAAGAGGAGTAAAGGTCACTCATGCTATGCTTTAGCAAAGAGGCTGGCGGCATTTTGCCCCTGCCCTAGAGATCTATGGAACTTTGAACTTGAGAGAGATTATTTAAGGTATCTGACAGCAGAAATTTCTAAGCAGCAAGCAGCAGAGCATTCAAGATGTGACTTGGAGTATTCTGAAAGCATTCAGTCTTATGTGTTCACAAAGAGGTAATTTGAAATTGGAACTTATGTTTAAAAGGGAAGCAGAGTATAAAAGTTTGGAAAATTTGCAGCCCGATGATGTAGTAGAAAAGTGAAACCCATTTTCTGGGAAGAAATTCAAGCCAGCTGCAGAAATTTGCATAAGTAATGAGGAGCCAAATGTTAATCACCAAGGCAATGGGGAAAATGTTTCCAGGGCATGTCAGAGACCTTCGTGGCAGCTCCTTCCATCACAGACCCAGAGGCCTGGGAGGGAAAAATGGTTTCCTGGGCAGGGCCCAGGGCCCCTGCTGCTCTGTGCAGCCTTGGGACTTCGTAGCCTGCATCCCAGATGCTCAGATCTAGCTAAAAGGGGCCAAGGTACAGCTTGAGCCATTGCTTCAGAGGGTGCAAGCCCCAAGACTTGGCACCTTCTGCTTGGATGTCCAGGCAGAAGTCTGCTGCAGGGGTGGAGTGCTCATGGAGAACCTCTGCTAGGGCAGTGTGGAAAGGAAATATGGGGTTGGAGCCCACACACAGAGTCCCCACTGGGGCAATACCTAGTGGAGCTGTGAGAAGAGGGTCACCATCCTCCTGACCCCAGAATGGTAGATCCACCAACAGCTTGTAATGTGTGTCTGGAAAAGACACAGGCACTCAACACCAGCTGGTGAAGGAGCTGCCCAAGGCCATGGGAGCCGCCCCCCCTTGCATCAGCATGTCCTGGATGTGAGACATGGAGTCAAAGGGGATTATTCTGGAGTTTCAAGATTTAATGACTGCCCAACTGGATTTCAGACTTGCATGGGGCCCCTTTGTTTTGGCCGATTTCTCCCATTTGGAATGGGAGCATTTATCCAATGCCTGTACCCCCATTGTATCTTGGAAGTAACTATTTTGCTTTTGATTTTACAGGATCCTAGGTGGAAGGGGCTTGTCTCAGATGAGACTTTGAACTTGGACTTTTGGGTTAGTGCTGAAATGAGTTAAGACTTTGGAGGACTGTTGGGAAGGCATGATTGGTTTTGAAATGTGAGGACATGAGATTTGGGAGGAGCCAGGGCTGGAATTATATGGTTTGGCTCTGAGTTCCTACCAAAATCTCATCTCAAATTGTAATCCCCATGTGTGGAGGGAAGGACCTGTAATACCCATGCATTGAGGAAGGGAAGTGATTGGATCATGAGGGCGGTTTCCCTCATGCTGTTCTCATGATAGTGAGTGAGTTCTCACAAGATCTGATGGTTTTATAAGTGTTTGACAGTTACTCCTTCACATGTTCACACTCTCTCCTGCTGCTTTTTGAAGAAGATGCCTACTTCCCCATCTGCCATGATTGTAAGTTTCCTGAGGTGTCTCCAGCCATGCGGACCTGTACGTCACTTAAACCTCTTTTCTTGATAAATTACCCAGTCTCAGGGAAGTTCTTTATAGCAATGTGAAAACAGACTAATATACCTTGTTAATATTGACCAAAATATTGCTTGGATTTTGACAGGAATTGCATTAAGTATATACATTAACTTGGGGGAGAATTGACATCTTTACTATGTTAAATTTACCAGTTCATGAACCTGATATGTCCCTCCATTTATTTAGGTATTCACTGATTTCTTCCATCAGCATTTTGTAGTTTTTATTATACACTTTTGGATTTGGGACTGCCATGAGTTCAAAAGAACTCATGAAAAAATAAAGTGGTAAACTCACTGATAATTTAGAGTATTATGAAATCTAGTCTTCTCCAAATCCAGTCTTCTCCAAATAAATTAAGTCTTCTGTATTTATTTTCAAAGTACTCAAATAGCTGCTCCATGTGTTCTGTCTATGTTTTATAGCTGTATTTAGTGAGGGAGACACTGTGCAGTTTGCTCACTTCATTTTACCCAGAACAAAACCCAGTAATTTTTAAGTTTGAGAACGATTACATTTTAGGGGCTGAAGTTTTAATATGCTCACAGAGACAAACAATGAGGCCATAAAGCAGGAACTGAGTTCCATCCATTAAGCCATGAGCCACCCTTTTATACAAAGAAAACTGGTAAAGTTTCACCCACAGGGCCAGAAATATAGCAAGAAAGCTCACCATTTGTTTAGGACAATAAATGGAAAAATAGTCATGTCTAAAAGAAAGGGCATATAATTAATCATTTCAAAATCATTAGGGAAATAGGCAGGGATTTTGAAAATGTGATTAAACCAAGAGAGTCAAGAAAGGGTGGTGGGAGAATAAAATATGGTTAAAATAAAACACAAGAACATTCTCCTGTGCTCATGATGAAGCAAAAGGAACTGAGTTTATCTTTTTGTCTTAAACAACTAAAAACGATGGATGAAATATATAAAACAATGGTTATCAGGCATTGGACATCAGGCAGCAAAGGACACTGATCCTTGAAAGAATGGAAACAAAGTAAGCCCTATGATCATCTCAGCTCACTTTCAGGTCACAGCACAGGCATGGGGAATCTAACTAGAATCTGGCGGACTCCCTGAGTCAAGGAGACACAAGTGACCAAGTACTGGAGACTTCACGTACAGCATAGTGACAATAGTTAGTAATGTTTACTTGAAATTTACTAAGAGAGTGGATCTTAAGTGTTCTAAACACACACACACACACACACACACACGGTGAGGTGATGAATATGTTAACCGGCTTTATTACAGCGATCATTTTATAACATACACACATATCAAAACATCATGTTGTTCCCATGGTGTGACCACTCTCCCACTCCCTCCCTGCCCGCAGCGAGGAGGTGCATGGGAGGGGGCAGGGAAAAATTAAAACACAAATTTAAAAAAAGAATAACAACAACAGCAACAAAAACCAAAACATCATGTTGTACATGCTAAATATATACAATTTTTATTTGTCAGTCATATTTCAATAAAGCTGGGGGAAAAGCAAGAAAAAAAGCAAATTCAAGAAAGTGGACAAAGTGATGAGATTCACAGGATAGGATGTGGGTGGTGAAGAGAAAGAAAGGGGGTGAAGGAGAGCACTCTGGAAATATGCACAGAGTCCCCTTGAATCTTTAGCTGATTGCCAGTCAGCACATGCATGTGGGAAAATTACCCAAGGCCAGGGAACGGATCACAAAAGACGAGCATGGAGGACACGTTTTGGAGCTCAAATAGGGCTGGGGCTTTGGGTTGAGTACTCAAAGAAGTACTGCTTCAGTGGAGGGCAATATTAGCCTTAAACTGCTGCTTTAATCTGTTACGGAAAAATTAAAAGTAAAATTTCCTGCCAACCCATGAAATTCTCTCCATGAATGGTAGAAAAGAAAGAAAACAGTTTTGTTATATTGAATGAGCATTAAACCAGACTCTTTTGCATCACAGGCAATCTGCTAATGAGATTGCAAAAACAAAAATAACCCCATTCTTATGTATGCAATGTATCCATTATAAACATGTTCTTAAGATAAATGATAAATTGTTCTTATGTAAGAGAACTTGACAGCACTGTTTGCTATACATTCTTTTATAGTTCATCCTAAGTTCACCTGGTAATTGGAGTAGCCATCTGTGGTAGTTAATTGCCTTTATCTGAAGGAAATATGAAACTTCTCATATCTCTATGACAAGCAGGTGCTTACAGCTTAGAGCAAGGCACCTAGGCTAAACTCCCAGGATGACAGGGAGATATAGGGCTGCTATCTTCCTTGATGTTTACATTTCAAAGAGATGGCTTCCAGTCCCTTAAGAAAAACATTCCTGAGTTATAAGGCTGGCAAGAGGCTTATTTAGTCTTTAAAGAGATTTACATACATATCAAAGGGACAGAAGAAGGATTCACAAATGAGAAGTTTCTCAAGGAAATATTACCGAAAAGGGAGAGAGAAAAGGTCTCTTTCTCTTTTGGCAACAAGAAAAGTTCAATTTTATTTTTGTTTACTCTTCCAGATTTCATCTTACAAAGATCAAAAGCAAGCTTCAAAAGGATCAAATTCTTTCCAAGTAACTTAACTGCTTCTCAGAAAAAGCTAATAATTATTAAAAGAAATATAAAAAATTTAGTACCAAACAATATAAAATTCACAATATCTACTATCCAACAAAAAATGATCAGGTATGCAAAGACACAGGAAAATGACCCATAATAAGGAAAAAAAAATCAATAGCAGCAGACCCCGAAATTGCACAGATGATATAATTCATAGACAAGGACATTAAAACAACTTGTAAATATATTTCAGATATGTAGAGGAAAGCATAAGCATGTTAAGAAGAGAAATGGAAGATATAAAAAAGATCCACATTGAATTTGTAAAGATGAAAATATAATGTCTATGATATAAAATACACTGGATGGGATTAACAGCAGATTAGACACTGCAATAAAAAAAGATTAGTGAGCATGAGGACATGGCAATAAAAATCATCCAAAAAAGAACATTAACAGGAAAAAGTCTGAAAATAAATGAACAGGACATTAGTGAGCTGTAAGATGACTGCAAACAGCCTTATATGTGTGTAATTCCCAGGAGAGGAGAAAGAGGCAGGCAAAGAAAAATTACTAGGATAAGTGATGGCCAAAATTTCCCCAAATATGATAAATATATAAACCCACAAATATAAGAAACTCAACAGACTCTGAGCACAAGAAATATAAAGATGTCAAAATCAAGTTGCTCAAGAAATAGTAATAATGAAAAAATCCTAAAAGGCATCAGAAAAAAATACACATTATGTACAGAGGAACAAAGACAAAAATGATAGTATATTTTTCATCAGAAACCATGTAAGCTAGAAAACAATGAAGTGGTATATTTAAAAGAATGAAAGAAAGTACTGTCCGCCTAGAATTATCTACCTAGCCAAAATACTTTCAAAAAGAAGGAAAAATGGAGACCTTTGCAGGCACACAGAGGCTGAAACAATCATCACCAGTGGACCAGCACAAGAAATGCTAAAGGAAGTCTTTCAGGTAGAAGGAAAATACCAGGTCTACACAAAAAAAATAGATAAATACCTACTTAAAGCAGTGAATCTACATAAAGAAATAAAGGGACAGAAAAAGGTAATTACTTAGATAAATATATATTTTTTCTTATTTAAAAAATCTTGATTTCTTTTAGAACTCACATTAATTTAGCTTTTTTGTTTTTTTTTTTTTTTTTTTGAGATGAGTCTTGCACTGTCCCCCAGGCTGGAGAGCAATGGCGTGATCTCGGCTCACTGCAACCTTAAGTGATTCTCCTGCCTCAGCCTCCCGAGTAGCTGGGATTACAGGCGCCTGCCACCACGCCCAGCTAATTTTTTGTATTTTTAGTAGAGACGGGGTTTCACTATGTTGGCCAGGCTGGTCTCGAACTCCTGACCTTGTGATCCACCTGCCTCGGCCTCCCAAAGTGCTGGGATTACAGGCGTGAGCCATCGTGCCTGGTCAGCATGTTTATTAAATAATAAAAATGAGGGGGAAAGTCATTAGTCATTTAAATTCATGCAAAATTTAGGAGTGGAGTTTAATATGTAAAGCATAAACTCATTTCTATTTTAAAGTTTTAATTCATTAAACATAAATATTTGCCACATGCCATAATCTATGCTAGATACCAAGAGTACAAATATGAAAATATATGAATCTTGATATCTATGAACTTATATTTCAGATACTAATTATCTTCAGTGAAAATAAGATTATTTCATATTTTTCCTTTATATTTCCTGTTGTATCTTAATTAAAAAAATCCTCTTGATTTTAAAATAAAGAAATCATAAAGGAGATTAGAAAGCATTTTGGGCTGAATGAAAATGAAACTATGACATATCAAAAATTGAGGGTGACAACTAAAGCAGTGCTTAGAGGAAATTTTGTTATGGTCAATAGTACTTTATTTTTTAAATTATTATTATACTTTAAGTTCTAGGGTACATGTGCACAACGTGCAGATTTGTTACACAGGTATACATGTGCCATTTTGGTTTGCTACACCAATCAACTGGTCATTTACATTAGGTATATCTCCTAATGCTATTCCTCCCCCAACCCCCCACCCCACGACAAGCCCCAGTGTGTGATGTTCCCTGCCCTGTGTCCAAGTGTTCTCATTGTTCAATTCCCACCTAAGAGTGAGAACATGTGGTGTTCGGTTTTCTGTCCTTGTGATAGTTTGCTGACAATGATGGTTTCCAGCTTCATCCATGTCCCTGCAAAGGACATGAACTCATCCTTTTTTATGGCTGCATAGTATTCCATGGTGTATATGTGCCACATTTTCTTTATCCAGTCTATCACTGATGGACATTTGGGTTGGTTCCAAGTCTTTGCTATTGTGAATAGTGCCACAATAAACATACGTGTGCATGTGTCTTTATAGCAGCATGATTTATAATCCTTTGGGAATATACCCAGTTATGGGATGGCTGGGTCAAATGGTATTTCTAGTTCTAGATCCTTGAGGAATCGCCACACTATCTTACACAATGGTTGAACTAATTTACACTCCCACCAACAGTGTAAAAGCATTCCTATTTCTTCACATCCCTTAGAGGAAATCTTATAGCATTAAACACTTACATCAGAAAAGAAGAAAGGTCTCAAATAAATGACCTAAGCTTCCATCTTAGGAAACCAGAAAAAAAGAAGCAAGTCAAACATACATTAAACGGAAGGATAGAAACAAACAGTAGGGCAGAAATCACTATAATATGAAATAGAAAAACAACAAGGAAAAAAAATCATTGAAACCAAAAGTAGATTCTTTGAAAAAATCAATACAATTCATATATATCTATTTAGACTAATCAGAAAAAAAGAGTAAAGTGCAATTTACTGGTATTCAGTAATGAAATAGGGGAACATCACTATAGATCCTAGAGATGCTAAAAGGAAAATGAAGGCATATTATGAATAACATGCTGTCAATAAATCCAGCAACATGGATAAAATGAACAAATAATCTGAAAGATCTAAACTACAAAAGCTCACTCTGAGGAAACAGATAATCTGAACAGCCCCAATACTAAAAAAGAAATTGAATTTTTATTTACAAACCTTCTCAAACTCATGTCACAGATGGCTTCACTAATAAATTCTACCAAACATTTATGAAAAAAACCCCACAAATTCTACATAAATGCTTCCAGAACATAAAAGAGGATGGAATGAAGTGAGCACTTCCTAACTAATGGTATGTGGCCAGCATTACTCTAATACCCAAATGAGACAAAAAATTTAAAAACAAAAACTATGGATCACTATCCTTCATGAACATAGATGCAAAAATTCTTAACAAAATTTGAGTAAATCATCAAATACATTATGAACAAATGATTTAATCCAAGCATACCAGGAGGGTGTGACATTAAAAAACCAATCAACATAATTCACCATATTAAAAGATTAAAAAAAAAACAAGCCATATGGCATTTCAACAGATTCAGGAAAAGCATTTCACGACATCCAACATCCTTCATAATAAAAAACATCTCAGCAAACTAGGAAACAAAAATGAGAACTTCTTCAACCCATTATAGAACATCCAGAAAAAATCTACACGTAGTATCATATTTATGGTGAAAGCATATTTTTGCTCTGCTCCCAAGATCAGGAACAAAGGAAGAATATGGGCTCTCCACTTATATTCATTATTCTACTAGAGGCTCTAGCTAGTGCAATAAAGCAAGACAAAGAAATAAAAGGTATACAGAGTGGAAAGGAAGAAGTAAAACTCTCTTTATAGTCACATGACATGACAGTGTATGTAAAGAATCCTAAGGAATTCACAAAAGAAGCTGCTAGGACTCTTAAAGGAGTTTAGCAATATTGTAGTAAACAAGATCAATGCACAAAGATCAATTGCATTTTTATATACTAGTTACGAATTATCAGATTCCATTAAAAAATCTATGCCATTTACTATAGCTTAAAATATATAAAAACCTAGAGATAAAAATCTAACAAAATGTGTGTAATATCTATGCACTGAAAACTACAAAACATTGCTGAAAGAAATTACAGAAGACCTAAATAAATTGAGAGGTGTACCATGATCATGGAGCTGAAGACTGAATATTGTTAGCATGTCAATTGTCTCCAGATAGGTCTATAGATTCAATGCAATTCTAACCAAAATCCCATCAAATTTGTTTGTAGAAATTGACAAGCTGATTTTAGAATCCATACACCAATTCCAGGAACTTAGAATAGTCAAATATAATTTTGAAAAAGGAGAATAACACTGGAATACTTATAATTGACTTCAAGACTTGTTATAAAGCTACAGTGATCAATACAGTGTGGTCCTGGCATGAATATAGGTAAATAGATCAATGGAATAGAATAGAGAGTTCAAATATAGGCCCACAGAATTGATTTTTTACAAGAATGGAAAGGCAATTTATTAGATAAGTGATAATATTTTCAACAAATGGTGCTCAACTGATTAAATATTCATATGGAAAAAAGTAAATTTTGATGCATGTCTTTTTCCATATTAAAAAATTAACTCAGGCCAGGCATGGTGGCTCATGCCTGTAATACCAGCACTTTGGGAGGCTGAGGCAGGCGGATCACCTGAGGTCAGGAGTTCGAGACCAGCCTGACCAACATGGAGAAACCCTGTCTCTAGTAAAAATACAAAATTAGCTGAGCATGGTGGTGCATGCCTGTAGTCCTAGCTACTGGGCAGGCTGAGGCAGGAGAATCGCTTGAACCTGGGGGGCGGAGTTTGCGGTGAGCCGAGATTGTGCCATTGCACTCCAGCCTGGGCAACAAGAGTGAAATTCTGTCTCAAAAAATAAATAAATAAATAAATAAATAACAAAATTTAAAAAATAAAAAAAAAACTCAAAATGGTCATAGGCTTAAATGAAAAAAACAAAAGCTATAAAACCGCTGGAAGAAAACATAGTAGAAGATTTTTTTTAACTTTGAGTTAGGCACATATTTCTTATATGTAACACCAAAAGCAGAGTCCATAAAAGAATAAACTAATAAATTAGATTAAATCTTCCGTTTTTAGAAAGACACAGTTAAGAGAATGAAAATACAAGCCACTGGCTAGTATAAAATATTTAAAAATCTATACTCAATATAAAGGATTTGTATCAAAACTATATAAAGAACTTTCAAATTTGAATAGACTAGTAACCATTAAATAAGTCAGATTGTTAGAAAATAAAAATCCCCTCGAAGAAGGCCGAAACGACTTCATCATAGTTTTTTGTTTGTTTGTTTTGTTATTTATTTATTTATTTATTTATTTTTAGCGAATCTTCAAAAAATATCTAACCTCAACTTTCTTGGTGAATAGAAAAATGTTACATATTTTTGAGGCTAAAATGATCTTGATGCCCAAACCTGACTGAGACAGCACATGAAAAGTTTATGGGCCAATCTTGAGTGTAAGCATAAGTGAAAAATCCTAGCTAAAATACAAGCAGATTTATTCCCTAATGAATGTTTTTTAAAATATATAAGCAAGTAAGGTTTATTTCAAGAGTGGCTTAATTAGAGAATCTGCTAATGTAATTCACCACATTAATAGATAAAAAGGAGAGAAACCATATGATTATGTTAGCTGTAGAAAAGCAACTACAATTCAACATTCATTCATAATTTAAAAACAAACAACAAAACAGACACAAAAGTGAAAAAGGATAGCTACTCCAAACCCACGGCAAACAGTGCCATTATTTTCCAACATGATACTGAAAGTTCTAACGAATGCACTAAAATGACAAAAAGAAAACAAAAAGAAAAAGAATATAAAAATATAATTCACAGATGATATGTTTATGTATAAAATCTGTGAGAATCTATAAACAAACTATTAGAATAAGAGAATTCAACAAGGTTGCTAGATACAAGAATTTCATATAGTATCATTAGAATTCCTACATAGTAGCAATTAGCACATAAAATGTAATTGTTAAAGAAGGATCTCATTTGCAGTAGAATAAAACTCTATAAGGTATCTAGGAATAAGTCTAAAAGTAATATTTTACTTAATATATTAAAATGATCTCATCTAAAATGTATTTGATCTATTTAATTATTTATACTTTAATCTCCATTCAATCAAAATTTTGAGTTCGCACCATGTGCCAAGTACTGTTGTTAGGAGATGTAGTGATAAATGAGACAAAGTTCCCACCCTCATGAAACTTATATTCTAGTGAGAGAAGGGGATAAGAAATAAAATGAGAAAAATATACAGCATTGTAGAAAAATAAATCAAGTTTAAAAATGGAGGACAAAGAGGGGTGGTATTTTAGAGTAAGTGGTAGAAGGAAAGGAGAAGACATATAATAGAGACCCAAGTGAAGTGGGGGAGCTTGCAAAGGTGGGGGTAAGGGGGGGATAGCTTTTCAGGCAGAGAAAGCAGCAAGGGCAAAGGCCCTGAGGTGGAGAGAGCATGGCAGGTCTAAAAACAGCAACATGAAGTCACTGTGGCTAGAGGAGTGAGTGAGGTGGAGAATGGTGGAAGATGAGGTTACAGAGTTATGCATGGAACAGATTATAGGGCCTTCCTTGTAAGCTATCATAAGGACATAAGAAGTATAGATTTTCATTTGAGTAAGATGGGAATGCCACTGGAGGGTTTTGAACAGAGGAGTAACACAATTTGATTTGTGTTACAAAAGGATCATTTTGACTTTTGTGTTGTGAATAGAATATAGGGTGGTAAGGCTACGTAGACTCAGGGAGGCCAGTTAGGACAATATTGCAGCAACAAAGTGAGAGATCATGGTGTCTGGGAACAGTGTGGCAGTGGTAGAGAAGGTGAGAAGTGGTTCAGTTCTGAATATGTTCCGAGGAGAAAGCAAAGGGATTTGCTGATACAGTCGTCCCTCTATATCTGCTATGGGGGATTCGTTCCAGCTCTCCCCTCATCAAAATCTGTGGAAGCTCCAGTCTTAATGGCGTAGTATTTGTATATAACATACACACGTCCTCCCGTATACTTTAAATCATCTCTAGACTATAATATCTAATACTATGTAAATGCCATGTAATAGTTGTTGTACTGTGTTTTTTATTTTATTTGTATTTTAATTGTTTTTTACCCCCTTGAATATTTTCAATCTGAGGTTGGTTAATTTGCGGATAAGGGCTGACTGTAGTTTCAAGGTATTCTGGCTTGAGTGATTGCAAGGATAGTTTTCCATCAACTGAGATGGAGCATGCTAGGGGTGGAACAAGTTTTTAAGGAAAAGTTAAGGATTCAGTTTTCAACATGTTAAGTTTGAGGCATCTGTTAGACATCCAAGTTGAGATGTCAAGAAAGCAGTTAGATATATGATCTAGAATTTAGGGGAGAAATTAGGTCTAAACAGGTAAATTTAGAAGCCATCAGCTTCTTGATGGTAATTAAAACCAGGAGACTGGATAAAGTAATCTTAGGAACGAACATAGAAAAGAAAAGACAAATAAGGACTGAGCACCCTGAGTAGTTAGTTAAACAGCATGTGAACCATTTTGTTCTTGATCACTTAGTTTTTTTGGATCCAAGTGATGGATCCTGTTCTTTCTCCTCTTAAGCTTGGTATTTTCTACATTTGCCAATGTCAGTGTGTTTTCCTATAGTTTATGTGGGAAACACCACTAAGTCTCTTGTTTCTGCCATCCTTAGCTTCTCACAACTAGGTCAGTTAATTTCCTCACCTGTAGTCAGTCCAGTCCCAGTTTTTAAAACAATTCATATTGGAAGCATGAAGAATTTCAGAAATATCTAGATCTTCTTCAGCAGGGCTTAGGATCACATTGCTGTCTTTATTGGCTAGGAATAGAGCTCCCCTCTCCAGGACTCTGCATTTCCATTAACAGAAGTGAAGAGCAAGCCTTGATCACCCACCCATTTCCTCCCCATCAACAATCACAGAGGTGCCATGACTATCTGCCTTAAGATCACAGAACTAAGTCCTTTATACCTTTCAACTTTGTTTATGTCAGTCATGACAAGAACCCTGGAACTCCTTGGCCACTACCTGTGTATCTCATGTTCTAATCCTCATACAACTTTGTATATTTCCCTATTCTTACCTCTTAGCCCTCTCCAGATCCTGAAATCCTTCTATTGTGTCCTCTAAAACCACAGTCCTGGTTTGCCCAGGACAATTTCAGTTTACACATGATGTACCACTGTCCTGCCTCTGTCATTCTCTAGAGTGTCCAAGACTGGATGATAAATTATACAGTCCCCTCATCTAGAACCCAAAGTCATCAGCGAAATCCCCTGTATCCATTCCCTGTTTGCTGAATGCTCCCCTCACCTTCTTGAGTTAACTGAAATCTGGATCCCCCCAAGGACTTTACAGCCCTTTCAAGCAGTGTTTTTTTTTATCCCATATCCTGAGGCCCCTCATTGCTGCTTCCAGATCATTCTCCCTTTCTCCTCCCTAAAAATCCCCAATCTTTGAATTCCCTGTCACGGAGTATATTACCCACCATCCTACCTTGCTGTTATTTATAGAACATCAGTGCCCCTCCAGTTTCTCAAAAGTTTTGGCTTCTGTCTCACTGTCACTCTCTCCAATTAATCTTGTCTTAATTCTTTATGATCCTAATATCTCAATACCTGATCCTTCCAACATCTCATCCTCTCAATTCCTTGAAACTCCCCGCTTCCAGTTTCATCCTCCACCTAGTCGCAGCTCCTTGCCTCTCTCTTGTCCTTATTAATAACTCCTTCTCCTCTCCTCCAACCCCAGAGCTGAATATGGCTGGGGAAAAACACAAAATGATACTCTCACTTTAAATTCAAGCCCACAAACCTCAAGTGGGCACTTAATGTTGCCAGGAAATCACATAATATTATCCTAGTCCATTTACTCTGCTGGTTTCCTAGACAACTATTTTATACCTTCTCCTCTCCCTTCAAGCCTCTAATGCCTCAGCACACATCCTCATTCTCAGCCCACGACCTTGCTTCCGGTTTCACTGAGAAAACAGAGGCAATCAGAAAACAAAGCCCACAAATTTCTACCACCATATCTTTTCACCTACCTAAATCTGTGTGTGTACTCTACCCTTTCTCCCATTATGATGGATGAACCGTCTCTGCTCCTAGCTAGGTCAACCCCACTACTTGTTCACTAGATCCTATCCCCTTCTGGCAGTCCCCTCCTCTCTTGCCCTTGTAGTATAAATCCCACCCCCACCCCTCCAACCCTGGCCGCCAACAGGTTATTTCTCATCAGATTTAACCATGCTATTTTTGCTCCCACTCAAAAATTTAAAACATCTTTTGAGCTACCATCCCTTGCTCACTATTTAGCCCCTATCTCCGCTCCCCTTTACAGCAAAATTACTCGCTAGAATTTTCTATATTCAATCTCTGCCATTTCTCTTTGCCCATTTTTTGAACGTTTTATTTTGAAATAATTATAAACCACATGAAGTTGCAAAAATAGTACAGAGAGGCCCTTTGTAAACTTTACCCAGATTTCCCCAATAGTCACATCCTACAAACTACAGTATTTCAAATCCAGGAAATTGATATTGGTACAATGTGTGTGAATAATTCTATGCCATTTTATCATATATGTAGGTTTGTGTAACAACCATAGCAATCAAGATACAGAACTGATCCATTACCACAAAGAACTCCTTCCTGCTACCCCTTTATAGCCACACATACTCCCCTCTCACCCACCTTCCCTATTCCCTGGCAACCACTAATCTGCTCTCCATCTCTGTAATTTTCTCAAATAGAAAATATGATATAAATGGAATCCTATAATATGTGACCTTTTGAGATTGCCTTTTTGCACTCACTGTAATATCCTTGACATCCATTTGTTAATGTATGTGTCTATCATTTGTTTTCTTTCTCCCACTTTCCTTGTGTTTTGTACAATAAGGGGTTGGGAAGCAATGTACAGGGGCAGCAGCGGCATCCATGGGCTAGAAGAGGCAGTGACACTGTATGCCTCCTACAGTCATTCAGGACAATGTCAGGCGTGCCGTGGATTTTTTCCATCAGCTAATCACACACACCCCATGGTGCTGAGGCAAAGGCAAAGGTTGAGCAGTTCTTGGTTGAGGACACTCTACTTGGTATTCTCTAGGATGCAATGGTCCATGTGCAGCACCGGAAAGGCACAGGAGGTTGAGGCCGGCAAGGTGGGGCAGCATGGTGGTTGGAGCATTCTGTAGCATCAGCAGCCCCTGGGAGGTTTTCTTCACCAGCAGCAGACGCCCAATACCACCAACCAGTGTGTTCTCCCCACCCCCGCACCGACTGTTTGCTGGGCCTCTGGGGGACTACCTGGCATAGGGTCCTCCAGAATGTGTACACGCAGGTGGCTACATGGAAGTCTGCCCAGCTTAGCAGTTTCTGATGGGTACATGTACACCATAAGGTTGCGGTCTCTGCTGGACCCCAGGATACTGGCTAGGCACTGCCTGCCATGAAGTCCATGGTGTACACCTTGAGGAACTTGGCGTCCTGGGACATGTGGCTCAGTATCTTGCTCTCCTCTTGGTAGTGACATCTGCAGCCAGATGAAGTTCTTCACGCTACTCATCTGGTGGATGTATAGCTGGTGTCCACCAAGGCCATGCCTGTCGGCTCACTGGCCCTCAGGATCCACAGGAAGCTCTTCTGGCTGATGACTGACACCAGGTGGCCATTGCAGGGCACAGGACAGTCATGGGCCCCCTCAATTTCTTCCCATACAGGATCTGGAACTTGTTCCTGACCATATAGTAAATGTATGTTTAGTTTATTAGGAAACTGCAACACTACTTTCCATAACAGTTCAGTACCAGCCTGGCCAAAAGGTGAAACCCCATCTCTAATAAAAATACAAAAATTAGCCAGGTGTGGTGGTGCATGCCTGTAATCCCAGCTGCTCTGGAGGCTGAGGTAGGAGAATTGCCTGAACCTGGGAGGTGGAGGTTGCAGTGAGCCAAGATTGCAGCACTGTACTCCAGCCTGGGCAACAGAGTGAGACTCCATCATCAAAAAAAAAAAAAAAAAAAAAAAAAAAAGAAGAAAGAAAAAAGAAAAGTAAATTCATCAGTAAACAAAAAGACAAAAGTTCAGGCCTTCACCAAGCTTACACTAGGGAAGGGTGGAAGTACAGACAGATGAGTAATAAGATAAATAAGAATATTACATGGTATATGTAGGAGGTACATGCTATGAAAAAAAATAAGCTGTGAAGATGTACATAAGGAGATCTGGAGAGTTATAAATTAAAATAGTGTACTCAGAGAAGGCCTTGAGGGAAAGTGACACTTGAAAATGTGACCTATGAGAAAGCACTTGCAGGAAGTGAAAGTTCCTGGAGGTACCTGGAGAAAGAGGATTCCAGGTCAAGGGAAAGCAAGTGGGAGAGCTCTTGGATGGAAGCATGCTGGCGTGACTGGAAACAGCTGGTGTGGTGGAAACAGTATGAGCGAGGAAGCTAGCAGTTGATGATGAGGTCAGGGAACTAACAGGGGCCCGATCATGTACAGCCAGTGGAAGGACTTTGACTTTTGCTCCTGCTTGAGCCATGGCTTGAGAGCCATGGGAGGGTTTCATAAAAAGGATGGTAGAATCTGACTTCTCTTGTAAAAGGATTGCCCAGGTTACTATGTTAAGCAGGAAGGCAAAGATAGAAGGAGAAACAGCAGTTAGGAGGTGATTTCAGCAATGCAGGCAGATGAGAGCATGGTAGCTTGGACCAAGGTGATAATAATGACAGTGATCAGAAGGAGTCATATTGTGCATTTATTTTCAAAGTAGCACATCGGGATTTGCTGATGGATTGGAAAAAGGTGTTAGAAAAGTCAAGAATGACCTCTCTTGTGGCCTTAGAAACTGGGAATAATGAAGGACAAGCGAGTCTGGGGAGGGTAGAGATAAGAAGTGTCATTTTTAACATATTAAAATTTGAAATATGTACTAGGTATACAAGTGTAGAGATATTAAATAGGCAACTAGATGTACAAGTTGTAATTTAGAGAAGAGGTTTGGCCAGAGATATAAATTTGAGAGTTGATAGTAGATGGTGTTTAAAGCCATCAGATCAGATGAAATGACCAAGGGAGAGAGGAGAGATGAAGACAAGACTGATTCCTCGAGCACTCCCACCTTAGGAGATCAGGAATCCACGGAGGAACTCATAAGAAAACTAAGAAAGTAGCCATGAGATAGGAGAAAATCCAGAACAGTGTCCTGGAAACAAGTGAAGAAAAATGTTTCAAGAAGAAGAGAGAGATCAGCTGAGTTAAATTCTACTGATGGGTTAAATAAAATGAGAACAATATTACATTTGGCAATGTGGAAGTCACTGGTGTCTTTGACGAGATCCATTTTGGTAGAGTCATGGAAGATGAAAGCTTGATAAGAGTGCATTTAAAAGAAAATGGAAAAGAGGGAACTTCTGATTGTGTACAAGATGGAATGAATGCACTCATCCCTATTCCTCCTGCTAAGAAAAACCCTGGAGATTATATGTAAAACAAACACGATGATTCTGAATGATGAAGAGAAGGCAGACCAACCAGGGACCTTGGAACCTGAGGAATGGCACAGTGCTTGAGTGCTATCAGTGGAGGCCTAATGGAGAGTTTGGATTTTCACCCTTTCCCAATAGGAATGAGGTGCCTCTCCTGTCCCATGGTAAATACATGGTCTTCCATCTCCAACTGGAAATAACATGATGGTCCCCTTCCTGGCAGGGTATCTGAGAAGGCCAGTTAAAACAGAAGATTTAAATAAGATCCAGAGTCTCATTGCATAACACCTAATATGTCCAGGATACAAACAAAAATCACTTGTCATAACAAGAACCAGAAGAATCTCAAATTTAAAAAAATCAACAGCCATCAAAACCTATGTGACACAGATGTTGGGATTATATTACAAGGATTTTAAAGCATCCAACATAAGAACGCTTCAAAGAGCAATTATGACCAGACTTGAGTGAAAAAATAGAATGATGAGTGAAATAAATAGAAAAATGAGTGAAAAAATAGAAAATTTCAGCAAAGAAGTGATATAAAGGAGAACCAATCGGAAAGTTTATAACCAAAAAATACAATAACTAAACTTTGAAAACTCATTGGATGGGCTCAACAGCAGAATGGAGAATATGGAGGAAACAATGATAGAACTAGATGATAAGACAGTAGAAATAACCTAGTTTGAACAACAGACAGAAATAGACTGGGAAAAAAAAAAAAAAGATGAACAGAGCCTGTGGAACTATAACAACAGATATAGCATTCATGTTACAGGAGACCCAGCAGGAGAGAAGAAAAAAGTGTGGTGCTGAAAATGTATTTGAAGAAATCATGACAAAAATTTTCCAAAATTTGAGAAAAGACAACTTACAGATTCAATAACTGACCAAACCCCTAGCAGAATAAACCCCAAGAAACCCAGGCCAAGATACAGAGTTTTCTGTACCTGGAACAGTGAATGGCACACAGTAAGTGTTCAGCACATAAATAAATGCATATATCACTTAACTCAGGTTATGGTGTCCCAGTACTATTGGCAGTGGCCACTTAAATCTACATAGGCTTGGAGTCATAAAGATTTATTTTAAATTTTAATTATTTTATCTGCATTATATTTTAGAGTTAACTTATCTACTCTTGTATCTATTGTTAGATTACAGAGGTTGCCAGGATAACAGATCAACAATAACAAAAAATAGAATATATTCTTGTCAAACTTTATCCAGTTTAGTAAATCACTATTCTACATAATCTAAAGGGTATTCAAAGTGACTACAAAATGGATTTAAAAATGAGATAATCTGGTCAAGAAAAAAATAAAATGGAACAGTATGAGCAAGGAAGAGAGTAGTTGGTGATGAGGTCAGAGAACTAACAGGGGGCCCGATCATGCATAGCTGTGTACATGGAAGTCTTAAGGTAAGGACTTTGACTTTTGCTCTTGCTTGAGCCATGGCTTGGGAGCCACGGGAGGGTTTCAGATAGGAAAAATAAAATGAAACTAGAGGTGAGTTTAATATAAAATGCAATCTGTAAAATCCTGTTCACTTGCCGGGGGTGGGGAATACCAAATATTTGGCTCCAAGCTTTCTAGCAGCCAATGCAAAAAAAGAAATAAAGGGCATGATTCCTACGGAGAGCAAAGCCTCTTCCTAGAGCCATGTTCCCTGCTCTACCAGTAGATGGCGCACATTCCATGTGATGAGGATTAAGGAGCAAACTCTTCAAGGCAGGGCTTCTAAACTGAGCCTAAAATTAATATCAATCATTCTTTCTGAACTACGTGCCTGGCTATTTAATTCACCATATAGTTCTTAGTGCAGCTTTGGGAGAATTTGCTATTATCTCCTTTAAAGATAAGGAGACAGGATTACAGGTAAAACTGGCTCAAGCCCAGATTTGAGTCTCTACTCTTTCTATTGCACCAGGCAGGCAACTTGCTATTATTTGGAAAACCTAAGGCAGGTTTTACTCTAATTGGTGGGACTCTTTGACTGGGAGGCTTTCTTAGTGCCACTGCCACAAGATGCAGTAAGAGTCGGAGGCGAATTTGGGGTTCTGACATAAAGTAGCTGTTTCAGATCAGGGAAATCGTTTAATCCGCGTGACTCAACTTCCTCTTCTGCCAAATGGGAATGACAAAATCTGCTCCACTTAACTCTGGAAGTGGTGTGAGGATAGCAGAGGGAAATAGATGTGAAAACACAAAGTAGAAAACATTCTATAGGAATGCTGTATTAAACCCAAGATTTATCGAATTCCTACAATGAGCTGGGTGCTGCGGTAGTCCTGTCAGGTGGTATTATTCAAAGTGTGGTCCATGGCCCACTGCTGGTCCACAAACTGTTTGTTGTTGGTTTGAATCGAATGGGATAAAATGGAAAGAAAGTGTTCCAAAACCTTAACAATTTGTCAGAGTAATTTTATGTCTGTTGAATATAATCATGAAAGAGTTGCACTTGTATTTTGTGTTTTTGTTTTTATTTCATTTTTCTAGTAATTTATTGGTATTGTATTTTATAAAAGTATTGATACACGATATATTTTAGGGAAAATGAGTTTTTCCTATGAATAGTTTGAAAAGCACTGCTGTAAGGAATATAAAGTAAAATATAGGACATGGGCCTGCCATCAAGGAGCTTGCAGGCTAGTTGGTGAACAGGTAGCAGAGTGGTTCAGAGACGCCACTACCACTATTCCACTGTGCTTTAACTCCTCTATGGAACAGAAGTCTATACAGAGCTGAGGAACTTACAAGTGAAAGATCTTCAAATCCTCAAAAACATTCCCTAAACAAACCCTCATATCTGCTGCCATAGAATAGTAGCAACTCTAGCTAGACTTGGACTTCTCTCACATGGAGGGCAGCCTGACATGGGATTTTTTTTTTTTTGAGACAGAGTCTCACTCTACTGCCCAGGCTGGAGTGCAGTGGTGTGATCTCGGCTCACTGCAACCTCCGACTCCCGGGTTCAAGCAGTTCTTCTGCCTCAGCCTCCCAAGTAGCTGGGACTACAGGCGTGCACCACCATGCCTGGCTAATTTTTTTGTATTTTTAGTAGAGACGGGGGTTTCACCATGTTGGCCTGGCTGGTCTCGAACTCCTGACTTCAAATGATCCACCTGTCTCGGCCTCCCTAAATGCTGGGATTATAGGCATGAGCCATCACACCTGGCCTGACGTGGAATTTTTAAAAAGTAAAATTTCTCATGAAGGTCACTTGTCAAAAATTATCCTTCAATCAAACACTATTCTTGTTTTTCTATATTACTTTTAAAGATATATAATTGAATGGGTAATACACATCCATGGCACAAAATTGAGAAGGTGCATAGCTCTACATCCACATACTGTATTGTAGAGAATTTTGCATATAAGTACATAAAAAAGTTTTCTCATTTTTTTTTTTTGAGATGAGGTCTCACTTTGTTGCTCAGGAAGGAGTGCAGTGGTGCAATCAAGGCTCACTGCAGCTTTGAACTCCCAGATTCAAGTGATCCTCCCATCTCAGCTTCCTGAGTAACTGGGACCACAGGTGTGATGCCACACCTGACTAATGTTTGTATTATTTCTAGAGACAAGTTCTCACTACGTTGCCCAGGCTGGTCTTGAACCCCTGGGCTCAAGCGATCCTCCCACCTTGGCCTCCCAAAGTGCTGTGACTATTGGTGTGAGCCACTGCATCCGGCCTTTCATTCTTTTTCTTTTTTTTTTTTCCATTGGAGAGATGCACCATTATTTATTTGATCAGTCCCCTATTGAGGGACATCTGGTTGCTTCCCAGTTTTTATTATTACAAACAATGCTACAGTGAATAACCTCGTTCATATAACATTTTACACCCATGCAAACATAACTGAAGGAAATATTTCTGGAAATTAAATTTTGGGATCAAAGTCTCATATATTCTTAATTTTTATAGTTATTGCAAAATTGCCCTCAATTGACTAATTGCACTCCCACCAACAATTTATGAGAGGACTTACCCTCCCACCCCTGCTTTGTCAACACAGTGTATTATTATTACTACTATCATTATTATTATTATTTGAAGCAGTCTCATTCTGTCGCCCAGGCTGGAGTGCAGTGGTGCGATCTTGGCTCACTGCCACCTCCGCCTCCTGGGTTCAGGTGATTCTCCTGCCTCAGCCACCGGAGTAGCTAGGATTATAGGCATGCACCACCACACCCACCTAATTTTTGTATTTTCAGTAGAGATAGGGTTTCTTCATGTTGGCCAGGCTGGCTTCAAAATCCTGGGCTCAAGTGATCTGCCCACCTTGGCCTCCCAAAGTGCTGGGATTACAGGCATGAGCCACTGTGCCCGGCCAACACAATCTATTATAAATATTTAAAACTTTGCCAGTGGTATCTCATGGTAGCTTTCATTAGCATTTCTCCAGTTATGAGGTTGGCTATCCATTTTTGGTATAGAAGCCATTTGTTAATTTTGATACCCTGCTCTCCAGGCACAGGGCAATTACAAATGACTTCAGATCACTTTATCATCAGCATTTCCTAACCTACTGTTTTGATAGATCCCCTGAGCTAGAGAACTTTGTTCATTTTCTTTTATTCTGCCCCATTTTTTGTTCTAGAACTATCCCAGGCATTTCTTAGGCACTCGGGAAATTTTACTTTAAAATCAGTATTTCTAGCGGCTAGCACAATGGCTAGCATAATAGTAAGGGCTCAAAAAATGTGAAACAAATAAATAAGAACCATACAAGAAACATTCACTTACCACTCTACATGGCTACGTACTCATCTAACTGTCTCTATTTGCAATGCCAATTTTAAAATGAAAGTTAAAGCTGCATTTAGACATGATAGTTTAGATGTCACTGTGGTCTATTGTTCTAAAGCTTTTTCTTTTGCAATATTAAGTCTGAAGTGCTACCTTTTGTTATACAGAGAAATTCCGTTTTTTTTTAATAAGCTTTAAGATCACAATGTATTTACTCTTTGCTCTGTAAGACCTGAAATGGCTCTTGACCTGTTAACAGTTTGTTGACCATCATGGGAGGTGGGGTGGGAACATCTTTTCAATTTTGTCCAGGGTAGGGGGAGGAGAGCAGAGGACTCATTATGTTGATCTATCTTCACTCTCTTGGCCAAACCCACTCACTTCCATGGGCACAAACACATGGGACACCTGGCTGGATTTCTGTAGAGAGTGGTCTGAGCCATGGGAAAGAAAACAAGTTAACAGTCAGAATCTGTACCTCTTGATTGAACTGTTAATTTTGCCACATTAGCACCACACTCTCACCACTTCGCTTGGGAAGGTATTGTACAGACATTTATACTCACCACACAAATAGCTTCCGAAAAACTTGGGGATCCAAAGGCTGAAGGAGCCTTGTTCATTATCATCATTATCATTATCAATAGTAATACAAGCTAGCATTTATTGAGTGCTTAATCTGTTCTAACTGTTCTACACCTGTTAATACATTTACTCCTATTATCCCATTTTATAGGTAAGAAACCCGAAACAGTGAAGTTAGATAACTTGAACAAGGTGACACAGCTAGTAAGCGTCTGAGTATGGTTGGCTTTGAGCCCAGGCAGTCTGGCTCTGGAGCTCACTCTGTTTTGTTTTGCAATTCGCAAAAGATAAAATGTTCTTTTTTTGAAATGCACATTTTTTGGGGGGAGGGGGAGATTTCGTCCCCCAACTGGAGCCCTCCAAGCTGTCATCGGTCAGTGGCGACACCAAGTGGTAAACTGGGTGTACTGCAGCCCTTTTATAACTCCCAATTCCCCCCAATTCCTTGCTCCCTCCCAACCCCTCCTACTCGCTCCCCAGCTCTCCCAAATAAACCTGTATGTACTTTAAGTAAAGCCAATATGTTTGCTCTGCAGAGGCAGTTTCGTGACATGTCTCCTTCCAACCAGACTGCCATCCTTCAAACCGTTTTTTCCTGTATCAGAGGAAGAGGTGTCCGAGGTTAGTTTGTGTTTTGAATCTCATTTCTCGCCTCTCAATTATTTTACTCCATTAGTTATCCCCTCCTTTTCTTGACTCTTTTGTGTGTGTATGTGAGACAGAGTTTCGCTCTTGTTTCCCAGGCTGGAGTGCCGTGGTGCGATCTCGGCTCACTGCAAATTCTGCCTCCTGGGTTCAAGTTATTCTCCTGCCTCAGCCTCCTGAGTAGCTGGGATTACAGGCGCCAGCCACCATGCCTAGCCATGTATTTTTAGTAGAGATGGGGTTTCATCATGTTGGCCAGGCTGGTCTCGAACTCCTGACCTCAAGTGATCCACCTGCCTTGGCCTCCCAAAGTGCTGGGATTACAGGCGTGAGCCACTGCACCCGGCCTCTTGCCTCTTTATTATTGATTTCACCAGTAGTTTTTCTGCTCGACCTACATATAAGCTCCAGTTTCTTCTACTTCAATGACAAAAAAAAAAATCAAGCAAACAATCAAACCTTTCCTTGAACAATTACTCTAGATTCACCTTTTAAAAGATGAATTCCAAAAGAGGATTGCCTTGCTCAGAAACCTCAATTCTTTCTCAGTCACTTTTTGAATTAGGTATAAATCTTAGTCCAATATTCAGGATGCTCCAAAATTGGGCCCCAATTTACCTTCTGGGTATTATCTTCCACAATTCCCCTGTACTTCCTTACCCTAAACTTCAACCACATAGGACTACTCACGGGTCCTCACATATAACTTCCTGCCTGCTCACCTTTGCCAACGGTGTTACCTCCACTTGGATTTACCTTTATTAGAGGCCTGTACTGATATTTTCTAGTTATTTGTGGCTATCCCATACACCATGAGTGCCTGAAGGAAGGGACTGAATGTTACCAGCTCAGAAAGCAAAAAAATTTTGGACTGAAAAAATAAAAATCCGGCCATTCATCAGGCCGGAATAACACACAGATAAAACCAGATGCAAATTTAACAGAGAACAATATTTCTTTGGCGGACATATTGCAGCTGTAAAGTGGTAACGATGTTTTTATTTCAGTGACCACCACTTTTTTATTCACTGAGAGACTTTGTTCTCTAAAATCGTAGATTATCAGAAACTTTTCTGCTTGAAATCGTATCAGTAAGAATGAAACATCCCACATGCATCTGGAGGACATAAGTTTCTTTGACACAGAGAAGCAGCCTCAATTTCCAACCCAGGTGCAGAGCTTCAGATAAGGGGTATCTGGACACAACATTCCACATCTATCTTTATTTTGTGGTTCCCAAGGAAACACAACTCTGGGTTCACTTTGCAGTTCAGACCTGATGGTGACCCCAAATGACAGTACTGCTTTGCTTTGAGCTTACCAAAAACACTGCTTTGTTTAAAATTCACCTAAACTCCACTCTTCTCTCCAATCCTATAATGACTCCATGTTTTTCTGTTTGATGAAATGCCTACCGTGTGCAGTCTCTCATATTGCAATGGGTCAAAGCCTGACTATGTCGGATTACAAATTTGTCCCCGGTAGCCTTATGCTGATTGGGCTAGGATAGGGGTTTTTAAATCCCTGACCACTTAGCTTGTCCAAAGTAGGCATTCCAAATTGTTCACTGCAGTAGAGTACCCTGGTTCTAGTTAGATTACTTGGATTATATGGATTCCAGTCTCAGGTCTGCCAAGAACTAATTAGCTGGATCATCTTAAGTGAGTCAGTGCACCCCATTTGGCCTAAGTTTTCTCTTCTGCAAAACGGTGTGCTGTTTCTTTCAAACCTAGGGTAAGGGCTTTGGAGTAAGTTAGACCTAGGTTGGATTCCCAGTTCTACCACGTACTAGTCCTGTGACTTCAGCTTTTCTGAGCCTCTGTTTTGTAATGATTAATATGGAGATAATACAGTACTAACAACTGCAGTATAGTTTTTGCAGCGTTGCTGGAAACATCAAGTTGGCTGTTAAAAGTATCACTACGTTTGATCACTATTCCTATTCCTACTATTATATGAGTTTAGACAAGTTACTTAACCTTTCTGTGCCTGTGTATTTTTATGAGTAAAAATGGAGAAATAACCCTCGGGGTTATTGTGAACACCAAATGAGACGAAAAAAGTAAAGGGGTTAGGAGAGTGCCTGGCACATAAGAAGCAGCTCAAATTATGTGATCTAATGTTATTAGTATTAGATTTCTACTACTAATTACTCTGTGGGCCGAAAGCTCAGGATAGACAGTTTCATTCTAAGGACAAACCTTCTCCCCAGCAAAAAAAGGCACTGCAAGCTGGAAATAGTGAAACACAATGGGGCATTGCGTTTTCAAAGGCAACTGACACGCCCAGCACTGGGATAGGACCCGCCCGCCCAGTCCTCATTAAATATGGCAGCGAGCGGGGCCGACGTACTGCGGCTGCGCAAGTTGAAACTCCTCCTGGCAGCTCCTCCCCGGCGGGCCTCCCCTCATCTCGGCTGGGTAGAGGTGCCGGGTGTGAGCTCGGCGTGGCGCGCACGCGCAGACGCTGGCTGGGCTGAGCCGATACTCGCGAGGCGCCCTGTCACATGAGCCGCGCGCCCGCTTCGCTCCCCCTCCTCCCCGGCTGGGCTGTGTGAATGAAGCTCTGCCGGCTACGTGGGGCGCTCACTCAACTTGGTGTCCTGGACGCCAGAGCCGACCGAGCGCGCTGCCCACCGGCGGCGGACACGGGCTCCGCCGCTCCGGACCTCGGCGACAGGTAAAGGCAAACGGGCTGTCCCTTCCCCAACAGGTCCTTGGCGGGCCGCTGGCCCCCGGCCCACCCCCGGAGCACCCCCTAAGCGCAGCGACACAGGGGAAGCGCAATCCCGCTGGCTTGGACCCCCGGAGATGGGGCTTCCCCGCGCCCGGCGTTGGCAGCCCGGCGCTTAGAGGAGGTAGACAGGCTAGTTCCAGCCAGTGCTGAGCGGCGTCTTCCCGGGAGCCCAGCCCTGTTCTCCGAGTTATGGTCCCTGGGTTGCCCGAGCGAAGTTTCCTTGCGGAGCGGCGCCAAGCCCGCCCCGCTTTTGAATCGGAGTGTTTAGCCGCCTGCGTCCCCTTTCCCGGACTGGGGTAGGGTGACTTAGGCTGGCAAAGCTCAGCCGAGGCCCGGCTCTTCTCCCTCCGGCTCTGGACTTGCCGCTGGTTTTGTATGGGTCTTAGCAAAGTGGAGAAACTCTCGGAAAAGTAGTTGCTGCGCTGTTTTCCTTTTGCCACTTAACGCGCGTAGCTGGTTCTCTCCAGACTTTCGAGCCTTGCTCTTGAGCGCCTTGATCCACACGGGAAAAGCTTTGCCTTTACATTGACGCACGTTTCCTTTGATTAACATTTCAGAGCAAATCAGTTGCCTGGAGTTCCCAGTGAAGTTGTACCTGTGCCCGTGCGATAACGTCAGTGGAAGCTGCCCCGAGTAAGTGAGGGAAATCTAGAAGTTTGGAGCATAAAAAACCAGCACGAATCAACTTTACATAAACTTCATACATTTATTAGCAACTGCTCGGGTTTAACTTCAGGGATGTTAAATTTCGCCTAGTCCCACGGGACGATGATCATTACTTCTTAACTGCACGCGAAATAGGAGAAGAAAAAAGGCAAATCAAAACAGACTGTCCCAGGTCTCAGAGAAGTCATCGGAGCGCTTTTTCCTGCTGAATTCACCCTAGGAGTTTGTGAGTTCCTAGTTTTCTTGGACTTCGCGAACTTTTCCTTGTCCAAAGCACTGTCTTTTCTCTGTTGGTGTTTTGGGACTGGTGTACACATTAACCCTTTTGTCATTAAAGAAGGCCAACACGATTCTCAAGCTAGTATTAGCCTTCAGTGTTTGTGCTTTAGCACTTTCACTTAGGAGGTGGAGGTGTTGGTTGTATAAAAGATATGGAAATAACAATCTACTTTGATGTTCACCAGGTCAAAAAGGTGAAGACTTTTAGAAAAAACAGATTGGCTTGTATGCTAAGTAGGGAAGACCAGTTTATTAACTGAGATCTTGTTTAAATGGGCAAGCAGAGTGTTAAGCCTCTAAGTCAAACTAAGTCGTCAGACCTCTCATTTTTTCTCCCATTCCTAGCTCCTATTTTTTTTTTTTTTTTTGGTTTGAGCCGGCTCTCGTTCTGTCGCCCAGGCTGGAGTGCAGTGGCACAATCTTGGCTCACTGCAACCTCCGCCTCCCTCCCGGGTTCAAGCGATTCTCCTGCCTCAGCCTTCCGAGTAGCTGGGATTACAGGCGTCACTTGTAATTATAGTGCACCGCCATACCTGGCTAATTTTTGTATTTTTAGTAGAGACGGGGTTTCACCATGTTGGCCAGGCTGGTCTCGAACTGACCTCAGGTGATCCGCCTGCTTCGGCCTCCCAAAGTGCTGGGATTACACCGCACCCGGCCCCTAACTCCTTTAATATCTTTGCAAATATTGTCCTAGGACTGGATTTGAAGTTTTAACAACAGGAATTAGCTGAATTAATTTGGTTTTCTTTAAACTGGTATTCCATTTTTACATTTTTCTTCTTCTTTGGTTCATTTTCCCCCTGATTATAAAAGCAATATACGCTCACTATAGGAAATTTGCAAAGGGTGGGAAAGTATAATGACACAAGGAGAGAGAACTACTACTCAAAGGGTATCATCACTCTTCACTTTTTATTCCGCTTCCTTTTTTTTCCCCTATACAAGATCTGTTTCCAAACTTTATTCATAAACTTTCCTCTCCTTCTACTGATTTTTAAATGTAAAGTTGGGTATTTTGGGGGTTGGTTAGGGCACTGGATATTAATGTTGCTCTTCAGTCTCCAAAGCATGAAACTTCAAGGTAGGAAAGGTGCTTAACGGTGATTTCATCCAGCAACTCATCAACTGAGACTCAGACCTCATTTACTGAAGCTCTAATGATTCATGCAGAAATGTATAGCACTGAGTGGCAACATTAACTCACTCCAGATCTCTCTCTCTTCAGAGATACCTTGCTGCTTAGAGGGAAACTTGACACTACCCATGCCTGCATATCTTTGAAAGAGAGGTTCAGAGAGGAGCAGGAGATAATTTTCAAGCATTTGAAGTGTATAGTTTCTTTTAGGTATTCATTTTTCTGTTTACATTTTCAGGTTTGGGGCTTTAGCCCCTTGGAGAAAACAGGGCCACATAGCTGCCTTTCTATCAAGTCTCCCTACAAAACTGAGAGGCTCTGGGAAACTCAGCCTGTGACCCCAGCGTGGGTGAAGATAGGATCAAGATGGCCATGTGGCAGGGTAAGAAATTAGCACTTATTCTTCTAACTGGTTTTTCCTCCTACTCTATTCTCTACCCTCACCCAACCGTTCCCCACCCAGCCAATGGCAGGCAGCCAGCTGTTCTTTAATTTAACCCTTTGTCTTTGCAGGGACAAAACACATTAGTTTAAAAAGAAGCTGCTGCTAGCTATAAGTTTAAATTATTTAAAAGTGGGGTTGTAGGAGAAGTAGGAAAATGCCATGCCAGCAGCATTTAAAAGAACTCCCTTCATTTAAATAAGTGATCATTGGGGGTTATATGCCAGGAGACAGGATATTTTTTCCCATTTGTGTTTTTCATTTGTTTCTGGCAAATTTCTATCATAAGATTCCCCACCATAAGGTTGGGGAGACAGATGTCACTGCCTCTCCAGCTTCATCTTCCCAATAAAAACTTTGTGATGTATGCAGTTTGAAAGAGCATATTTAATGTTACAGTGTTTATATTTGATACAATATAAACATTGAGAAGGAAAACGCCTGTTTTAATAATATGAACTACCTGAGAGCAAAGCTCAGTAGTATCTTAGCTGATGTATTACATCTCTCATGAACTTGTGAATTCCTACCACATACAAAGTTATGTTTTATTTTGAGCGGAGTTGCGGTTTGTGCCCTTTGGAGGGTTTAGGAGTCTCCACGGGTATGTGGGATTTTTATTGTTATCAAAAGTGAGTGTGGGTTTAAGAAATGATAGACAAACACTACCAAAATTGGCCTGTGACCCACAAAAAGTTAAAGACCACTTAAATGGAGTGGAATGAAATAGCTTGAATATCTAGAAATATTCAGCAGGTTGGTTAGTTGGTGGTCTAATGTATCTTTTAAAAATGTTTCATTGTGTTGGTTGTGACTTTATGTAGGCACACAAATGTAACAAGTAGTTTCCATGTATAAAGATTATCAATGAGAAGACATTTATGGAAACGGGATTTGGCCTGTATGCTTCCTTTGACTCACACAATGGGCATTTATCAAGAGCAGTTTGGATATTCTTGCTTAAATCCTGAGACATTATTTCATTCAACAAACGAAATACAGAGATGAATAAGTTGCAGGATGCTAGAAGATTCCTTGTCATCTAAAGACAGACATACAAACAAATAATTTTGCCATGTTGAATAAGTGTTAGAATAGAGAGGTACAAAAAGCAAGGGAAGCCCCGAGAAAAGCTTGATGAAGTCTGAGTTTTGAGCTGGTCTAAAAAAATGAGTAGGAGCAAATGAGAGAATTGCATTCTGGGCAGACAGAGCAGCACTGTTTGGGAAGTTCCAAGTTGCTCTGTTTGCCTCATGTGAGATGTGTAGGGGCGCGACCTCAGATGAAGCAGGGAAGGTAGTTGGAGGCCAGATAATAAAGAGCCTTGTATGTTCTAGGAAGGATTTTACACTTTATCCTGAAGACAAAGATTCTAAACAGGGAAGTAACATAATCAGATTTTGTTTTAGAAAGATTACTTTGGCAGCAGTGCTGAGCTGGAAATGATGAAAACTGGGAGTCAGTCAGGAGGTTTCTGGAATAGTTTAGGGGAGAGATGGTAAGGGTCTGAGCAGAAGCAGGGGCAGTAAGGTTAGAATGGGATTCTAGAATGTTCTGTGACTGGATGTGGCAAGAAATGGGCCTGGATTAACTACCAGCTTGGGTGCCTGGGGGCCACTGGTGCCATTCTCTGAGATGGGGAGCATGGGAGGCAGCTGATGGGCATGGGGGTGGTGCACTGGATTTGGATGACCTGTTTGGGTTGAGACACCTATGTACTGTCAGGTCAATGTTTCAAAGACAGTTTTGAAAGTACAGAACTGATATTGGCACAGATGGGGATCTAAAGTTTTGTTCCTAATGATGCATAAAGAGCTTGTATTTTTTTCTCTGTAGTTAATGGAAATGTCATTACTAGTTAATGATTTATTTTACAATAAAAACATTTTAATGTTTAACAACTCTTAATCAAAATGTCATATTTTCATAGTAAATAATGTATTTTGCAAGCCCAGGCCCTGAAATCAGATGTGCTTAAAATTACATTGAAGTGAAACCTCATTTTTCCAGCATTAGTGAAGAGGGGAGTATTCTATATAAGTAAGCTCTTTGGATAACTGCAGCTTATCCTTTGTTTTGGCTAACCTCTGAAGTAACCAGCAAAGTACGATGATAGTTTGGAAGCAGTGTGGTATGATAGTTAAATGTGTGGGTCTGAGTTCTACTCCATTGGTTCTGTCACTTGGTAGCTACGAGGCCTTGGGCAAGTAACTTAATCTCTCTGTGTGGAAGTTTTCTCCTTTACAAAATGGAGATAGTAATATAACTCATCCCATTGCTGAGTATATAGCCAAAAGAAAGGAAATCAGTATTGAAGAGAGAGCTGCACTCCCATGTATATTGCAGCACTACTCACAATAGCCAAGATAGGAAATCAACTTAAGTGTCCATCACTGGATGAATGGATAAAAAACATGTGTTACATATATTCAACAAAATATTATTCAGCCATAAAAAGAATGAAATCCTGTCATTTGCAGCAACATGGATGGAACTGGAAGTCATTATGTTAAGTAAAATAAGCCAGGCACAGAAAGATAAATACTGCATATTCTCACTCATATGTGGGAGTTAAAAAATGTGGATCTCATGAAGGTAGAAAGTCGAATGGTGGTTTCCAGAGGCTGGGAAGGGAAGGAGTTTGGGGAATGAAGAGAAGTGGGTTAATGGTTATAAACATACAGCTAGAGAGAAGGAAAAAGTTTTAGTATTCAATAGTACAGTAGGGAGACTACAGTTAACAATAATTATATATTTCAAAATGGCTTGAAGTAAAAAATTGGAATGTTTCTAACACAAAGAAAAGATAAATGTTAGAGGTGATGAATATCCCAGTTACCCTGATTTGATCATTACACATTGTATACGTGTATCAAAATATCACATATACCCCCCAAATATGTACAGCTATTATATATCAATTTTTGAAAAGGGAGAAAAGTAGAACACCTGATAGGCTTGGTGTGAAGAGAAATTAAGCTAATATATGCAGAGCACTTGGAACATAGTAAATGCCATATAAGTGTATGCCATTATTATAATAGTAAAACATTTAGAATATTGTGTAGCATATAATAAGTGCTCAGTAAAATTTAGCAATAGCCGTTATTACTACTATCACTATTATTTTCTTATAACCTGGGGTGGGACTGGGACCTTGTTCTGTGGAGGTAATTTTAGGTTGTCCTTGGAAGCCCTGTCCTGTGGTTGTCTGTTTGGGTCTTTAAGTAGAAGTTTAGACTTGAAAAGATTCTTAGAAAACATCTAGCAGCCGGGCGCGGTGGCTCACGCCTGTAATCCCAGCACTTTGTGAGGCCGAGGCGGGCGGATCACGAGGTCAGGAGATCGAGACCATCCTGGCTAACACGGTGAAACCCCGCCTCTACTAAATATACAAAAAGTTAGTCGGGCATGGTGGCGGGTGCCTGTAGTCCCAGCTACTCGGGAGGCTGAGGCAGGAGAATGGCGTGAACCCAGGAGGCGGAGCTTGCAGTGAGCCGAGATCGTGCCACTGCCCTCCAGCCTGGGCGACAGAGCCAGACTCCATCTCAAAAAACAACAACAAACATCTAGCTCAATTCCTAGAGGTTAAGTGATATGCCCAACGTCAAACAGGTAGTAGTTGATCCTAGAGCTAGTATTAAAATCCAGGTCACCTAATTCCCTATTCCAGTATTCTTTCCGTGGGCTCATGGAAGAGGCAATGTGTGAGTCTGTTCTCAGCTCAAGGAAGCTTCTGAGTCAGTCTGTAGAGCTTGTTGAGGAACCCTAAGGGCTACAGGAGCCCAAATCTCCTTAGGTTCTTGGCTCATTGCTGTCTGGTTCCTCCATGGAGAATTTGATCTGAATTCCCATACCTCTTAAATGGGGCCAACATTATTTTGACTTCACTTAATGGAGCCCTCTAATATATTTTCTGGCCACTTTAAACAGTGTACTGAGCATAATTTAATATTTTTGATAACTCAGGGTTATCATTAATAACCTCCAGCCAGTTTGAGGTTGGAGACTTGTGTTGTCAGGTGTTGTTTATTTATTCCATTAACATTTATTGAACACTACTTGTGCAGCAGGCACTCTGCTGGGCCCTAGAGACGCAATGGTCAGTGGAAACAAGTATGGTCTCTACTGTAATGGAACTTAAGAACCAGGATAAAGGTAGCACTTCAAATTAATGAAATGATTTATTTAACACATATGCTGAAGTAATTTGGAAAAAATGACAGCATAAATTTAGAAGGGTTAATATAATGTTTCTTAATAAAGGAGGGGACATCAGAATTACCTGTAGTGCTTTAAAAAATATTCCTACTCAGGTCCCCATTCCCCCAAATTGTGATTCAGTCTTAAGACCTGAGCATTACAATCCTGTTTTGGAACTGCTGCAATAAATATAGGTTTTTTGTTTTTTTTTTTTTTGGAGAAGGCGATGATAAAGGAACTCAAAAAATATGGAAGACTATATATATAATCTTGGGGATAGGGAAGATATTTGTGTGCATAATATCAAAGGTAGAATAATAAGGAAAAAGATTAATATAATCAGTTATATGAAAATTTAAAATTTCTGCACAAACCATAAATAAAGTTAATGAGAAAACTAGAAACAATTGCAGCAAGATTTATTATCTGTAACACAAAGACTTAACAGGGGGATAAGAAAAAAACAAGTATTTTACTAGAAAAATGTACAAAGGACGAGGGAAAATGTGCAAAGGAAAATACATCAAAGAAGAAATGCAAATGGCCAGTAAACATGTATCTCAGTAGCAGTCAAATAAAGGGGAATTAGAATGGCATACCATTTTCTCCAGTATAATTTGCAAAGATTAAAAAGGAATGACAGAACTCACTGTTGGCAAGGACTCAAGGAAGCAGATGTTCTCATACACTTGTGGTGGGAATGTCAGTTTGGCAATATTTATTAAAAGCTTTAAAAAATATGTTTACCTTCTGACCCAGCAATTCATTTTCTTGGAATTTATCCTAAGGAAGTAATTAAGGGTATGCACAAAGATGTATCAATAAGGATATTAATTGCAGCATTTTCTATAATGGGAAAAATTGAAAACACTTGCATTTTGATGCATCCATACAATGGAATATGGTAATTACCAAAAATGATAATGTAGAGTTCTATTTAGTAACACAGAAATAGGTTCATAACATAATGTTAAACCCAGGGGTCAGGGAGTGGGGGAGCAGGGAAAAGCAGATTCCGAACTGTTGATACAGTCATCCCTCCATGTGCTCGGGGGATTTGAAGACCCCAAGTATACTAAAATCCTAGCATACTCAGGTCCTGCAGTTGGCCTTACAGAACCTGCATATAGGAAAATTTGGCCTTCCATATTCATGGGTGTCATATTCTGAGATTACCGTATTTTCCATCTGTGCATTTGGTTGAAAAACATCTGCGTGTAAGTGAACCTGTGCAGTTCAAACCCGTATTGTTCAAGGGTCAACTGTCATTAAAAGTATGGACTCTGGGCTTAAATCTGAATTCAAATCCCAGCTACACCTTTATCAGCTGTGTGCTGTTGGGTATATTACTTGTCTTAGTGTTCCTTGATTTCCCCATCAGTAAAATAGGGATAAAATAGTAGCTAACCTAATAGTTCCTAGCTAGTGTGCCCAAAGATCACCTGGTGATCTTTCCAAACTTCCCAAGCCTAGGCCTCACTCAGCCAATTAAATCTGAATCTCTGGGGACGGGACAGAGAACAGTATTTTTGAAGTTCCCCAGGTGATTCTAATGTGCAAACAAGTTTGAGAAAGCCGAGCAGTTGTTGAGGTGATTGTTGAAGGGATTAAATGAGAAAATCACAGTGCCTGTCATGTGGTAAGTACTCAATACATGGTAACTATTATTATTATTGTTGCTATTTAAAAATTATTAATAGTATGATCCCATTTTAATTTATGTGTTTGTGTCCATGTATGGATAGTATAAAAAAAAGTCTGAGAGGATATATGCAAAAGTATTTTAAAAAAGAAATTATAGTTGACTTTATTTTTGCTTACATGTATCTTTCCACTTTTCTGTAAATATCATGGATTGTTAATTTTAAAAAGTATAATTTCTGAAGGAAATATCAGATATATGTACCCAGCTTTATATGCTAAGGTATTTATAGTGAAAAAACTGAAGACATAGTTTTCATACTAGGGGAATGTAAGTATATTATGATAGTTCCAAACAGTATAATATCTGGCCATTAAAAATAAAGACTAGCTGGGTGTGGTGGCTTACACCTGTAATCCCAGGACCTTCGGAGGCCAAGGCAGGAGGATTGCTTGAGTTCAGGAGTTCAAGACTAGCGTGGGCAACATAGATTCCATCTCTACTAAAAGAAAACTTTTTTTTTTTTTTTGAGACAGAGTTTTGCTAACTAGCCAGGCATGGTGGTGCACACCTGTCGTCCCAGCTACTCGGGTGGCTGACATGGGATCACTGGACCCCAGGAGACTGAGGCTGTAGTGAGCTATGATCTCGCCACTGCACCCCAGCCTGGGCAACAGATTGAGACCCTGTCTCAAAAAAAAAAAAAAGACTGATGCTGTGGGGACTCCCTCTGTCACCCAGCCTGGAGTGCAGTGGTAGGATCTTGGCTCACTGTAACCTCAAACTCCCAGGCTCAAGCAGTCCTCCCACCTCAGCCTCCTGAGTAGCCGGGTCTACAGGCACGCACCACTATACTTGGCTAATTTTTGTAGTGTTTGTAGAGACAGGGTTTTGCCTTGTTGCCCAGGCTGGTCTCGAACTCCTAAGCTCAAGTGATCCACCTGCCTTGGCCTCCCAAAGTGCAGGGATTACAGGCATGAGCCATCATGCCTGGACCCATCTCTCTCTTTTTAACTCAAGTGTGGGTTTATGTATCTCTCTGTGTTTACATGTTACATATACACCTATGAAGTGAAGATAAGTACAGAAAGAAAGGAAATGATCCAAAGTTGTTGCACTGGCTGTCTCCAGATGATGGGATACAGTTACTTTTATCTTCCTTTTTTTATACTTTTATTTACTTTCAATTTTTATGCAATAATGTGTATAACTTTTATAACAGAAAACAAGTGATTTGAAAATGAGATATAAGAGTCAGTAGACTCTCAACAAGTACCTGGCAGCAAGGAGCGCAGCATGTGTGGCCCCCTGGACAACTGCTTAGCCACTCTGTGTCCCCTTCTACGTTCCAGCAAAAGAGCAAAAGAGAAGAAACCAGGCCCCTGAGGGTTTGGTTAGAACAGGTTTTTTGCTATTAATACTTCCTCAAGTACTCTTGTAATTTTTGGCTGTCTCTCCCATTGACTACAAAAAACTCTTGGAAGATGTGCAAAAGATGGCAAATTACACTGTATCTAATGTAGAGGTTGCAGAATAAGGTGAGGTGGCAAAATATACGTCAGGCTAAGTGTGAAAATAAGGCAGAGGAAAATCAGAATAAAATAGTTGCAATGAGAAACTGTTCTTCAAATTGAAAGGAAGTATATGTTTTGACTGTGCAGATTTTTTTTTGGCACATTGCAGTGTATTTGTAAACACTCTGGTGATTTAGCCAACACATGGGAGGTGGGGAGCAAGAGGGAGCCTCACAAAGCAGTGGGTGAATTGACGAGAAAGCTTTAGTGTGAAATCTGGGTAGCCATGTGGCTTGCTAATTGGACCACTATCACCTAAGAGAAGCCATCTGGTCCTGCTTGTTGACCGAAACAAAAGTAGGTAACTCTTGAAAGAAAGTCAGGTTGTTAGAGCAGGAATAAAGAAGCAGGCAGCCTCCACCCCCAGCCCCTTTTCCTCTATCTGGCACAGTGCCTCACCTACAGCAGGTACTCAAGAAGCGAATTCTTTGTCAATTAAAATAATAAAGAAATAAATTTAAAAAATTTAAAAAGAAATGAGTTCCTTGTCTCTCTTCACCTTTTGCCTTTCCATAACTCTTCAGTGGGGAGAAATTGGTGGGGAATGGATTCTGATGGAAGTCATTGAATAGAGGGTAAACGAAAACAACCTTTCAAAAAATTATTCTCTAAGAGTCAGTTATTCTTTCCCAAGCACACAGTTGTGGAGGGAGCACAGGTCTTGGAGTGCGATAACCTGAATCTGAACCCAGGTCTGCCATTTGGTAGCCAAGGTTATTTAAACTCCAGAAGCCTCAATTGTCACATCCGGGGTCAAGTGTCATGTCTGGAGACAGACTCCCTGGATTTGTATCCTGGCTCTGTCACTACTAGCCATGTGACTTTGGGCAGGTTATTTAATCTCTTTGTGCCTTACCTTCTTCATCTGTAAAATGGGGTTAATACTAATACCTACTCAGGATTATTGGGAGGATGTAGTGTAGTGAGTGAATACAAATGCAGCAAAGCACTTGCACATGCTGGCCTTTATAATATGTGAAAGGTTATGATAATATTTACTGCACGTGCTTCTAGATGAGAGTCAGTCATCAGAATGCCTGGTCCATTATAGCTGTTCTGATTGGATTATAAGTTTTGGCATGAAAAATAAAATTAGGTATATTATTAAAGAGATTTTTAAACTGGAAGGGGTCTTCAGAGGTGATCTGTTTCAGATGTATAATCTTGCAAAGGAAGAAACTGAGGCCCAGTGAGACTTATTTTAGGCCACACAGCTGTCACATCGTACCCAAAGCCAGGACTAGACCCTGGGGCTCCTGATAATCAGTGCTGCCCAGCCCGCTCTTTCTCTGTCAATCTGTCTACCTATTTGGTCCTACTGCATTGCACTGCCTTCCCCAGGCTTGGGTATCTTACAGTTTTCTGTTGAATCTTAGTCTTTTCCTACTATGCTTTACTGCTACCGTGAAACGTTTAGTTTTTTTTCTCCCCTCAAAAATAGGTTTTCCATTGAGGCTTCCAGGATGTTTTTTTTCCCCTTCTTCTCACTATGTTAGCTTATGAAATAAACTATAAATTCTTATTATTTAACCAGAATTATGATTCAGCTTCCTGTTTCATGTAATGCTGTTCTGTGTGTCAAGGGTTGGGGGAGGCAGGACTAGAAAGTTTCATTATTGGTGGCTACGAATGCCAGATTCTCCTTCTTCTTTTCCTTCCTACCTTCTCTTAACTACCCAGTATTTATAGACCCATGGTCAGGCCAAAGAAGCTGTTGAGGAGTTAATAGTATGAAGTGTCTCCCTTAGTAATGTCATATTTTGATGATTTTCAACCCAATACCATTCTGGCATTAGGTGGCAATTTATTATATTTATTTAGGATTTCTGCCCTGACTACATCCAGGAGGAACATAGAACAACACAGAAATTAAAACATAGAGCAATTAGAAATAAATGCAGGACAGGGACCATCCAGTGGAAATGAAATCGATATTACTAGGCATGTGAGATACTAGACACTGAAGTTTTCTCTTTCTTTTCTTCTGTGTCCCTCCTTCCCAAAGACAAGCACGATAAGTTACATCGTTGACATCTTCTGGCCAAAAAACGTGTTCAGATGCAAAAGAAAACCCTGGCTCTGTCTATGCTAAATCTTCTGGCCCTTCCACTGCCCTCCCTTTGGTCTGGCCTTACCTGTGGCCACCTGTGACTCAGCACTGAATATTCCCAGGTTGAAATCATGATCTTTCCTGTTTAGCTTTGAGAATGGTGAGAGACAGGTAGGCAAGAGAGTTCCTGCCATCCAAATTCTCAACTCTGTCAAGCTATTCTTTTCCTTGGGTCCTGTACCCCAGTAATACACAATAATAACAGAGTTTCCTTATCTTACATTCCTCTGTATTGAATAATTGTACCACCATGGACCCAGATGTCAAAGCCCAAATTCTAAGAGACACCATGCATTTCTTGCTCCCCCTTACCTGCAGTCCACCCCTGCTGGCCTAGATCATTTCAGTTGGTAACATTCCTAGCAACTACCTGCTTATCTTTCAGCCATGAGCTTTTCCTGAAGCCTCCCCGATCCTCTGGTAAAATTGGCTTCTGGCTCTATTGTATGGTCCTTGAGGGCATTGACTGCACTTGTTCAATATTTTTGTTCTCACATCTGCTGTGTGCCAGGCAGGCACTGTGTTGGGTGGATGCTGGGGTTAAAGCAGTGAATACAAAAGTCATGATCCCTGCCCTCTTAAGCCTTGCAGTCTCATGGGGGAGTTGGAGTGCAAATAAATACACAGATATTTTCTTATAAAGTGTTGTGAGTACTAGAAAAGTCAAGTCCTATGAAAAAGAATAGTAGAGACTGAATTTATAGAGAGAAGAAGGGAATGGGAGGAAGTGACAAGTTCATCTGAGACCTGAAAGATGAGGAGGAGTTATCCACGCAAAGAGTTGGGGGAACAGCATCCCAGGCAGAGGAGACAAGGTGGAAATCCCTGAGGTGGGAAGAATCCCTGGGTCCTTTCCCAGCATGGTCCATTGCAGCAGGACCATAGTGAATGAGGCATAAAGGGACACATGATAAAATTGGAAAGGTGGGCAGGGGACAGGCCACACAGGGTTTTATAGGCCATGTTACCAAGTACCCTAACTTGGTAACATGAAGGCCTTGGAGATAGATTGGATATGGCAGAGTGACCAGTGAATGAATGGGGAGTGTCTCATTCATCTTCTCATACCAAATACCTGGCAGAGAGTGCCCAGCACATAGTATGTGCTCATTGAATCTTTCTTTAATGAGTAATAACTGCCTTGCCTTCCTATCAGGATTGCCATGGAGATTAAATGAGATAAAGTATGCTAAGGTGCTTTGCAAAATAATTCACTAGATTCTATGTAGTGATGCTTATAGGTCTTCACTGTCACTAGGAACCACATCCCCCCAACCCCATTCTCTGTTAAACTAGCAAAATCTTTCAATTAGTTCATCCCATGCCATGAACATGCTGATGTACTGTGTTCTTACATATTCAATGTGTCTCTTTGATCAATGCCTTTAACTAATTATGGGTGAGTGGAAACTCCCTTATATCACACCATTTTGTGGCACTCCTGGTGTTAGAGATAATTATGGGTAGTGGTGCCAGGAGCAGTATAGCTTTCTCTTCTATGCTAAATCTACTTCTAAATCTCTCAACCTATAATAATTCATTATTTAGGAGCTGGGTTAATACTGAGGAATAGCATTCTTTGAATTTGCGTTTGGATGGGGCAAGGCTAATCATATCAGGATGTGGTTGGTACCAATTATGGCACTTGGTTTTCTAGACTGTTAAAAGACATAACAAAATGATCAGTGTTTTGCTATTTTTATGTTAAATATCTGTTCCCTATTTAAACTGCAAGAACTTCAGATGATTGACTGAAAAGTCCAGCTCCGTGCACTGTTGGTAGGCATATAAGTTGGTAGAATCCATTAGAGCGCACTTTGAAAGACTTTTTCAAAATGTAACTTGTACAACTTTTGTCCCAATGAATCTTCTCAAAAGGAACTGCATGAAGGTCACTTGTTACAAGGATCTTGGTTGCCTTCTAGTTGCCATCTTTTTACTATCAACAGTCTTATTAATGTACAGCATGAGAGACCAGTCATGTTAATTATGATATTTACATACTATGGAATGCTGTTCATTTCATTTAAAAGAGTAAAGTAGCCTGGACGTGGTGGTTCACGCCTGTAATCCCAGCAATTTAGGAGGCTTAGGTGGAAAGATCACTTGGGATCAGGAGTTTGAGGCTGCAGTGATTGTGCCACTGCACTCCAGCCTGGGTGATAGAGTAAGACAGTAAAGTAGATGTACATATAGTGACAGGGAATGGTGTCCAAGATAAATTTTTAAGTGAAAAAAGGGGTGCAGAATGGTATATATTATAGGATCCCACTTGTTCAACACAAAGAAGGGAGGTATTATTTAAGAATTCGTGTATATGTGTTCTTGCATATGCTTAGAAAATTTCTAGGATGACGCACAAGAAACAGTTGTCAGTTACCTTGGAGATTAGAGGTGGCAAGGCTAGGGATTTTAGTTTTCACTTGACACCTTTCTGTACACTGCTCGACTTGTTTACAACAACCTGTAAAACCTTTAAATACTAAAATTTAAATAAAAACTTTACCTCACTAGATTATTTCCTCGACAATTTATACTAAGAAATAAAAGGAATATTAGTGGTTGAGGTGAGAGATCAGGTCTGAAGCAAAGGAGGCTGACTCTGATAAAACCAAGGGCCTCTAAAAGCTACCTCTGTGGCCAGAGGACTTAGGAGAGATGTTGCTTTGTTAAAGCGTAATGCTAAGAAAACAAGTAAGATTAAATTGGGTAAAAATTACTTTATTAGTTTTTTGATGAAACAGTTGTAATCATATCATTAGTTTTGATCTCTGGGTATATTAATAACTAAACAGCATAGTAATTGTATTCCAGACTACAATTTAAAAATTAAATGTTTCAATGTGTAGAATAATAGCTGTTTTTCTTGTTTGATTTGTTTAAATGTTGCAAGTGAATGCTAAGCTACAATTTCTTGAGCTTTTTACTTAAGGACCTGAGGAAAAATGCAAGTATAATCTTATGCTTGAAGTAGAGAAGATATAAATTACCTAATATTTACCTGATAATGTTTGGATTAAGTTAAATCTTCAAATTCTTAAGGCCCCTTCTAGCTCAGTCTCCCCCAAAAAGAGGGTTTTTGTCTGAGATACAAGAAGTCAAAGGGTTGTCTGTCAGAATGTCCTCTTGGTTTGGCATAATGAAGAGAGTTCCTTCACCCAGTTGTGGATGTTCAGAGACAAGAGTCACTATCCTGTGTTAAGTGACCCTGCTTCTCTAATATTTGGGGTTTTAGCCAGGAGATAGGTGGTAGAACACAAGACAGGTTTTACTTTAAGATATTGATTATTGTGAAAATGGCCATACTGCCCAAGGTAATTTATAGATTCAATGCCATCCCCATCAAGCTACCAATGACTTTCTTCACAGAATTGGAAAAAACTACTTTAAAGTTCATATGGAACCAAAAAAGAGCCCACATTGCCAAGTCATTCCTAAGCCAAAAGAACAAAGCTGGAGACATCACGCTACCTGACTTCAAACTATACTACAAGGCTACAGTAACCAAAACAGTATGGTACTGGTACCAAAACAGAGATATAGACCAATGGAACAGAACAGAGCCCTCAGAAATAATGCCGCATATCTACAACCATCTGATCTTTGACAAACCTGACGAAAACAAGCAATGGGGAAAGGATTCCCTAGTTAATAAATGGTGCTGGGAAAACTGGCTAGCCATATGTAGAAAGCTGAAACTGGATCCCTTCCTTACACCTTATACAAAAATTAATTCAAGATGGATTAAAGACTTACATGTTAGACCTAAAAACCATAAAAACCCTAGAAGAAAACCTAGGCAATACCATTCAGGACATAGGCATGGGCAAGGACTTCATGTCTAAAACACCAAAAGCAATGGCAACAAAAGCCAAAATTGACAAATGGGATCTAATTAAACTAAAGAGCTTCTGCACAGCAAAAGAAACCCCCATCAGAGTGAACAGGCAACCTACAGAATGGGAGAAAATTTTTGCAACCTACTCATCTGACAAAGGGCTAATATCCAGAATCTACAATGAACTCAAACAAATTTACAAGAAAACAAGCAACCCCATCAAAAAGTGACCGAAGGATATGAACAGACACTTCTCAAAAGAAAACATTTATGCAGCCAAGAAACACATGAAAAAATGCTCATCATCACTGGCCATCAGAGAAATGCAAATCAAAACCACAATGAGATACCACCTCACACCAGTTAGAATGGCAATCATTAAAAAGTCAGGAAACAACAGGTGCTGGAAAGGATGTGGAGAAATAGGAACACTTTTACACTGTTGGTGGGACTGTAAACTAGTTCAACCCTTGTGGAAGTCAGTGTGGCGATTCCTCAGGGATCTAGAACTAGAAATACCATTTGACCCAGCCATCCCATTACTGGGTATATACCCAAAGGATTATAAATCATGCTGCTATAAAGACACATGTACACGTATGTTTATTGCGGCACTATTCACAATAGCAAAGACTTGGAACCAACCCAAGTGTCCAGCAATGATAGACCGGATTAAGAAAATGTGACACATATACACGATGGGATACTATGCAGCCATAAAAAAGGATGAGTTCATGTCCTTTGTAGGGACATGGATGAAGCTGGAAACCATCATTCTCAGCAAACTATCGCAAGGACAAAAAACCAAACACTGCATGTTCTCACTCATAGGTGAGAATTGAACAATGAGAACACTTGGACGCAGGAAGGGGAACATCACACACCGGGGCCTGTCGTGGGGTAGGGGGTAGAGGGGAGGGATAGCATTAGGAGGTATACCTAATGTAAATGATGAGTTAATGGGTGCAACACACCAACATGGCACATGTATACATATGTAACAAACCTGCACATTGTGCACATGTACCCTAAAACTTAAAAAAAAAGTTGCCCGGTAGTCTAACTTTGTCATTTATTCCTTTGTGCTTTGTGGTATCTCTTACATTTATCACTTCCTTTAAATTCCAAAGTTAGCATCTTATATACAGGTACTTAGAATGTTCTACATGAATCTTATTCAGCAATCTCTTAACTCATCACCCCAATTCCAGTCTCTTTTTTCCATCTGTCCTGCATAGTTCTGACCATGACAGCTCTCTGCCCAAAGCCCTTCAATTGCATCCCACTGTATATGGAATGAAGTATGAATCTTTTAGTTTTGAAGCCAGAATTGGATTCAAATCCTAGCTCCACCAACTCCTAGCTATGTGATGTGAGGCCTCATTTTGTAACGTGTTAAATGGGAATAATAACAACTGCCTCATAGGTCCTGGTTTTCCTGGGCCCCTGTTTATTCCTATTCCATCTGATTCATACTCCACTCTCCAAAGTGTCCTGGTTTTGACAATTAAATCATTTGGTCAATAAAGGGTTGTTACGAAGAGTTAATGAGACAATGTATATAAATATAACAGGCCTGGCATGACACTTTCATGTTCCCTCAAATGTACCTGGTACTTTGCTGACTGAAATCATATCTCTGACATCTCCAGCTACAGAAGAACCTACCCATACTGCATGGTCTTCCTCAGATGCTACCTCCTCACCTTCGTCTAACTTCTGTGGTAGTCCACAACTCTCTAACCATGTCTCTAACATAAGTTTGGGTTATGGTTATTAGTGCACATGTTTTAACTTCCTCAGAGACTAGCTTTTGGAAGGACGGTATCTGCTTCTGAATCTTCTTAGTCCCACCCATAATACCTAATAGTGTCTTCCACACAGAAGATACAAAATCACTTATTTAAATTTAGAAAGAATATAGCATTTTGGCTACAGGATTGTATTTCACTTACCCACGGGCTTTATTCAAGCCTCTGCTTTCTCACTCCCTTGAAATGATTTCACTTGCTCGTTAGGGCCACAGCAAGAGTACTCTAATAGGAAATTTCTTTCACAGCTGGCCATTACCTTGATTGATTGGGGGTGGCAGTGAAGAAGGGATTCTGGGAGCTATGGTCCTAGAAATACAGAATAACTAAAAGCACAGGTTCTAGAGCCAGACTGCCTCAGACTCAGGCTCTACCAGTTACAATTTCAGAATACTACCCAACCACTTTATGCCTCAGTTCCTATCTGCTATACCATTACTGGAAAGATTAAATGAGATAATCCATGTAAAGCACTTTTAAAAGCACATGGTAGGCTGGGTGTGGTGGCTCACACCTGTAATCCCGGCACTTTGGGAGGTCAAGGCGGGTGATCACTTGAGACCAGTTTGAGACCAGCCTGGCCAACATGGTGAAACTCCATCTCTATAAAAATACAAAAACTAGCCAGGCGTGGTGGTGCATGCCTGTAGTCCCAGCTGCTTGGGAAGCTGAGGCATGAGAATTGCTTGAACCCAGGAGGCAGAAGTTGCAGTAGCCCAGATCATGCCACTGCACTCCAGCCTAGGTGACAGAGCAAGACTCTGTCTCAAAAAAAAGCACATGGTGAGTACTCATAAATGATAGCTATTATTATTGGTTCTTTTCTCTTTCTTGACCTCAGTCAACTCAGAATACTTTATTATGGAATGAGAAATGTAAGCAACATCCTCCGTGCAGGGCAGTCAAGTACAGGCTTTGATCACATACAAAGTCCAGCCCAATCAGAGCTCAGCATCTTCTCTGTCTTTCTAGGATGTCTGGTTTCTTCTCCCAATTCTTCCCTCCTTCATGCCCAGTCCAAGCTGAGGCCAGTTCTAACAGCTTCTGTGATCACCAGCAAAGATAAGAATCTTTCTGCCTCGTTCTCTAGACATAACCTCCAGGTCCAGGTTCAACTGCAAACCAAACTCCAGGCAGCTCCTCATATTCTGGTTCCCACAACCAGAAAAAATATCTCAAAAGTTGCATTATTTATGATTCCAGTCTTTCTACCCGATTCCAGTCTTTCTACAGCCTGAAATTACATAGCCTTTTCCTTTCTCACAATTGTTCCCATTACTCCAGTCTCTACCACCTGCCCTATTATGTCTTTCTCAATCAATATCTTTTTTTTACCTGCCCAATGATATATCTTTCTCAATCAGTATCTTTTTTTTTTTTTTTTTTTTTTTGCAGGAGAATGGGGCTGTGTGTTTCCCTGCCCCACCCAATACACACATTCACAACCACTGCCACCTGCACTTCTCTGGGCACTCAAGGTGGCACAGTAGTCAGGGCATTTCTGGAGTCTCTCTGCCTCTGTATCCCCCACCCCAGTTTTGAACTCAATAAATTGAACACCATTTATTCTTTTTTTTAATCTTGATTAATGTTAAATTAGAATGAATTCGAGTGGCATTCTTGTTGAATTAATCTGAAATACTTGTTTGAATTAAAATGTCCTTTCAAATTCATATCTAGTACTCCAGGAAGTAAAGCAAAGAAATTTTGATGGATAATGTAGGGCAATGAGTATAGAATCTTCCCCACATCAATTGATATCCACTTAATACTGTGAACTCTTCCAGCTAATAAAGGCTTGTCTTGACTTTCTGAGTATGTTTTCCTTTGATGGTCTTATCTAGGCAAATTTTTAAAAATTATTATTATACTTTAAGTTTTAGGGTACATGTGCACAATGTGCAGGTTTGTTACATATGTATACATGTGCCATGTTGGTGTGCTGCACCTATTAACTCATCATTTACATTAGGTATACCTCCTAATGGTATCCCTCCCCCCTCCCCCCTACCCCACGACAGGCCCCGGTGTGTGATGTTCCCCTTCCTGCGTCCAAGTGTTCTCATTGTTCAATTCCCACCTATGAGTGAGAACTTGCGGTGTTTGTTTTTTTGTCCTTGCGATAGTTTGCTGAGAATGATGGTTTCCAGCTTCATCCATGTCCCTACAAAGGACATGAACTCATCCTTTTTTATGGCTGCATAGTATCCCATCGTGCATATGTGTCACATTTTCTTAATCCGGTCTATCATTGCTGGACACTTGGGTTGGTTCCAAGTCTTTGCTATTGTGAATAGTGCCGCAATAAACATACGTGTACATGTGTCTTTATAGCAGCATGATTTATAATCCTTTGGGTATATACCCAGTAATGGGATGGCTGGGTCAAATGGTATTTCTAGTTCTAGATCCCTGAGGAATCGCCACACTGACTTCCACAATGGTTGAACTAGTTTACAGTCCCACCAACAGTGTAAAAGTGTTCCTATTTCTCCACATCCTCTCCAGCACCTGTTGTTTCCTGACTTTTTAATGATTGCCATTCTAACTGGTGTGAGATGGTATCTCATTGTGGTTTTGATTTGCATTTCTCTGATGGCCAGTGATGATGAGCATTTTTTCATGTGTTTCTTGGCTGCATAAATGTTTTCTTTTGAGAAGTGTCTGTTCATATCCTTCGGTCACTTTTTGATGGGGTTGCTTGTTTTCTTGTAAATTTGTTTGAGTTCATTGTAGATTCTGGATATTAGCCCTTTGTCAGATGAGTAGGTTGCAAAAATTTTCTCCCATTCTGTAGGTTGCCTGTTCACTCTGATGGGGGTTTCTTTTGCTGTGCAGAAGCTCTTTAGTTTAATTAGATCCCATTTGTCAATTTTGGCTTTTGTTGCCATTGCTTTTGGTGTTTTAGACATGAAGTCCTTGCCCATGCCTATGTCCTGAATGGTATTGCCTAGGTTTTCTTCTAGGGTTTTTATGGTTTTAGGTCTAACATGTAAGTCTTTAATCCATCTTGAATTAATTTTTGTATAAGGTGTAAGGAAGGGATCCAGTTTCAGCTTTCTACATATGGCTAGCCAGTTTTCCCAGCACCATTTATTAACTAGGGAATCCTTTCCCCATTGCTTGTTTTTGTCAGGTTTGTCAAAGATCAGATGGTTGTAGATATGTGGCATTATTTCTGAGTGCTCTGTTCTGTTCCATTGGTCTATATCTCTGTTTTGGTACCAGTACCATACTGTTTTGGTTACTGTAGCCTTGTAGTATAGTTTGAAGTCAGGTAGCGTGATGTCTCCAGCTTTGTTCTTTTGGCTTAGGATTGACTTGGCAATGCGGGCTCTTTTTTGGTTCCATATGAACTTTAAAGTAGTTTTTTCCAATTCTGTGAAGAAAGTCATTGGTAGCTGGATGGGGATGGCATTGAATCTATAAATTAACCTTGGGCAGTATGGCCATTTTCACATTATTGATTCTTCCTATCCATGAGCATGGAATGTTCTTCCATTTGTTTGTATCCTCTTTTATTTCGTTGAGCATTAGTTTGTAGTTCTCCTTGAAGAGGTCCTTCACATCCCTTGTAAGTTGGATTACTAGGTATTTTATTCTCTTTGTAGCAATTGTGAATGGAAATTCACTCATGATTTGGCTCTCTGTTGGTCTGTTATTGGTGTATAAGAATGCTTGTGATTTTTGCACATTGATTTTGTATCCTGAGACTTTGCTGAAGTTGCCTATCAGCTTAAGGAGATTTTGGGCTGAGATGATGGGGTTTTCTAGATATACAATCATATCATCTGCAAACAGGGACAATTTGACTTCCTCTTTTCCTAATTGAATACCCTTTATTTCCTTCTCCTCCCTGATTGCCCTGGCCAGAACTTCCAACACTATGTTGAATAGGAGTGGTGAGAGAGGTCATCCCTGTCTTGTGCCAGTTTTCAAAGGGAATGCTTCCAGTTTTTGCCCATTCAGTATGATATTGGCTGTGGGTTTCTCATAAATAGCTCTTATTATTTTGAGATACGTCCCATCAATACCGAATTTATTGAGAGTTTTTAGCATGAAGGTTGTTGAATTTTGTCAAAGGCCTTTTCTGCATCTATTGAGATAATCATGTGGTTTTTGTCTTTGGTTCTGTTTATATGCTGGATTACATTTATTGATTTGCGTATGTTGAACCAGCCTTGCATCCCAGGGATGAAGCCAACTTGATCGTGGTGGATAAGCTTTTTGATGTGCTGCTGGATTCGGTTTGCCAGTATTTTATTGAGGAGTTTTGCATCGATGCTCATCAGGGATATTGGTCTAAAATACACCCACTTTTATATCATATTGCAAAGTAGTCATAATATTTATCATGTGATATGTTATCACCCTCTTCTGAACTCCTGCGTCTGTTATTACCTTTAACTAGTTGCTAGATAAATTGTAATGCCAGCTTTACATCTTTTCTGCCATTGTCTTAAACTGTTATTTAACTTCTTTATTATGGTTTAACTTTCTTATATGTTTATGTTAGCTCCCCAGTAGAGTGGAAGATACTTTAGAGATAGGAACATAGTTTATACATCCCTCTATTCCTCCTAATTCCTTAAGTAGAGTCACCCAGGAAGTATTTATTGATCTGATTTAACCAGTTCATGTGGCACAATAAGACTTTTTGTTTTGTACATTATACCCTGTTAATATGGTCGCAAATAGTATTGGGTTTTGGATAATTATTTCTTAGTATGAACTCATAATGAGCCCAGAACCCACTTTTTCCTCCAAGTTTCTGTCTGTCCCTTTCTCTTCTAATTTTTTCAAAAATGTGCATGTCATCCCTGTGCAGGGACCATGCTAATCTTCTCTGTATCATTCTAATTTTAGTATATGTGCTGCTGAAATAAGCGCCCTTTCGATTTTTTTTTTTTAAGATGGAGTCTTACTCTGTCACCAGGCTGGAGTGCAGTGGCGTGATCTAAGCTCGCTGCAACCTCCGACTCCCTGGTTCAAGCGATTCTTCTGCCTCTCCAGTAGCTGCATTTATGGGCTCGCGCCACCACGCCCAGCTAGTTTTTTTTTTTTTTTTTTTTTTTGTATTTTTAGTAGAGACGGGGTTTCACCATGTTGGCCAGGATGGTCTCGATCTCCTGACCTCATGATCTGCCCGCCCTGGCCTCCCAAGGTGCTGGCATTACAGGCATGAGCCACCGTGCCCGGCCGCCCTTTCAATTTTTTTTTTGGAGACAGAGTCTTGCTCTGTCTCCCAGGCTGGAGTGCAGTGGCACGATCTCCACTTACTGCAACCTCCGCCTCCTGGGTTCAAGCAATTCTCCTGCCTCAGCCTCCTGAGTAGCTGGGACTACAGGCACACGCTGCCACGCCTGGCTAATTTTTTGTATTTTAGTAGAGACGGGGTTTCACTGTGTTGCCCAGGCTGGTCTTGAACTCCTGAGCTCAAGCAATCCGCCCACCTCGGCCTCCCAAAGTGCTAGGACTACAGGCATGAGCCACTGTGCTCAGCCTAGTTTTTTAAACAAGAACCCTTCTATGCCTTTACTTAAATATCAATGTAATTAAATTTTGATTTATTGTTCCTCTTGTTAGTTTTAGCTTTATTATCACATATTTTTCATAAATATCTTTGTCCAAGTAATTAATAAAACATTGTTTGCTATATTTGTTTTCCGTTGCTGCATAATGAATTACCACAAACTTAATTGCTCGGAACAACAACCATTTATTATCTTGCAGTTTCCATGGGTCAGGAGATGGTCGTGGCTCAACTTGGTCCTCTGCTCAGGGTCTCACAGGCTGCAATCAAGGTGTTGGCAGAGCTGGTGGTCTCATCTCAGGCTCGGGGTTCTCTTCCAAGCTCATGTGATTGTTGGCAGAATTTAGTTCTTTGTGGTTGTGGGATTGAGGCCCTCAGATCCTAGGGGCTGCCTGCAATTCCCTGTCACATGGTCTTTCCATAGGCAGTTCATATAACAGCACCTTGCTTTTTCAAGGCCAGCGAGGGATAAAGTCTCAGTTTGTCTCTCACAATGGCAAGAAGGAATCAATAATATACACATATATACCTAGTCATGGGAGTGGCTTCTCATTACCCTTGCCATATTCTATTGGTTAGAACCTACTCACATGTCCCACTCATACTCAGGGAAAGGTGATTAAACAAGGACATGAATACCAGGAGGTGGGCGTCATTGGGGGTCACCTTATGGTCTGTCTGCTATATTTGGCATAGCTCTGAATCAGGCTAATTGAAGACTTTCTTTTTTTCTTTTTCTTTTTTTTTATTTTTATTTTTTGAGATGGAGTTTCGCTCTTGTTACCCAGGCTGGAGTGCAATGGCGTGATCTCGGCTCACCACAACCTCCGCTTCCTGGATTCAAGCGATTCTCCTGCCTCAGCCTCCCGAGTAGCTGGGATTACAGTCATGTGCCACCATGTGATTTTGTATTTTTAGTAGAGATGGGGTTTCTCTGTGTTGGTCAGGCTGGTCTTGAACTCCTGACCTCAGGTGATCTGCCCGTCTTGGCCTCCCAAAATGCTGGGATTAGAGGCATGAGCCACCGCGCCTGGCCAAGACTTTTTAACTTACTGTTATCCATCAACAAACACTCACTTGGGTAAGGCTGCTCTAACAGCTGTGACTCTAACTTTACTGTCATCCACCAAATGTTTTTTCATCTACTTACAAAGATAAAATGAGAGATGATGTTCAGTAGTTTGCCTGAAGTCATTCATTGTGTGGGGCCTTCCACTGAGACAGAGTGCTGGAGTGGGAGCAAAGTTGAGATGATTTGAATTTGGGTGCCTATCAGATATCCACCTAGAGATGTTCATTTCCCCATGGCCTGGGGTATAGAGAGGGTCTGGGCTCGAGTAGAGATTTGGGATCCTTCATGTATAGATGATATATGAAGCCTAGGATATGAGTATACTTTGAGAGGGAAAAGGTGCCAAGGGTAGAATTCTGGGGGAAATCCAGGTACTCAGTTTGAGGGATTTCCCTCACCTCCTTATATAGCAACCCAAACAAAAAGGAAACAAGTTATCCAGCCTCAGAGGAAAAGCTGTATTATTTTGTCTACTTCTGCTTCAGTCCCTTCTCTGTTTATTGTAGATACTACTTATTCAATTATACCTCTTTTCTTCTGGTTTCTTCTTCTCTTCCTTTCCACTGGACCCATTCGCTGTCGTCCATAAACATGTTCTGGTCTTCGTTTGCTGTATCTTCTAGCTACCAGTACCTATCTAGTCAGCCACTTAATTTTTCTGGGCCTCAATTTCCTCAGAGATTGAGGGACGTGATGTAGGGAGGAGGTTATGATTTTTAAGAAGCCTCTTTCTGACCTAAATTCTGTTCTGCCATCTTATTTCTCTACCTTTTCCCGTTTTGGGTTGTGTTGACTGTTCAGTTCCTTTTTGAAACTTCCCTCCCTTGGCCACAGAGTTGTACTCCTCTAGTTCCCTTTCTGCCTGCCTCTGTCACTGCTTCTCCATTACTTTTGTTTCCTCCTGCCTCCTAATTATGTCCATATTCAGGGGTGTAAAGTTCTTTACCTTTTTTCTCTTTATACTCACTGCCTCAGAGATTTCATCTACACTCCTGGCTTCACCTTTTTTTTTTTTTTGGTTTTTAATTATAGAAGTAACACACAATTACATGTTCCTATTAAAAAATAATATAGATGCATCTAGAGTAAAAAGTGAAAATGCCCCTTCAACCTCATCCTCAGACGTAACCACCATTATCGGATTGGTGTTCTTTCTCCAGGTGTTGAGTCCCAGATCTATAAAGGTAGCTCTAAACTCTAGATAGCTGCAATCAGGATACCCTTACTTGGATGCTCCACTATCAGCATATAAAATCAGCTAGCTGAATGACTTTGGGCATATGGTTGATGTGTTTTTTTTTTAATTCTGTGGTTCTTTCATGTCTTATATTTATTTCTTTTTGTGTCTCCATAGCATTAAACGGTAGATATTCCTTACATGTTTGGTTGATTCTGTTATTTTGCAGCTGATAACCTCTCATTAGTACTCCTTCCCAATTTGCTTATATGCATAGACCCAAGGAAATAGAATAACCCTCTGTCAGTACTTTAGATGAAAAGGTGGGTGGCTGAGTATAGGGCTTAATCACTGGGAACCAGAACACATGAGCAATTCAGCAGGTAACAGTAAGTATGGGGGCTTAAGGAGAATGGGGTGGTAGATGGGTAGTATATTGAAAACTTTGGTCAGTAAATTAAAGCCAGGGTGCTAACATTAAATATATCATGGGTTGTAAAATATAAATATCTTAATCTAAAATATTAGCTACCAAAATCACTGTTCATGTGAAAACATTGTTTTGGCTCTGAAAAAGATACATGGATAATCTCTGCAGTGTAATGGGTCATTTTGCAAAAGTATATTCTACTATATGTGTATTAAATGCAAATTAATTGGAAAGATTGCCAATGAGAGTGTATCATTGCATGTTGTATTAATGAGGCTGTGTTGCATAAGCAGTTACACACTGAAAATTGCCAGTCTCTGTAAAAGCTTAATTCCAAAGAAATTTAGGATAATCATGGACAGGATCCATAGTAGTGGTTCTCAACTAGGGGCAATTTTACCCCCTGGGGACATTTAGCAATGTCTGGAGACATTTTTGTTTGTCACAATTGTGGGGAGGTGTTACTGGCATCTAGTGGGAACAGGCCAGGTAAGCTGATAAACATCCTACAATGCACAGGCCAACTCCCTACCATGAAGAATTATCTGACCCAAGATATCAGTAATGCTGAAGTTGAGGAACCTTGATGAAGGGAATTTTGGGTAGGGCAGGAGATCCATGGCGGTGACCATTGATGCCCCTTTGTATTAATGCTGATGTCCTGTAATTCTTAACCTTGCTACCTAGTTGAAAGCTAGAGGATATGACAATTGTTTGGCTTTTAATAACAGCATACATATCAGATAGATGGACAATTTATTTTCTTTTCTAGGTGTTCTGGTTATTTGACTATTAAAGTAAATTATCCCCAGACTTTTTCAGTGCTGATTTTTTTTCAAGGGGAACTTACCGCCAGAACATTTAAAGAGCGACAGACAAAAATGTTGAGACTTGATAAATTTTATGTTGAGTTATTGCATATTAATACTTAGTCCTAAATACTGTACGTGAATGTATCTTAAACTGTGATATAGCTCAGGGGTGTAAATGAGTTGCCTTAGGTAATGTAGTGATTTATTCATAGACCCAAGGCCAGAAATCAGATTCCTTGATTCCCAGACCATTATTCCTTCAATTTGGCTATGGCTTCTGTATAACATCTTTTCTGCTTTGAGTCTCCTGAAGAGCAGAATCAAGTATGTCAAAAATTGAATGATCTTAGGTGCTGGATGTTTTGCACATTTATGCAAGAATATTCAATGTTACCAGTCATCTTAAAAAAGCAACAAAATAACCCAAAATAATGCTGAGTAAAACACAAGAAGTTATGTTACTTTTTCACTTGGTGACATGGATGAAATATTACAGCAAATGGGGACAGAGCTTAAAGGAAGTGGTAGGGTGAAAGGACCGTTAGTATAACACAGCTGGATGGCATTTCTCTAAGCTACCATTTTGAAGAATGTTGCTCTTTGGACTGACTCCCAAACTCCATCTGGCTAGCACTTTGGAATTTTAAATGGGTAAAAAATATGATTTTCCATTGCTCCCAGCTGCCCTGCATGGTTTAATAGACAACTATGTAAAAGACAGGGAGTAGAACCAGCATTTGATTTGCTTTATGAAATTGGGAAATACACTTGGTTTTTTAAGCTCAAGTTTTTTCATAGGTAGATGATATGGTGGAGGATTATGGTAGTTAATATTTATTGAATCCTTACAATTTATCAGGTACTAAGCCCTTCCACATATTATTAAACCTCAATATAGTTCTATAAGGTAAATACCATATTACCCCCCTTTTAAAGTTGAGAAACTGAGGCAAAGAGAAATTAAGTAACTAGCTTTCACAGCTAATAAGTAGTTCCTGGTATGAATTGAGATATACTGTAAGTGTAAAATACACACCAGATTTCAAAGACAGCATGATAAAAAAATGTAGAATATCTCAACAATGTTCTGTATTGATTACATGTTAAAATGATAATATTTTGCTTTTTTTAATTCTTAGTTTTTGTGGGTACATAGTGTATATATTTATATACACTTGAAATATTTTGATACATGAAATATTTTGGTACATGAAATATTTTGATACAGGCATGTAATGCATAGTAATCACATCATGGAGAATGGGGTATCTGTCCCTTCAAGCATTTATCCTTTGTGTTACAAACAATCCAATTATACTCTTTTAGTTCTTTAAAAATGTATAGTTAAATTATTATTGACTTATAGTCACCCTGTTGTGCTATCAAATAGTAGGCCTTATTCATTCTAGTTATTTTTGGTACCTATTAACCATCCCTACCTTTCCCATAGTCCCCCACTACCCTTCCCATTCTCTGGTAACCACCCTTTTACTATCTATGTCCATTGAAGTAATATTTTGGATATATTGGGTCAAATAAATTAGAGCGTTAAAGTTAATTTGACCCATTTCTTTGTGCTTTTCTTAAGGTGGCATCCAGAAAATTTCAAATTACATATGTGGCTCACATTTTTATATTTCTGTTAGACAGCACTGCTCTAGAGGTGGGTGATATCTCATCCTTATATCATGTACATGAGACTAAAGGCTGAGGAAGCCAAAAAATTAAATACATTGGATTAAAGTTTGCTGTTGTAGCCATTAAGTCTCTAAGGTGACATTAGGCCTATTCTCTAATGTTTGCATTATTAAGGGGTAAGGAACAAGGAAGCTTTTAAACTTAGGTACATTCTAGAGTTTTAGTCCCATACACATCTGTTGAATAACTGTGTAAGGCATTGTGTTGATACTGTGGCTCATATAAAAATCAGTGACTTAGACTTTGCCATCAAGGAGCTTATAATGTGGTAAAAGAACATGTACACACACAACTGTACATAAAATCATATATAATGGAGTGGTAGAAACAAAGGGCTTAGAATCTTAAGAGTACAAGAGGTTATTTGCAGCTAGCATGAGGGTGGAAGGTTTAGGAAGGAGGTGACATTTGAGCTGGTTGGAGAAAGATGGATAGGATTTCAGTAGAGGTCCCCTCTATACTCAAAGGAACATGCAGAACTAGGTGACAGGTCACTGAGCTGACATGCTTTTCTCTTCACCAAACGGAAACTCTGTGTGGCACAAAATGGAGAGAGGTCAGATACCTTGACATGTGGGTTTTTTAAGGGCCCATTTATGTTGATATGCCTTCCTCATCAGACCCCTGTCTTGCATATACATAGAAATTTCCAATCATAGAATACACTGCTTATCTAAGTCTTTTGGTTTCTGACATCCTGGATCAGCCAGGCAGCAAGTGATGAAACACACATATGCCTGTGCATATGTTTCTAGTTATGCATAGATGAATGGGCAGGCAGATAAATTGTTTTTAAACTGTAGTTAAAATGGCCCCATCTTGAAATTTAGATTTAACTTGAATTTCTCTTGTCTAATCTCTTGGGCAAATAATTGTAGCTCCTACCATGGGGAAGAATAAAGAAAGGGGCAGAAAGAGGCTGGGAATGTTACTCTAACAGAAGTATCTCTACCTTGAAGTGGGAACAGTGGGGGAAAAAAATACTCTCCTCACTCCACCAGTACCACTATGTTCAAGTCTGGCCTTTCCTTTCAGCTACCAATTACTTGTCAAATGGATTGGTTTGGTTTTGTATGGAGGTCATTTGGCTTTACAAAAAAAAAAAGGGAAATAAAAGACTATTATTTTCAAGATAAAACCTGGAAAGAAAAGAACCTATACCCTTAAGTAGGAAGGACTCTCCAGTCTATATTTGCAGACGGGCTGACTTTGTCTTCCAGGTGGGTTTTTTTTTTCCAGTTGTTTGTTTTATGCTAATAGAGTTTTGCCCCATTAACATAGAATATGATTCAGTGACTCCTTCCTGCTCTCCAGAGGACACCTGTACAGTTAATTGGCTTTTCCTTTTATAGAATTCTAAAATGTTAAAGCTACAAATGGATACTCTTATAGAATGTTACAGTAGCCAAATCCCTTAGTTAAAAATGGTAATGTAGCTCTTCTCTTTAAAAAATTAAAAATAAATGTAATATGTTATTGTAATATGTATTTAACCAGTTTTAAAAATTAGAAAACATAAATAAGAAACAACAAATTTTAACATCCCAGATTTAAAAAGAGAGAGAACCATTGTTAACACCCATGCATATAGACTTCTAGACGTGTGTGTGTAACTTTTTTTTTTTTTTTTTGAGACGGAGTTTCACTCTCGCCCAGGCTGGAGTGCAATGGCACAATCTCGGCTCACCGCAACCTCCGCCTCCTGGGTTCAAGCGATTCTCCTGCCTCAGCCTCCCGAGTAGCTGGGATTACAGGCATGCACCACCACGCCCAGCTAATTTTGTATTTGTAGTAGAGACAGGGTTTCTCCATGTTGGTCAGGCTGGTCTTGAACTCCCAGATCACAGATGATCAGCCTGCCTCGGCCTCCCAAAGTACTGGGATTACAGGCGTGAGCCACTGTGCCCGGCCGTGTGTGTGTAACTTTAATAAAAAATGGATCACATCATTTTGTAAAGTATCTTTTTCATCTTTACATTGTAGATATGTTTCTATATTGACACCTCTTCATCTACAATAACTTTTTTGTGTTTTTGTTTTGTTTTGTTTGAGACGAGGTCTCACTCTGTCGCCCAAGCTGGAGTATAGTGGTGCGATCACAGCTCATTGCAATCTTGACCACCTGGGCTCAGGCCATCCTCTTACCTCAGACTCCCAAATAGCTGAGACCATAGGTGCAGGCCACCATGGCCAGCTAATTTTTTAATTATTTGTAGATATGGTTTCTCACTATGTTGCCCAGGCTGGTCTTGAACTCCTGAACTTAAGCCGTCTTCCTGCCTCGGCCTCTCAAAGCATTGGGGTTATAAGTGTGAGCCACCGTGCCCAGCCTACAATAACACTTGACTACTCCATTTTATTGATGTACCACGAGTTATTTAATTAATCCACTGTTATTGGATATTTAAGTTGTTTCCAGTGTTCCCTATCATTACATGTGCTACAGTGAATGTCCTCATACTTAAATCTTTCTGTATATACTTAATGTTTGTTTAGTATAAATTCTAAAAAGTAGAATTGGATAGGTAGGAGGGTGAAGATTGATCAATGTATACTATCCCCAGTAGTCAACTGAACTCTTGCCAATCCTGTGTATTCTCGTTCAGAAAATGCTTGTCAATTTGGTAAGTCAAAAAGGGCTTTTTGTTGTAGTGTATTCCTTTAGTTACGACGATGTTGGACTTTCTTCATATGCTTATATTATTGACAGTTCTTTATTGGGCACTTTTAAATTTATTTATAAGTTATTTTTAAGGATAGTGACTCTCATAATGTTGCACAGGTTGCTTCTCAGTTTTGATATTTGCTTTGTAATAGATTTATTTTTAATGTCCATGAGTTTTCCACTTTTATACAGTCAAATGTATCAGCCTTTTCCTCTATGGTTTGTACTTTACACATATCTCACCACAGAGCAAGGAATTCTAAGGGCCAAGGAGATGTGCCTACCTGCCTGTTTCTTCTAGACCAAGCTTGTGCAACCCGCGGCCTGTGGGTCACGTGCAGTCCAGTACAGCTTTGAATGTGGCCCAACACAAATTCATAAACTTTCTTGAAACATTATGAGATTTTAAGATTTTTTTTTTTTTGGTCGTCAGCTATCGCTAATGTATTTTATGTCTGGCCCAAGATAATTCTTCTTCCAGTGTGGCCCAGGGAAGCCAAAAGATTGGACACCCCTGTTCTAGACCATACTCTAGGTACTTGGAAGCTGAGGAATCTCTATTCAATGTGCTTCCAGGGCTTGCGAGGGCCTCTGCCCTGGATCTGTCCTCTCAAGGAGAGACTGTGCCATATGTGTGAGCTCTTCTAGGTCTAAGGGGTCTAAGGGGGTGCTTGTTTGGTGGGAGAAGTGTATGGATGGAGCTTGGCTGTGTGGACTGAGTGGTCTACACACAGGCGGCCAAGGCTCCTAGCTGTGTAGGAAGGAGTGGGGTAGTGGAGAGAAGGAAGGAGAATTAAGAGCCTATACTTACATTCTTGCCCCTGGCCTTGTAAATATTAGGGATGGACCTATTTCTCATAGTAATAGTTATAATTTTAGTTACAGTTAAAGATTGAATCTTTGTGGCATTTCCTTTGGGATAAGATGAGATCAAAAAACTAACTTTTCCCCCAAATGCCACCCCTTTCTTTTGTAGATGGGGAAACTGAGCCTTAGGCTGTAATTGGTCCAGAGTCACTGGGCTGGTTAGTGGCAGAGCTGTTTCTTATGACTGATAGAGTAGTGCTGATTTTTTTTTAGACAGATAGACCTGGGTTTAACTCTGGGATCTGTTACTAACTCGCCTTTCATGTGTTGTGCAGGACAGGTCACTTAACCTCTCAGAGTCTCTAATTAAGTAAATAAGAGAATCCTACCCACCACCTATCCCTGTGCCACCACCATTCCACCCAACTAGCTGCATTTTCTAGGTTATGCCCCTTGTAGGCAGTGTCGACCTCAGCCTCTTGCCTCGTCTTGTGGACTGACTGTTGCCTCTGTTTCTAAAACAGTCAAAGCTCTATGGCCCTTAGTTGAAACCTGTACCCTTTAAGCTCCAACCAGAACCCTGAGGATGGGAATACACATATCTGTAGACACCCAACAAAGTATTTGTGTTTTACAGAGTTGGCATGTTTTTTTTTTTTTAACAGCTTCCGATTAGCTGTTTAGTCACCCCCCAGCCCATGAGTCCCCCATGAGGTACCATAAGCATAGCCACTGTAAAAGTCTCTGATAATTTGACTGCTTTTGAATACTCCTTGTTTATTATAATGACTTTCGTGTGCTTTCCACTGTTCAATTTATTTTTCAGACATTCATCTAGATTTGACTCAGTATCTTTACATTCTGTCTTTACTTTTAATGATGTACTTACTGTGTACTCCAAAGACAGTTCAACCTAGCAACTATTAAACTGACTTTCAACATGGCACGATTCTTTCTTTTTTTAATATTTAATGAAGGAAAGCCCTACTGCTCTATTTCCCCAGAGGTAGAAATCTCAATTTATGTTGTTTGAGCTGGGAGAACTTGTTAATTAAAACTGTCGAACTGTAGTGAATTTTGCTATTTTAATATATGTTTCATCAGTTGATGGGGGCAGGGGTTGGAATAGTAAAGAGTACACAGATACTTTTGTGATTTGGTTATGATGAGACTGATCTTCTAATGGATCTTCAAATTGACAAATTCTGGGAAAGCCAAAAACCAATCCCAATCTGTATAGAACTGTACCACTATTCCAAAGGTCTGTCTTAATTCTTTGAGCCTGATTCTCTTGCCTTCACTCTGCTTTAGGACCAGTCTGCTTTAGGACATTAGAGCTAATATTAGCCTTAGACTGGAGCCATGCCACTTCCAGAAGGGTTCCACACTGGGTTTTGAATCCAAACAGGCCTAATCTTCCAAGATTCTTAAAATCCTATTGTCTTACCTTTGATCTAGTGCAGCCTCTGACTAAGGCTGGCATGCCACTCACCCTGCAGTGGCCTTAGCAGGTGATTGTTCCAGCTACCCCACAAGCAGTGACTCTGGAGTGGGTCTGCCTGGATTTGAATTCTAGCTCTGACACTTGACTAGCTGTGGTTATAGCCACATTTTACTCCTCTGTGCTTAGTTTTATCATCTGTAAGATGGGGATAGTAGTATCTGCCTCACAGGAGTGTTGGGATCATTAAATCAGCTAATAAATGTATAGTACTAATGTCTACTAGCCTATTGTTGTTGCTTTTGCTGTTGTTATTCCGTTGTCATGGAGATTGAAATGCTTGAAAATCCTTCCTTATATTCAGCTGAAACCTGTCTCTGTTATCTCTAACCACTGTGGCTGCACAGAGGAAAGTATAACCCTTTCCCCACTTGCTAGCCTTTCAGATACGGGACAGGTAAGGACACATGTATGAAAGCACATTGTAAGCTGTAAAGTGATGTGTTACCTACAACAAGGTATTTAATATTATCATTATATTTTAACCTACATTATAATTATTATCTAACTTGTCCTTTCTATCTGCCACATCTTATCTTTTAAAAACTGCATACTTTGCGTTCCTTCTAGCGTTCTTTATATGACATGATTTCCAGATATTTAACCATCTTAGTTGCCTTATTTGGGATATACTCAGGTTCATTCATGTCTCCATTAAAATTTGGCCCTCAGGAATTGACTTGGTCCTGTATAGGCAATTGAGCTAGTACAGAGCACAACAATAATATAATATTTACCTCTCCCCTCTCTTAAAAAATACATACCTTGTGGCCGGGCGTGGTGGCTCATGCCTGTAATCCCAGCACTTTGGGAGGCCGAGGCGGGTGGATCACTTGAGGTCAGGAGTTCAAGACTAGCCTGGCTAACATGGGGAAACCCCATCTCTACTAAAAATACAAAAAATTAGCTGGGCGTGGTGGCATGCTCCTGTAATCCCAGCTACTCGGGAGGCTGAGGTATGAGAATTGCTTGAACCCCGGAGGTGGAGGCTGCAGTGAGCCAAGATTGCACCACTGCACTCCAGCCTGGGCGACAGAGTGAGACTCTGTCTCTATAAAAGAAAAAAAAATACATACCTTGTTAATGAAGTGGAATATTCTGCCAGTTTGAGGGAATATTATCATTCTGTTGACTGAAGAGCTTTTTAGATGAAGTCCCATTAAACTGTTTTAACCATTTTAAAACTTGCATCCACTTATTTTTTCACTAGATAATTTTTGAGTCTTCTTTGTGCCAGGCACTATGTTGCATTCTGGGGATACAATGGTGAGTTCTACCTTTATCTCCATTACCTTTCAGTTCCTAGCCTCGCCTGTTGGTATTTTTGGATTCTAGCTCTATTTGAAACACATTGGCTGTGTCTCCATGTTTTATATCATTCATGAATTTTATGATCATGTTTCCGCTGTCTTTTCTAACTTGGTGGTATTTCAGTAGTGCCAAGTACAGAGCCCTGAAGCATTCAAGTTGATCTTCTGTGAGGCTGACATTGATCCATTAATTGGTATTCTTTAAAAACTCTTTTTATTTTAAAAACAATTATTGATTCAGATAATTATGGTTACTGCAAACAAATGTACAGGGAAGTCTCATGTACCCTTCCTCCAGATTCCTCCAGTGATAGCATGTTACAAACTATAGTACAATATTGAAACCAAGAAACTGACATTGATACAATCCGCAGGGCTTATTGATAGAGAGGTGGAGAGGGAGAGAGAAAGGGAATGGGGGGAGGGAGGGAGAGAGAAAGAAATGAGAGAGGCTCCATGCAACTTTATCACATGCAGCTTTGTGTAACCATCCCCACTATGATCAAGAGACTTTACTATCACTACAAGACTTCCTTTTGCTGTCCCTTTATATAGCCACATCCCTTCCTCCTCCTCATTTCTAATCCCTGGCAAACACTAATCTGTTCTCCATCTCTATAATTATATTATTTTACAAATGTCACATAAATGGAATTGTGCAGTATATATCCTTTTGAGATTAGTTTTTTTTTTCACTCAGCATAATTTATTTGAGATTCATCCCAGTTGTTGCATTTAGCAATAGTTTGTTCCAGTGGCATTCTTGTTGAGTAAGGTTATTTGATCAATCATAAATCATCCTACTTGTTCAGGACATACCTGTCTCATATGAACATATTCTATAGGGAAAAAATGTCTTCAGTGACTTACTGAAACTCAAAAACACTTCGTTCCATTACCTCAGTCTATGATTCTCATGACCTGATCATTGTTCATAACCATCTGTTTACTAGTTCATTATAAACTGATTTTTTTCCCATCAAGATTAGCAGTCTTTGTTTTCAGAGCCATTTCAGAAATACCCCAGCTTTTTAGTTTTACAAGTAACAGCCAAATTTTTCTAGTCTGCTATGATTTTTTTCAGAGATTACCAGCAGTGGCCTCTCAATCAGGACAGTAGGTTATCTCAATACTATAAGATATACTTTATCTGGGCCTACAGGTCCAAGTTCATTTGAAACTGCTTGCTACTCTCACTATCTCTACATCAGTTGGGCTGTGATGAACTCTTATTCACATTTGTGCTACTGTTTCCAGTTTGAAAAATTATTCTTATCATTTAAGATGAAATAGAAATAGCAACTGAGTCATTCTACTTGCTTGCTCGCTCGCTCTGTCTCTGTCACCTGTTCACATATATCTTCTACTTAGGGTAGATGATCTTACTTTGAAAAATCTGCACCTGCTATAGCTACATTAGTTCCTGTAGCCTAAAAGCTTGTTTTCTGTGCAGCTTATGTTGTGTTCTTTAGTCACTTCTCCTTTTTTTTTCTTCAAGATCATGGGGGATTGATAATATTTTGAGACCTATCCTCCCAAATATTTTATTCCTCTTACACATTAGTCCACTTAAGGTTCACTGTGGTCTCTTGTAGAAATTCTCATTCTCAGTATCTGGGGAATACCTTCATTCCCTGTTGTTTTTGTTTGTTTGTTTGTGGTTATTACCCAACAATACTTAAAATGACATGGCCATATTTCCTAAAGTTTCTTTCACTTCTACTTTTACCAATCAGTTCTTCTTTCTTGGTCAAACTTAGTTACAAAGTTTGTAGTTCCTCTCATTGCTTTCTCGGCATCCTAAAGTATGGAATTTTCCTTTTATAAGTGCAACGCACACCTTCCCCTTTCATAAGCATGTTATTTCCTGGCTGACATTCCCTTCTCAGTTCTCCTGTGCCCTCCCAGAACTCTTGTTCCTTGATCAAGCATGTCCATATATTCGCAGCCATTTTTTTTCCAGAACTCTTTCCCTTGATGACACTGTTTTCTCCACAGTCATCTTAAATGGAGCCTGCTCATTTGCCGATAATTCCTCAATCTTAAGCTAGCTTCTGGTGCCAGAATGTTGTTCAACAACTTTCCTTTTCCCTTATTCTTTGACGTGCATGCTATCAGTTATTATGTCTATTCCTTTCATTGGCACAGACCTATCTTTAGGTTACTTGCTCTCATTCTATGAGACCTCTGGAACCTAGCTTAGTCTTCTGTGCTCCTCTGACTCCTTGCATCATCCCAGACCATGCCAGTAGCCTCCCTGATGCATCATCAGATGTCACAGCATGATATTTCCTTGCCCTACGATAATATGACCTCCATTTTCACTCTGCTTCAGCAACCTCTTCATATGGGGGGCACACTTATTAATCATGTCACCATCTGGAACTGTTCTACTTCTGATACTTAAACTCTGAAATTCAGCTTTTTGACTAAAACCTCCAGCCTTTCACATCTCCTGTTCCCTGACTTTCACAGAACCTCTTTGACATCATCATCACTTCCAGTTCCTTCCCCTTTCTCCCAGGAAGTTTTCTAGCCTTCTCCTGCTTCTATGTTCTTTCCCACCCAGCAAGCATTTCTAACCCCCACTTGACCCTGCCAACCATTTGATATTAATTCCCACAGTATCCTCAATTCCCTCATGTCCCTCTTGTTCCACTGCACCTGCCCTGCCAATCTCCAGACCTAGATGGACTTCAGCATCTGTTTTTTTCTGTTCTGTTCCCAGGCTGCTGAGTAAGTACTAGGGAAAATTGTCTCACCATGCTGATTATATCCATGACCAAACTGTGATTTCTAACCACAGCTGGATCCTCAACGGCTGTTCACTAATCCTTTTTTACACATTCCTGGTTGGTTTATTTTCCAAATTCCCACAGCAACTGTTCCATTTTCTTACCACACCCCTCAGGCCTCCTAACTTAGTCCTCTCTATCCCCAGCTTCCCCTCAGCAGGTAATCTAGTTATATAGATTACCTGCTGAGGGGAGCTGGAGAAAAGAGAGAGCCCATTGGTCACAAACTTTCTCTTTCCCATCCAAACATTTATTTCCATGGGTACTTTCATCTTCATTCTTTTAATATCATCTTTTCCAAGGCTAACCTCATTTTCCTTTTTACCTATCCCCTGATGCATCTTTTAAGATATTCTGTTCCATTAATCATCTCCCTTCTCTCTCTTGTATCTTCAGTGTTTTTCTTAAAGAGCTTTTTATTCTGCCTGCAGACATATCCAAGAATCCCCCTTTCATTTCCTACCCCAAAATCTTCTTTTTAATCATACTATCCCCATAGGCTAATGGGATATCTTTTTCTCATACTTTATTTCAAAGTATGTTAAAAGAGCCATCTATACTTCCTTATCTTTCAGTCTTCAGCTCTTGAAATCTGGCTTCTGTACCCTTCCCTCTACTAAAAACTGACCTCTCACAGGTCAGCATGACTTCCAGATTCAGATTAGGTGGGATTATGTGTCCCAAGACACGCAAAACAGAGGAGGGAAGACGTGTGTGTCCACGCACACCAGGTTGCCCATGCCTGTTTAGATGAGAAAAGAAGTATGAAGCAGGAGGAACAGAGTTCGATGCTACATCTTTCTTCTATTCCAGGGTGGTTCATAGTGTGATCCAGTAACACATTACTTCTTTCTCTGCTTTTATTATTGACAAATGTTTTTACCTTCTGGTTTGTTAAATTCCATAAGGAAGTGCTACCTTTTTATTACAGATGAGATGATGATGATGATGATAGTGGCCACCTACTGTGTGACATACACTGTGATAGATATTTAAATACATTCTAAACTTTAATCTTCATTAACAGCTTAGTGAAGTAAGTATTCTAATACCCAATTGATCCATGGGCCACTTAAGGTTCAGAGAGGGCAAATGTCTTGACCAAGATCACATGACAAGTAAGAGGCAACACAGAGGGTTGAACCCTGGTCAGCCTGGCTGGAAAGCACCTTCCTTAACTATTACACTATTGCCTTCTATAATCGAGTGCCAGATGCCATCTCACCAGCTCTTGATGATCATAACTGTGAGATTATTTTTGCTTTTTGCTGTTTCAAGCATCCTAATAACTTTGTTACCAGTCGTACTAAATCGGTATGTAGACTCCTCTAGCCCTAGGTATGATTTCTGGCTTTTTTGCCTTGTTTTCTCTTGAGAAGCAGTGAATATCCCTTCCAATATGGTTTTTCTTTGTCACAGTTGGTGGTATTTTTTCCTTCTCTTGACATTTCCCTTTCAGTCCATATTTATCATGTTAGTGAATCTCCAGCGAAATCATTTCTTCCTGCTCTTTGTGAAATTTTCTCCATCCCTGGCCAGAAGTCCATCATTCTGAGATTTTAAGTGATTCTCCAGAAAAACTACATCCTATTATTTGACATCATCTAAGTAGCAAGATATTCATTTCTCATATCTTCTCTCCTAGTGAAAAGTCATGACCTTCAACAGGAAGAAGCAGTGAAAAGCTTCCATGTGCCCTTTAAGTCTTCAGTTTTCTACCTAAGCTTTCAAAGTCAGTAGAGATACAGTACAGGTCCCTCTTGGTTATATAATTTGTTCCCAGATCTAAACATTTGCATGAATAAAAATAAACTAAAAGATGCATAACATCCATGTCTATTTTATTGAAAGAGTCAAAAAGGTACATGACATAAGGATCCAAGTGGGACTGATAAATAAAAAGGCAGCTTCTGCTGTTAATGGGGCTGAGACAATTGCAAGGTTAACAGGAAACACCGCTTCTCCCAACGTCACGCAGCAGCTGGAAAATGCCATGAAGACACCCTCTTTCAATGGCTACTGCTTTCTTATCAATGATGCTTCAAGACCCACTTGGCTCTTCCCATGTATTACTGGAGATTCCCAATTGCTGAGCTGCAATTGCCCATAGCAGCGGCGAATCCCTAATTTATTCCTGCTTCTCCTGTTCCTGCCTCATAAATCATAACCAGTCCAGAACTGATCCCTGCATTTCTTAGGCCTTCCTCAGAATCCTTCACCAGGAACCCACAAGAAGCTTTTTCCCCCTTCTTGTTGAGCACATTCCATGAATCCTCTGGAGTGTTGTCCTTATGAAAGAGTGAACAGATCGGACTTTATCAGACTACAGGCTTGTCCTTGGTGGTCTTTAGTTGATTAGGCTTTAAATGTCATTCTCACCTTGAGCTTCCCTCAAATGAAAATTTGAACTATTTAATTTCAAGCCTGGCCCGGTCCCATCTTTTCTGCCATGAAAATGAAAGCCCCCACACTCTTCTTGGCTCAGTCCAGGTATAGTGCTAATAACAGACTGATCTGGTGCCATCTTAAGCCTAGGGGCCGTAGCATGAGCTAACAATCCAGTATTAGAATGATAATAGGGAATTGACATACCTGGGTCAGTCCTATACATGGTGGTAAAAGGGGTACAGACTTAATGAGCAGCCAGTGACTCCAGAAGGAGCTGAGAGGTGAAAGAAGTGAGAGACATAAATTGGCTTGAAACATATTTTTAAGGAAGTGCTTGAATTGAGGTAGGTAAGAACAAGTGACTCTGGGCAGATTAGGATGACTTGTGTAAAAGGATGGGTGCGAGAATGAACAAGTCATGTTAAAACAAGAGCCCTTCCTTTGAGACTGGAGAGGCGAAGAGGAAGAAATTTTACATTTGTTCTCTCTTTTTTGGGAAGTATGTGGTTTAAGGGCCAGGGAGAAGCTGATTAGGATTTCAGAAGATACTATTAAAACAGGTGGCCATCATAGTAATGGAAAACTAGTCTAGTCTAGAAAAGAGGAGGAACAGATATATCTAGCAGTATCCAGGACAGGGTGGTAACCATATATAACTTATAGCATGCTCTATGCTGAAAAACCCCAATCCATATGTGTGTACATATGTGTACATAAACCAGGCAGCTTCTTTTGAAGGTACTTTACTTGTTATCTGGAGAGAAGATGTTTTTAACTTCTGCTCACCTTGACCACTCAGAGCAAGAAGATATTTCCTCCTTCTTAATTCTGGCCTTACATTTGGAAAAAGGGAATTTGATTTCCATCCTTAGAAGGCCATCTCAGGACAAATATTACAAATCAGCCTTCCCTGCAAAAGAGGGACAACCAGTGAATTCCGTGTCAGAGTTATTCTGAAGACCTGTGCTGTTTTCTAGTGAGGCCATTTAGGATATAGTAAGTATATGTTCTTCCTGTTTGTGGACCAGGTTTAAGTCTGTCTTTTTTTCTTGTTATCACTAAGAAGAGCTAAGGAATGCCTGCATCATCATTTTGACAGAAACCAAAACTTTAATTCTGCTGTTTTTGAAGTAAACTAGCACCTTTCTTATCTTGGGCAAATTCATTGAAGCTTGTTAACCAGTTAGGTGGTAACTCTACCTCTTTATTCCCTATTTGGATGTAATGCATGTTGCATTTTTAACTCTGACTATATAAATAACAATATTAAGTATGGTACAGTTGCTTTGGCCTGGAAGGATGTTTGTCCAGCAACCATTTATTGAGCACCAACAATGTGCCAGAAAATGTCAAACGATGTCGAGAAAAATTGAGCTGCTTTTGTTCAAATCAAAGCAGTAAACTACTTCTAAGATATGTTCTTCAGAAATAGTTGTCACAGGAGCAGTAGGTAAGAGATTACTTTTTGTAAAGAAACTTCATGAATTCTATCCAATTGTAAGTAAAGTCACTGCATGTTAGTGAAAAGTGTAGCTTGAAATAGATTTTTGTCAGTTACAGCTGTAATGAACAAGTAGCAATTTAATTATTTATATTTTACTTAAATAGGATGAACTGTGTGCCAGGCTTTATTCTACGCACCTTACAAATATTAACTCATAAATCCTCACAACCACCTTATGAGGTGGATACTGTTTTCACCCCATTGTATAGATGAAGAAACTGAGTCACACAGAGATTTAGTGTCTTGCCCAGGATTATGTGGCTATTAAGTTGTGATGTTAGGATTTGAATGGACTCTATTTCCACAATCTGTGGGATCTATACTAAGCTGCAAATAGGTTCTTACTGAGTGGCCCATAAAGTTAATTAAGTGGATTTATCATGCCCTCTGAAGTCTTGTTTATGCTATTAATCTGTTTATCAAACTCATTTATCCCTATATAAAGATCTTTTTCTACCCAGCTATAATCAAGATTATGACAAATTCTGAATTCTATTTATTTTTTTTATATATTATTTTAAGCTAATTTTTTAGAGCACTTACTATGTACCAGGCACTTGTCTCCAAGGCTCATTCTTTCGGCCATCACACTGTTCAGTTCCACAAGCCCTCTCTTTTCCATTGCTCCCTCAACAGCAGAATCCTACAGACCGCACATAGGATACCTTTATTCTGCCTCAATTTGTTAGTGACCAAGTCTCCAAAGTTCAGGGGAAAACCTTTCTTGAACTATATCAGTATGTACAATGACTGAAAATTGTGTCATGTACAACAAAATATATGTACTCTCTAGGGCACCCAGCAGGATTGAAATAAGTCAGTCAACAGTTTTGTATAGCTCATTCCATTTGGAAGGTGAACAGATGGTGTCACTTCAGCTTACTCCTCCTCAGCTTAAAATCAGGAGCATCAGAGTAACAAAGGGGCTGAAGGTGGGTCTGATGATTTGTGAGATTCTGTTCCACCTTGAGAACATGTGATTTTTATCAATTTTTTCAGCTCTATTGAGATATAATTATATACAATATACCAAGATATCTTTATGTAGGTTGTATTCCATTTATCTCAGCAATATTTTGTAGTTTTCAGTGTACATACAGGTCTTGCATATCTTCTCTGAGATTTATCCCTAAGTATTTCATGGTTTTGATGCTATTTAAAATGGTATTTTTTATTTCAATTTTTGATTGTTGCTAGTATATAGAAATAGAATTCATTTTTTACATTAACCTTATATTTTGCAATGTGCTAAACTCACTTATCAATTTTAGTAATGGTTTTTGCAGGTTTAATACATAGATGAGCATGTCTCCTGTTAATACGAGATTTAGGTGCTCCTTTCCAATCTGGATGCTTTTATTTCTTTGTCTTGCCTAATCCCACTGGCTAGAACCTCCGATATAATGTTGAAAAGAAGTTGTGAGAACCTTGCCTTGTTCCTGATTTTAGAGGGAAAGCATCCAGTCTTTCATCTTCAAGAATGATATTTGCTGAAGGTTTTTTTTGTAGTTGCCCTTTATCCGCTGGAGGAAGTTCCCTTCAATTCCTAGTTTACTGAGAGGTATTTTAAAATTAGAAACAAATGTTAGATTTTCTCAAATGGTTTTTCTCTATCTATTGTGGTGATCATATGGTTTAATAGTCTTTTAATATGGCTAATTACATTGGTTTTCAAATGTTAAATCAACCTTGCCTTCCTGAGATGAACCCCACTGGGTCTTGATTATCGGCTTTATATATTGTTGGATTTGCTAAAATTCTGTTAAAAATGTTTACATGTATGTTTATTAGTGATATTGGACTTCAGTTTTTTTTTCTCAAGACATCTTTGCCTGGTTTTGGTATCAGAATAATATTGGTCTCATAGAATGGGTGGAGAACAACTCTGTCACTAGAACTAGTATTATTTCTTCCTTCAATGTTTGGTAGAATTCTAGTGAAGCCATCTGGACTTGGAGTTTTATTTAGGGGAATGTTTTTAACTACAAATTCAATTTTTTAATAGATGTAGTATATTCAAGATATCTACTTCTTCAGTATACTTTGGTAATTTGTGTGTTTCACATAATTTGTCCATTTCATCTATGTTTTAAAATTTGTGATAAAATTCTTCATGGTATTTTCTTACATGTTTAAAATTTGTAGAATCTGTAGAGATGTCCCCTCTCATTCCTGATAGTGATAACTTGTGTTGTCTCTCTTTTCAGTCTGTTCTGTCTGGTTAGGGGTTGATAAATTTTATGGATCTTCTCAAAGAACTAGCTAAGCATTTCCTTGATTTTTCTTTCATTTTTATGTTTCCTTTTTAAATGTTTTCTATCTCATTGATTTTTATATCTCTGATCTTTTTTTTTTTTTTTTTTTTTTATTTTTTTATTTTTTTTATTATACTCTAAGTTTTAGGGTACATGTGCACATTGTGCAGGTTAGTTACATATGTATACATGTGCCATGCTGGTGCGCTGCACCCACTAATGTGTCATCTAGCATTAGGTATATCTCCCAATGCTATCCCTCCCCCCTCCCCCGACCCCACCACAGTCCCCAGAGTGTGATATTCCCCTTCCTGTGTCCATGTGATCTCATTGTTCAATTCCCACCTATGAGTGAGAATATGCGGTGTTTGGTTTTTTGTTCTTGCGATAGTTTACTGAGAATGATGGTTTCCAATTTCATCCATGTCCCTACAAAGGATATGAACTCATCATTTTTTATGGCTGCATAGTATTCCATGGTGTATATGTGCCACATTTTCTTAATCCAGTCTATCATTGTTGGACATTTGGGTTGGTTCCAAGTCTTTGCTATTGTGAATAGTGCCGCAATAAACATACGTGTGCATGTGTCTTTATAGCAGCATGATTTATACTCATTTGGGTATATACCCAGTAATGGGATGGCTGGGTCAAATGGTATTTCTAGTTCTAGATCCCTGAGGAATCGCCACACTGACTTCCACAATGGTTGAACTAGTTTACAGTCCCACCAACAGTGTAAAAGTGTTCCTATTTCTCCGCATCCTCTCCAGCACCTGTTGTTTCCTGACTTTTTAATGATTGCCATTCTAACTGGTGTGAGATGATATCTCATAGTGGTTTTGATTTGCATTTCTCTGATGGCCAGTGATGATGAGCATTTCTTCATGTGTTTTTTGGCTGCATAAATGTCTTCTTTTGAGAAGTGTCTGTTCATGTCCTTCGCCCACTTTTTGATGGGGTTGTTTGTTTTTTTCTTGTAAATTTGTTTGAGTTCAAGGCTGGTTCAATATACGCAAATCAATAAATGTAATCCAGCATATAAACAGAGCCAAAGACAAAAACCACATGATTATCTCAATAGATGCAGAAAAAGCCTTTGACAAAATTCAACAACCCTTCATGCTAAAAACTCTCAATAAATTAGGTATTGATGGGACGTATTTCAAAATAATAAGAGCTATCTATGACAAACCCACAGCCAATATCATACTGAATGGGCAAAAACTGGAAGCATTCCCTTTGAAAACTGGCACAAGACAGGGATGCCCTCTCTCACCGCTCCTATTCAACATAGTGTTGGAAGTTCTGGCCAGGGCAATCAGGCAGGAGAAGGAAATAAAGGGTATTCAATTAGGAAAAGAGGAAGTCAAATTGTCCCTGTTTGCAGACGACATGATTGTTTATCTAGAAAACCCCATTGTCTCAGCCCAAAATCTCCTTAAGCTGATAAGCAACTTCAGCAAAGTCTCAGGATACAAAATCAATGTACAAAAATCACAAGCATTCTTATACACCAACAACAGACAAACAGAGAGCCAAATCATGGGTGAACTCCCATTCACAATTGCTTCAAAGAGAATAAAATACCTAGGAATCCAACTTACAAGGGATGTGAAGGACCTCTTCAAGGAGAACTACAAACCACTGCTCAAGGAAATAAAAGAGGACACAAACAAATGGAAGAACATTCCATGCTCATGGGTAGGAAGAATCAATATCGTGAAAATGGCCATACTGCCCAAGGTAATTTACAGATTCAATGCCATCCCCATCAAGCTACCAATGACTTTCTTCACAGAATTGGAAAAAACTACTTTAAAGTTCATATGGAACCAAAAAAGAGCCCGCATTGCCAAGTCAATCCTAAGCCAAAAGAACAAAGCTGGAGGCATCACACTACCTGACTTCAAACTATACTACAAGGCTACAGTAACCAAAACAGCATGGTACTGGTACCAAAACAGAGATATAGATCAATGGAACAGAACAGAGCCCTCAGAAATAATGCCGCATATCTACAACTATCTGATCTTTGACAAACCTGAGAAAAACAAGCAATGGGGAAAGGATTCCCTATTTAATAAATGGTGCTGGGAAAACTGGCTAGCCATATGTAGAAAGCTGAAACTGGATCCCTTCCTTACACCTTATACAAAAATCAATTCAAGATGGATTAAAGATTTAAACGTTAAACCTAAAACCATAAAAACCCTAGAAGAAAACCTAGGCATTACCATTCAGGACATAGGCGTGGGCAAGGACTTCATGTCCAAAACACCAAAAGCAATGGCAACAAAAGACAAAATTGACAAATGGGATCTAATTAAACTAAAGAGCTTCTGCACAGCAAAAGAAACTACCATCAGAGTGAACAGGCAACCTACAACATGGGAGAAAATTTTTGCAACCTACTCATCTGACAAAGGGCTAATATCCAGAATCTACAATGAACTCAAACAAATATCTCTGATCTTTAATATTTTATTTTTTTTTCTTACTTTGGGTTTATTTTGCTTTTCATCTCTTAAATTTCTTCAGGTGCAAGCTGAGGCATTGATTTGAAACCTTTCTTTCTTTCTTTCTTTTTTTTTTTGAGACAAAGTCTTGCTCTGTTGCCCAGGTTGGAGTGCAGTGGCATGATCTCAGCTCACTGCAACCTCCGCCTCCCAGGTTCAAGCAATTCTCGTGCTTCAGCCTCCCAAGTAGCTGGGATTACAGGTGCATGCCACCACATCCAACTAATTTTTGTACTTTTAGTAGAGACAGGGTTTTGCCATGTTGGCCAGGCTGGTCTCGAACTCCTGACCGCAGGTGATCTGCCTGCCTCAGCCTCCCAAAGTGCTAGGATTACAGGCATGAGCCCCTGCACTTGGCCTGAGACCTTTCTTCTTTTCAATAATGGTGTAAATTTCCCTTCAAGTCCTGCTTAAGTAGCATCCCTATTTTTGATATGGTATGTTTTCATTTTCTTTCAATGCAAAATAGTTTCTAATTTTCCTTTTGATTACTTCTTTGATTCATGGGTTATTAAGAAGCATGTTAATGGCTTCCAAATATTTAGTGGCTTTTGCAGCTATCTTTCTGTTACTGGTTTATTTAATTTCATTGAGTTTCACCTGAGAACAGACTATGTATAGTTTGGGTTCTTTTAAATTCGTTCAGACTTGTTTTATGGCCCAGAATATGGTATATCTTAGTAAACTGTTCTGTGTGCACTTGAAAGTAACGTGGCTTCTGCTGTTGTTGGGTGGTGTGTTCTAGAAATGTCAGTAGGGTCAAATTGTTTGCCAGTATTTTTTAAAGTCTTCTATATCCTGATTTTCTTCTATCAATTATTGAGAGAGTGGTGTTGAAATCTGTCTGTGATTATGGATTTATCTATTTCTGCTTGTAGTTCTGTTTTTGCTTCACATATTTGAAGCTTGGTTGTTAGGTGCATGCATGTTTAGGATTACTATGTACTTTTGATGAATTGCTCCTTCTAATATCATGACATGACCTTTTTTATTCATGGTAACAGTCTTTGGTCTAAAATCTTCTTTCTCTGATGTTATAAAGACATTTCAGCTTTCTTTTGATTGGTGTTAGTGTGCTATATCCTTTCCTAGCTTTTTACTTTTAACCTATTTATATCATTATATTTAAATCAGGTGTTTTGTAGGCAACATGTAGTTAGTAGGTTCTTGTTTTCTAAATCTAGTCTACAAATTTCTGCTATTAATTGGTTTTTTACACCATTTATACTTCAAAGCAGCTTTATTTAGATATAATTTGCATACCATACAATTCACCCATTTAAAGTGTACAATTTAATGGTTTTTATTATATTTAGAGTTGGGCAACCATCACCACAATCTAATTTAAAAACATTTCTATCACCTCGAAACACTATGCCCATTAGTAGTCAATCCCTACTCCCCCTACCCGCACCTGAGCACTCTACCACCACTAATCTACTTCTTATCTCTGTGGATTTGCCTGTTCTGGAAATTTCTTATAAATGAAATCATACAGTATGTGGTCTCCGCATAATTTTTTTCAAAGTTCATCTATGTTGTAGCAGGTAGCAAACAGTACTTCATTACTTCATTTGTTTTATAGCTGAATAATATTCCTCTGTGTGGATATATGCTACATTTAAGAAAATCCATTCATCAGTTGATGGATATCTGGGTTGCTTCCACTTTTTGGCTATTACAAATAATGCTACTATGAACATTCACACATATGTTTTTGGGTGGACATATATTTTCATTTCTCTTGGCTATATACCTAGGACTGGAATTTCTGGGTCATATGATAACTCTGTGTTTAGTATTTTGAGAAACTGCCAAACTGCTTTCTAAAGCAGCTGCAGCATTTTACATTTCCACCAGCAATGCGTGAAGGTTCCAGTTTCTCTGTGTCCTTGCCAACACTTGTTATTGTCTGTCATGAGATATCTTTCCATTGATTTAGGTCTTTAATTTCTTTTAACAGTGTTCTGGAGTTTTTGCAGTACATATTTTGTACTTCTGTTAAATTTATTGCTAAGTATGATACTATTTTGGTGGTATTATTTATAAACGCAATTGTTTTCTTAACATAATTTTAGATTATTCATTCCTAGTATATAAAAATGCATGGATTTTTTGGTATACTGACCTTGTATCCTCCAACCTTGCTGAACTTATTTATTAGTTCTGGTAGTTTTTTGGTGAATGCCTTAGGAATATATATATATATAAATATATATTTATTTACATATATATTTATATATATTTTTATATATATTATTTATATATATTTATATATATATATAATCATGTTATATATATTTAGAAATAGTTTCACTTACTTTCCAATCTGGATGCCTTTTCTTTCTTTTTCCTGTCCAATTACCGTGGCTGGAACAATATTGAATAGAAGGTGTGAGATTGTACACTTTGTCTTGTTCCTGATTTTAGGTGGAAAGCATTCAATTTTTCACCATTAATTATTATGTTAGCTCTGGGTTTTTCAGAGACGGTCTTTAATCAGTTTGAAGAAGTTCTCTTCTATTCCTACTTTACTGAGTGATTTTATCATGAAAGGATATTGCAGCCTCTGCCCTGGGAGTGAACTGGGATGAGGGTGATCAGGACCCAGTGTCCTTGGCCTGCTGCACCTGGAGTGGAGACTTAGCGGGAGGAGCTCCCATTTTCTTGGCTACCCATGGAGGAGCCTCTGTAACCCAGAGCTGGGGAAAGTGGTAAGGAAGTAGTTCAATGCTCAGATACCACCTGCTCTACTGTTCGTGCTAAGATTTAGCAGATTTTGTTGAATGTATGTTTGCTGTATGCCCTTAGGATAATTTCCAGAAACTTTAAATGATTGCTTTAACAAGTATTTTTTGCCAGTTAAATTGTTGCTTTACGAGGGAGAGAATCTGCCAGGTTCCTTACTCTTCCATTCTGGAACTCTCAGTCAATTATTAGGACTAATTTTTAAGAATGTATTTGGAAATAATTTCAAACTTATAAAAAATTTGCCCAAAAAAGTACAAAGAACACTCTTACACCCTTTACTCAGATTTCAGATTTACCTGTTTTTAGCATTTTACCCTATTTGCTTTATCATATGCATTCTCTGGTGTGTGTGTGTGTGTGTGTGTGTGTGTGTGTGTGTGTGTGTGTGTGTACATATTTCTGAGACACTTGGGGATAAAGGTACATACCTCATGGCCCTTTACCCCCAAATAATTGAGTATGTATTTATTGGGAATAGAGACATTCTCTTACACAACTATAGTACAGTTATCAATTTCAGTAAATTTAACATTGATTATCTTCTCTACCATAGAAATTCTAATCTTCAAATTATTTTTATCCTTCCTCCCTCTGTTTTTGTGTAAGTTTTATATTGTACGTAATATTAGTACAATGGTACATACATGGGAGTAAATGTTGAAATGTTTTTCTACTGACAGACATGTGCGATAAAAAGTTATGAAGCAACCGGTCCAGAGGTTGACAAAATGCTTTCGCTGTATCAGCTCAGCTGATCCTGCCATCACCTCATGACACAGGCAAGAGTTATTTTCCCTACTCATATCACATATGAAGAAACACTAAGGAATTTACTAAAGATATAAAGCTTTGATTAACAAGTGTTGGATATGGGCCTCAACCCCAGGATTTTTGACCCCAGAGTCTGTACTCTTTCCATACCAAATTACCTTGCTGAGTAAGCTCTCAGCTGTCTACATGTGACTTTTCTACTTTATGAGTTTTAAGGCAATTTAAGATCATATAATTCTAAAAATTGTGCCAGATGCTTCCAACATACAGAATTGAAGACATCGTGGTTCAGTGAGGTTAAGTGATCATCATTCTTAAACCCTCCCTTAAGCAAAGTAGGAAAAAGGAAACCTTACTGTCATTTCTCTTCCTTCACTCAAAATCATAACCCCCATACATCCTCAGAAATGTTTGACTTGTCTGCTTAGCAACCTTTATATGGTGCTTTACTGATTACAGTGCATTGTAATTCATTCTTTCATTTTAGAGCCACAATAACCTGGTGAAAACAAGACCCCAAGGTAATGAATATGCACTAAAGTTGGCGAAGCACTCCTCTAGAGCACCTCCTCTTCACTTCTGCACAAACCTGGCTCTGATTGTCCCCTCACCCATCTCTCTGGCAATGCTCATGAATTCTTGTCATGGCTAGTGTCAGAGAGACTTTATACCAGATGATTTTTCTGTGGTTGAAATCAGCAGTCTTCAGGGTGGAATATACAAGATAATGGAATATAGGAAGAAAATAATTAGTATTTTTTGCCATTTCTCTGTTTTTTATTCTCTGTATCTTTCTTTTTTTTAGTTTTAATGTATTTTTTAAAAATTTTATTATTATTGTACTTTAAGTTTTAGGGTACATGTGCACAACGTGCAGGTTTGTTACATATGTATACATGTGCCATGTTGGTGTGCTGCACCCATTAACTCGTCATTTAGCATATCTCCTAATGCTATCCCTCCCCACTCCCCCCACCCCACAACAGTCCCTGGTATCTTTCTTTCTTAACAGCTTTATTGAGATATAATTCACGTATTATACAACCCACCCATTTAAAGTGTACAATTCAATGATCTTAAGTATACAGATGGTCCCTGACCTATGATGGCTCAACTTACTTTTTTTTTTTTGACTTTATGATGGTGTGAAAGCAGTAGCAATCAGTAGAAACAGTACTCTTCTTGCAGTGCTGGCTGGTGGCAGCCAGGTGCAGCTCCTAGTCAGCCATGCATTTTTAACTTACGATATTGTCAGCTTACTATGGGTTTGTTGGGAATGTAACCCCATCATAAGTTGAGGAGCATCTGATTCACACTAATTTCAGAACATTTGTATCTTACCAAAAATAAACTCCCTTCCCATCAGTAGTCACCCCCCAGCCTTGCCAACCATCAGTTTACTTTCTCTTTCTATAGATTTGACTATTTTGGATATTTCATACAAATGGAATCATAAACCATGTGTTCTTTTGTGTCTCACTTCTTTCACTGAGCATAGCATCTTCATGGTTCATCTATGTCATAGCATGTATCGGTACTTCATTCCTTTTTATTGCCTAATAATATTCCATTGTATGGATAGACAGCATTTTGTTTATCCATTCACCAGTTGATGGACATTTGTGTTTCCACTCTTTTGCTATTATTTGATATGAACATTTGTGTACGAGTCTTTTGGTGGACATATGCTTTCATTTCTCTTGGGTAGAACTATGTTCCTAGATTAGTATAAATGCCATGTGTTAAATTTTGAGAGAAAAACAATAGAAAAGTAAGTGTGGCTCTTGGAGGGGATGGAATTTTTCACCTTCCATGTTATTCCTCTCACTCTGCTCCATTTTATTGACCTTCCTATTTAGCTCTTTACTGGCCTTTTTTTTTTTGCCTATTTTCCTGTCCACTTCTTACTCCTGCCAGGGATGCTCTGGGGAAAGGAAACATTTATTGACTAATATTGAAGTGCACATTTAGCTCTGTAACAACCTTATGAGGTTGGTGCTATGAAACCCATTTAAAGATGAGGAAAATAAGGCTCTGAGAGTGTAACTAACTTATTCAAAGTCACCCAGCCCTTAAGAGGCAGAAGTGAGATAAGCCCATCTCTATCTGATTCCAAAGCTCTTTCCATAGGCTGTCTCCCAGATGAAGTGCTTATTGAAGTTCAGAGGACATACCTTGCTTCTCACTTGAGACATCAAAGATGGAGGTGTGAAGGGAGAAAACGAAGTGAAAGATGATGCCAAGATTTTGATGAGCCTGTAGGAGTGGGTTGTGCAAGAGGTGGAAGGATGGTAGGTACCATAACTGAGATACTGAATACAAAGTTAGAACCTGGTTTGGGGAAGGAAGGAGTTGGTGAGTGTTCAGTTTTGGACAAATGGAATTTGAGGACATAATTCATTCAGCTGATATTTCATTGGCTTCTTTATACAAGGCACAGTACAGGATGCTGGAGATACACTGAAGAACAAGATAGCCATGGTCACTACCCTAATGGAACCTGTGGTCTTAGTAAGGCAGAGAGACAAAACAATGGTAATCAAGTGTAATGGGTGCCATGATAGGAGAGGAGGAGGATTTAACCCATTACCAGAGTTTGCAATTTTTTTAAATTTTTGCATGGGTGAAAAATCAGACCTTGGCAATGACCTTGAGTAGTAGGATATAAATAACTCCTACATCCTTAGCGTTCCAATAATGGAACACTAGGCATAAATGGGTTAATTGAAGCATCTAGTGAAAGTGATTCTTTAAGGGTCTGAGGCTAGTAGAAAGAAAATCAAAGTAGCCATAGCTTACAGTACAGGTGGGACATAGAATTACCAGAGATGGATATAGGAGATAAAAAGATTTAAAAGTCATTCATAGGAAAGTAAAGAGTTGATAATATTTTTTTCCTCCATTTACCCTCTTCCTATAAGGGAGGAAAATAGGATTGCCTGCAGCCACATGGAACAGCTGGCAGTTTTCTGACTCTCATCCTCTTATCATCTTTGCATATGCCCTGCCCTCTTCCTGGAGTTCTGATCTCCCATCCCTTTTGTCTAGCCAACTCCTTCCTATCTTTATTATCATTTTTCAGAAAGCTTACCATGACCCCCTGTTCCATGTCCCCATAGTCTCTTGGGCCTACTTGATCACACGGTCTCATCTATTAATTGTGAGTATTCTAAGAGTTGGGACGTGTTCATCAATCCAAGTATCCCCACAGTGCCTGACACATAGTGAGATGGATGTATGAGTGATTAAACAAAAAGGACCAAATAATGAGAAAGACCTGCATCCTTTGAACAAGTGGAAGAGGCTTCATCGCTTCATGGAAAGAGAGCTTGGTCATTAGTCTAACTTGGTGGTTCTTAACCAGTGGTGATTTTGCTTTTCCAAAGAACCCTTGATAATGTCTGGAGATGTTGTTCATTGTCAAAATTGGCTAGGGTATCTACTGGCATCTAGTGGGTGGAGGCCCAAGGATGACACTAACCATCCTACAGTGCACAGGACAGCCCCCCACAACAAAGTTAGTAGTGTCGAGGTCCTAGAAATCCTGGCCTAATCTTGCTTAGCTCTCTCTTACCTAAAGCAGTTATTCTCAAAGTGTGGCCCCCAGCCGTGGCAGCATTACCTGGGAATTGTTAGGAAAATTCTAGGGTCCTACCCCCAAATCCCTGAAGGAGAAACTCTGGGAATGGGGCCCAACACTTTATTTTAACAAACCCTCCAGGGGATTATGATGCAGGTTAAAGTTTGAGAACTGCTCCTAAAGTGAAAAATCTGGTTGGTAACAAGGCCAGCACCAGAACTCTGAGAGGAGCCAGCACAGAAATGGTTGAGGGATAATGTCAGAAAAAATCCACAGGAGGTGATGGTTTCCAGGGTGAAGGGATCATTGGTATCAAATACTGCTAGATATGAGAACAGGCAAAGATGGGGGAGACTGCCACTAATAGTTAAGACTCCTGAAATGGAAGGAGGTAAGGATGATGTTGTTACAAAGTGATGGGTTTGTGCAAGGAGGGGGTGCTGAAAGCTTTTAATTTGTACTCATCTATGCAAAAGAACTGCTTTTAAAATTTCTATTTAATGTCAGGCATGTGGGAATAGCATGCCAGGACTATCATCCCTCTAAAACAGCAGCTCTCATTATTTTTGTGTTTTCTTCCAGGCTTTGTCTATGTACATAACTATTTTTACAGTGGAGTGTTCTGCTGTCACAATAAATACCAAGGCGTTTTCAAAGGTTACGACAGCAGGAGACAGCATTTTGACATGGCAGCAAAGATAAACTTGATCCCATTGTAAGTTTGTTCTGCTTGAGGGGAGGGTTGTTTGGTGGAATTTCTAGGAAAAGCAAGGCAGATGCACTTAGGCTAATTTTGGTTACTTGAGAAGAAAGCAATAAAAACCCCTCCGGTACAGAAATGTTTCTTAAGCCTCATTAAGGAAGCAAGGACACAGATAAGACAATGTGGAAGAAAAGGTCTCTTTTAGCGGAATAAGCTTGCATCATAAATAGTAGATATCCAAAGTGGTATCTCAGAGCCACCCTGTGGTTCCCAGATTTTATTTGGATTGTTCCTTTGGGTTGGATTATTTGCTAAAGAAGCTGTTTATTGAGTGGAGTTGAAGAGCAGGGAGGGATTTTAGAGTGTATCTATTTTGAGGGAGGGGGAATTGAAACAGGCGCTGAGGTTAGGGATTTGTTTCCCTTATAAAATGAATATATTAGGGCAGTGCTCCCTAACATTGAATATACCCTTTAAAAAAGTTATTGTGCATAGGGGACTTTTTCTCAGTCTTTTCAAAATTTGTGAATATATATGTGTCAAGCACAGTGCACACTTCACAGCCCAGGGAAATCGATGGTGTATATGCAATTTATAAATGAGGAAATTGAGGCTCAAAGAAGTGAAACAATGTGGCCAAAGTCTGACATCAAATAAGTGTCTGGAGGGGAATTCTAAACCCTGGTATGTTTCCCTCCAAATCTAGTGTAATTTCCACAGTGACACAGTTGCCATATGTTGTCACATTCTTAGAGGTATCTGAGACTCCTTCATTTCTCTTATCAGACTAATATGTAGTCATTACCCAAGGTTGTATATGAGGACCATAAGGGGACTTTTTCGAAATATCTGTGTTCAGACTCCTCCCATAGAGGACCTCTGGAGTGAGAAAAAGAATAAAAGAGCACTCACCCTCTCATCTCCTAGTGTCTTTTCTTTCCCCCCTCCAGAAGCCCAGGCTGTACACAGGCCGATTTTAGAGTTGTAGAGCAGGTGGTGGGCAGGGCTGGGCTAGCCAGCAGCAGCAAGCCGATTCAGCTGTGATGGTGACAGCTGCTCCTACCCAGCTGCCCATAACTAGCTGATCTCAATCACCTGGGAGAGAGACAGGGCGCAAAAGGGTCTTTTGTGGCCACAGGCAAACTGGAGTCAAGCTGCCTGCGTTCAGATTTTATCTCTGTTGCAAACCAACGGTATGACCTTGGGTAAGCGGATCCCTTAAATTCCCCAGGAGGCAGAATAAAGTAGTGAGTACAGGTAAGGACGCTGAGATCTGAGGGAAGTAGGTTTAAGCTCCAGCTCTACCACATTTACTAATGATATACCCAGGGTGGACTTCATGGGCATGCAACCTGTGCAGTCTCACAGGGCTGGGCACTTGGAAGGGCCTGTGTGTGCAGGGTTTAATCCTCTGCTCTCGCTGTCTTGAAATTCTTAATAGTTTTTGAGTAAGGGACCTTACAGTTTCATTTTGCACTGGGCCCCACAGATTATGTAGCTTGTCCCATACTGCCTTTGGGAAATTACTTAACTGCTCTGAGTCAGTTTCCTCAACCATTGAATGGCGATTGTCCTGAGACTTATATGAGAGGATGCATGTAAAGCACTTGCTTGGCACAGAGCATGGGCTCAGTAGCCAGCATTAACACAGCCCTGGGCATCAGTGTCTTCATCTATAAAAATAAAAGTGTTATATTAGAGCATGTCTAAGATTTCTTCTACAAATACAATGTACTTACAAGATTTCCTTGACCCTAACCAATAGGAAAACACTTTGGAAAACATAATGTAAGGCTTCATTTCCTTTCTTATACAGTTTTGATTTTTTTAAAAAACATGTCCATGTTAATTGTCTCTCTTGTAGCTGCTGCCTGCTAGTCTTAAAATCTCTTTTTGAAAATTCTTACAGAATGATTTTAACCTCTAACCTATTTTAAGTGTGCCTTTTATTTAGTGAATGTAATGTTGAGAGAGGGTAGGTTTGGCCTGTAGACTCTCCCAAGAGGGTGGACTTTTTAAAAACCAATGTGGAAGATAAAGTTAGGAACAAAGTATGTGTGGAAGGGTGGGGGATTGCCGGAGGGGATAGCATGATTAAAGGGGTGTTGTGGTCTTGTTTTAAATACATCACTGGAGATGTAGAGGTCTGGTGGGGACAGTTGAAGCACAACCTCCACAAAGGTGAGGAAGAAGATAATCAAAACACAGGATGGGGGCCAACTTTGGAGAGGATAAAGGGAATGTCATCCTCTGAAATAAGCAAAAATAGCTTGAAGATACCATGATTTTTTAATTGTATGCTGAAATACCTTAAAAGAAAGAAGGGAATACCTTCCCTACAAAGTACCTACTATTTATACAACTCTGTAATCTCTTTGTATCCTTGTTGTTTTTACCAAAAAAGATGTTTCTTTTCTCCCTTTATTTTAGTAAAGTCTTGCTTATAGCCCACCTCTCCCACACTCCCCACCATATGACACACATTGATCATTTTTCACTTTTGATGGCTAGAGTTTAGTCCTTCACAAATACACCAGAGTTTATTTGATCACTGATCAATGAGAAAACATTTGAGAAAAAGATGATTTGTTTGAAAGAATGAACTTGTCTATAAGTCTCGTATATTGCTCATTTCTGTGTATCACAGGGTAGTTCTGAAGCTTTTTACCTGCTTTGAATAATTTCTGTCCATTCTTCCTACTTAACAAAATATAATTCATTTTCTGACAGCCAACTCAATTTGTTTGTCAGTGTCTTCCTGGAATTTAAAATTTTCCTCCAATATTAGGTAAACTTTCAGGTGATTCATTTTAAATGAGAAATAAAAATTATATATATTTATCATGTATTACATGATGCTTTGAAAGGTATACATTATGGAATGGCTAAATCAAGCTAACTAACATATGTATCACTTCACATGTATTACATGATGCTTTGAAAGGTGTACATTATGGAATGGCTAAATCAAGCTAACTAACATATGTATCACTTCACATATGCTTTTTTGTGATGAGAACATTCACCATTATTGTACAATAGATTCTTGAACCTGTTTCCCCTATCTAACTGAAATTTTGTATCCTTTGACCAACATGATTTAAAAAAAAAATTCTGCTGCCTTGCTGGCTTTACCTTAAGCTCTGCTTTCTCTGCTTTATTTTTTCTATAATTCCTGCATATTGAAGCAACTTTACTTTTATAAATACTAACTAATCATATTAAAAATCTAGTACTGTCTAATGTATTTAGGGTTAAAGATATAAATATACCTATGATTATTGGAATGCTGAATTATATGTCTATATATGTCTCCCTTAATTTTACACTACAGTGTTAAAATAGTATCTAAATCTAATCCTACTTTTAGGAATACCTAACAAAAAATTCAGCCATTCCCTCAACTCTGTTGAAAGCTCTGTTTCTCACTAAAGCCTATATTGGCTTTAGTGAAGCAAAATAATTTAAAACAGCCCAAAATGCTTTTTTAAAAGTATATTTTAAATACTGTAAAATAACAAGGAAGTATACAAAAACTATTTATGGATAAATGGACTTGTGATTGGAAACATTAATATCAGCCAAATTTCCAAAAGCAGTTTCACTTAATGGCTGAAATAAAATGGAGAAAAATGTATGAAAGGTTGCCTAACAAATAGATTAGGCATAAATGACTAAAAATGAATCTGAAATTTTAAAAAAATCTGAAAGAAACTGAACTGCTGAAAATATGCATTGAAAGTTACAAAGCAGTCCTAGTGGTGCATGGAAATGACCAGTATATAAAATGCCAATGACTGAAAATACGGAGTTTTCTCTCCAGTATTTGTTTCTTTGACCAATTCATCTAGAGCCAATAGAGTACTGTATCCTTAATAACTGGTATTGCTTTTCAGGAAAATAAAATATGACATACCATTTAGTTTTATTAGGAAGCTAATAGGTGTACAGGGTTTTCATTGCTGATAAGGCTGAACATTTTCTAGTGTTCCTTTCTTGTTGGTGTAATGTTTTTATATCTTTAACCACTTATCTAGGGGAAAGTAGTATTAACCATAAGGGTGTATCAGAACTTTATTATTTTCTATATTAAGTTATTTCTCCATCAAAATCATGGCTACTTCTATCTATATTGCTTTCCTTTTAAACTTTTTAATTTTTAAATGTACTTTTATTGTACTGCCTCTATAATTGCAAAATGTACTTTATGTAGTCATATTCATCACGCATAGGTGACCATTTCATTTTTTGCTTTGGTATTAATGAATTTCTCTCACACATTGAGTGTAAATGCAACATTGCATTTTCTTACAGTTCTTCATAATTAAAAAAAGCTTGAATCCTTGACTCATCTGGAATGAATTTTAATTGTTTCCCCAATAACATTTATTAAAAGTTTTTTTCCCCAATGAGCCGTTATTTCTCTACACTATAATCCAAAAAGGTTATGTGAATTCTTTTTCCAGTGTCCATTCTCCCACACAGCTGAAGTTGCTTGAATCTTATTCTAATTTCTGATTTCATGGTTAATGCATTCCCCTGTCTCTGAGCCTTACACATGTCTTTCTTTACTTTTTAATCTGGAAATCCAACCCTTATGCTACACCCCAACCACAAAATGATGATCAAACAAACAAAACTACATGTTGAAATTGCATCAGAAAATACTATGGATATTTTCTTTCATTTTTCCATGCCTCAGCTTTAGCATCTCAGTCTTAGCAGGTTTTTAATTATATTTATTTACTTATTTTTAAGTGAAGTTTTAAAGTATTAAAGTCAAGTCTTTCAAGATTCAGCCTTTAAATCTAAATATTACTAAATTTATTCCTTTCTACTACTAGCAGCCAGACTCAGCAGCCATTGAACCTTTTTTTTTTTTTTTGAGAGTGAAAAGCAAAAGAACTCAGAGAATAATGTATTTGGACTACAATTAATTGTGTATAAGCTAAATATGAAGCTGAAACCAATATAATAAAGGTTCTCAAGATTCAATTCATCAGACTCTTAGTGGCATCATTAAGGAAATCAGTTTAAGTCTTCACACCCAGTGTACTTTTGCCTCTGAGTCTTAGGACTTTGTAATGCTTCTGACTAGAGCCAGTCAGTCTGTATTGGAGGGGATCTGGGGGCGATTATCCTGGCTTTAGTGGCAGTTACTCTTTTCCCTTTTACTGCCATTATCAACCCTGCTCATTTCGTCCTCTGTTTTGCCCTGCTAATTTTATGCTGTTTTGCAAAGCAGCAACAGAGACAAAACATTGCTTTTAATGCAGGTGGCATTTAGGGGAAAAAAAAAACAGTTGGAAGTTTTAAGAATAAACATTATAAAATCCCTTTGAATGACTTGAAGGGCCCAGGGTAGCATAAATGTAGAGGAGCCTTCTGCCCCTGATGGGAGACTTGTAATGTCTTCTTTCAGGATTTCTTTTTATATTCCAACAAATAGCATCATATAAAACCAGACTGAAGAACTCTTTTTTTTTTTAATTCAATCAAGGGCCACTGACCCGCTGAAAAAAATTCAATTAAGGTTGCTGAGGGGGAAAAAAGCAACTGTTACAAAGTAAAGAAATAGAACTTGTTCAATTCATCTGGTTTTAAAATTAGGAAAAGAGAACATAAACCCCCCTTTTCAGTAAATGCAGCAAGTAATTTACAAGAAGTACTTCAGTTTTATGTTATTGGCAATTAAAAGAGAAACACAGGAGAGAGAAAAAAGAGGAGTATACTGAGTTACATACACATAAAGGCTAGCCCCCTCTTAAGAGGTACGGCTCTAGAATAGAAGCAACTAAATAATGCCAAACGTTGCTATTGAAAGCATTCTAAAAGATGCAGTGCAAGCTTGTGTGCGTGTATGGAAAACTATTTTACACGTTTAAAATGGCAACTATATATATTATTGTCCATCTCTTACAAATTCTTGTCTTTCTCCTTTGTTTCTGTTTGTGTGTGTGTAGAGAGAAAATATTTTCACATTGCTTTTATCACTGGGATACGGTTTTTTGTTATTATAGACTTTTCCAACTAATGTTATTTTGTACATTCATTTCCATGTATTAGTGTGCTACAAATACTTATTTTAATAGCTAAATTAAATAATATCACATAGATTCCTTGAGATCAGAGACTGGATGTTTTTCCCCCAGCATTATTGTGGTATAACTGGTATACAAAAGACTGCACGTAATTAACATTACAATTTGGTGCAGAGACTGCATGTTTTGTTCACGTGCATATCACTCAAAACAAATGATCAGTGAGTGAGGAGAATAAATGCTACATCAGAGTTGGTTCAATCACATCTCTGGGATTTTAAAAATAAATCATGAATACAGCTGTGAGGAACATCTTTTGTACAAGATGGAAGATGAGAGGTCTATTTGGGGGGACAACTGTTCTCTGAACTGGGAGTATTAGCTCAGAACAATACAGTTGGTATATGCTGTAGTATAAACAGTTTGAGTATCTTCATTATCCACATAGCCCCACAGTTATTTGGTTTTCTCTTTATTTTTTTACTAACACGATGAGTGAATATGGTACTTCATACTCATTTACTTGTGCTTCATTTTATTCATTCCTTTTATACAAACCATCTGCTTCTAACCTCTTGTTCTGAGGAACTGGCATTAACTTTGTATTTAGATGGGAAGCTTTTTGTGTGTCATATTGTCATACTACAGAGGTAACATTGACAGGATTCAGCAAGTGTCCAGGTGGAAAGGAAGGCCTAACCTGTTGTCCTCTTTGCCATGCTTAGTCTCCACAGTGTATATGTATACAGGGTAAAATATATATGAGATATATTAAAATATATTAATATACATAATGTATTATAAAATAATATAAAATATATTAATATACATAATATAATATATATTAAAAATATAAAACTTTGGTGGTTGCTGCTGTGGTAAAAGGGATTTCTGCCCTTCTAATTGTATTCAGTAGATATTTATTGTTGGAGTGGGAATGCAATAGATTTTTGTGGTTTTATAATTTGCGCCTTTGTTGAACTCATTATTTTTAACTTTGTTTATCAAACATCTTGGCCTTTTAGGTTATGTAATTACTTATATATTGTGCAAATGGTGTTGTTTTTATTTTATCTTCTTACATTACTCATTTATTTTTCCTACTTGCTTACAATGGTCAACATTTTCTAACACAGTTAATTAGGAATGATGATTGGATATCTTTTTGGGGTTTTTCTTCTTTATTTTAGATGACTACTTCTAATGTGTCTCTCTTAATAACATTGACTTCTTTCAGACATATCATATTTGTGATAATAAAAAATCCTACTTTTAAAATTAGAAACAAATGTTGAATTTTTAGATTTTTTACCCTATTTATTCACTTAATTGTGTTTTTACTGTTTTTCTTATGAATTGTCTTTATTTAAAATCAGCCATGCAACCTCAGACTAAAATCCAACTGATCATGACAAACAATTCTTTTAAAGTGTTGATGTATAGCTTGCTAATATTGTATTTAGAATTTTGCATCAATGTCCAGAAATAGGAACAATCTATAATTTTCCTTGTGAGATTTTAGCCATAGATCAGGTTTAGTAATCAAGCTGACCTTAGTTTCATGAAAATAAGTTTGATAGAACAATTTTAGGAACCATTTGTACTGTAAGATTATTATTTATTTAATATTTGAACTGCTTGTGTCTTTTTTGTTTCTTTTGAAGTTTGTTGATAATATTGCTTATTTCTTTTCTTTCTTTCTTTCTCTCTCTTTCTCTTTCGTTCCTTCTCTTCTTTTCTTTTTTGTTTTTTTCTTTTATTTCTACAGGGTCTCACTCTGTTGCCCAGAGTGGAGTGTGGTGGGCAGTGACATAATCATAACTCGCTGTAGTCTCAAACGTTGGGGCTCAAGTGATCCTCCTACCTCAGCCTCCTGAGCAGCTAGGACAATAGGCATGCACCACCACACTCAACTATTTAAAAAATTTTTTTTTGTAGAGACGGGATCTCACTATGTTGCCCAGGCTGGTTTCAAACTCTTGGGCTCGAATATCCTCACACCTTGACTTCCCAAAGTGCTGGGATTAGAGGGGTGAGCCACCGTGCCTGGCAATATTGCTTATTTCTTTGGTATATTTAGATTCTTTCTCTCATTTTGAGTACTTGGGCTGTTTTTTTTTTGCTGTTGTTGTTTGAGAAACTTACTCCTTTTTGTGATTTGTGGCATATTTACATATGGAATTCCCTAATGATTTAAATAGTTTTTTAGTAAGTATAACTAAAATATATCTTTAAGGTGAATAATTTGTCTACTTTTCTCCTTTATTTAATTGTACTGGCAGTTTATCAATTTTATTCGTTTTTTCAAACTTCTTAATACAGGCGTGTAGAGCTATGGATACATTTTGATTCCTTGATTGTATTTTAATTAGTTCTTTATTCAGTTGCCATTTAAGAAAGATATTTTTATGATTTCTATGTGGTTGGATTGTGTTCTTATATCCCATTTCCTATCTTACTGTCTTGTGCTGTGTAGAAATCCTGCCATTTCATATTGAGAATGTCTTTGTGTTTGACTATATGACAAATTATTGTGAGAAAGAACATTTTCCCAAATATTTTTACATGAATCAAATCATATAAACCTGATGATTATATTGTATTGTCTGGTTTAGATATACTGAATTCTTTCATTGTTGTTTTTGTTGCTAATTTGATTCCTCATTCAGCTAATGGAATAATCTCTAGGATTGTGTTTGTCTCTGTCGTATTGAATTGATCAGTTTTTTGTTTTATAAAAAATCATTAGATCTTTAAAAATTTACTGGATATTTAAAAAATCACTTCCTGTTTCCTTTATCATTTTATAGTGTCCTTGTGCTTTGGTTTAAGATGTACTTTTTTTCAGATTCTGTGACTAATATCTTGCTCTTTTTATTTGCATTAACAAACTTAAAGGGAGTAACCATTTAATTAATTAATTTGTTTACTTTTCAAATACCTAGAGTTCAAAGAGAGAGTAACCATTTTAAACATGTATTTTTATAACTAGAGTCAGATTTTATTAATCCAATTTCTAATTAATATTTAATACATAAAATTTAGCATTATAATTATCTTACATTTTTAACTTAGCAGTGAACTTTTCTTTTTAAATTCATACTCTAGTAAATTTGAGGGATGATTTAATGATATGAAAAGATAACCTTAATTTCTTAATTTATCTTGTGGCTTTGATTCCTTTTAGTGCTGTGTGCAACACTTTCTTTTATTTGTAATAATGTATTGGTTATTTGCCATAGAACTGTAGTCTTTCTTAGGTAGTTGTTAGGCCGTCCATCTTATTCTATTTGTTTTTCTTGTGGTCTTTCCTATGTTATCTTAATTGATGCTCTCTTCACCCTATCATGGTGACTTTGCTTATCTACTTCTAGTATTGTAAAGCTTTTAAAATTGGACCTGGCTTACTTCTTAAACAATTACAGTAATTGAGTCCTATCGTGATTATTTTTTATTAATAATCCTTGTTATTCTTCCAGATTTTAAAAAATGGTGTATTTAATTTCAAAGGCGCCATCTGCCCAGATGTCTGGCTTCTTGTACTACTTTTTTAAGTCATTTTCTTTATTTAGTAACAATTAACATGTTTTAAAAACGCCTACATGAAATTTTCTTTCAGTGACATGAAAATAAATTGTTTTTTCCTTAGCTGAACGTATATAAAGATTTATTTGTCTAAGTTTCTAAAATCTTTTGGGTCTTTCAATCTTTATGTTAGCAGATATGATATTTAGCACATTCATAAGTTGTATAACTTTCAGATGATTAAGAGTTTCCTTTGTATGTATGGCTTAATTTTCCATCATTTCTCATTTTTAATATACAAAAAATGTCAGTTATTGAAGAAAATTCTTAGGAATCTACCTTCCTCTTTCCACTAGTAGATTATTTCCAAAATGATGAGTTAAATGAAAAAATTAATGTTTCTTTACTGTGGGACTTCTCATGGCTTTTAATCCATTTGTATGTTTCCCCAATTTTTTCTTGATCATGGGACAATCATACTTCATTTTTTAAGGAACACATAGAAACCTCTTATAGAACCAAGTGTTACATAATTCACAGTTTAGAAAATGCTGGTGTAAGGTATATATACTTGCTTTTATTTAGAAGAGGCTGCTGAACTTGATAATCTTCAAAAACAGAAGATTATGTAATAAGGAAAAATGCATGGCATGTTCAGGAACAGTTAACGCAGGTGTAGAATAAGCCAAAAGCCCAAAGCATCAGAATGCTGATGAGGGAATTAGCTTATATTGCCCAACACATTTTTTGAAATGACATATTCTTATTCTCATAGGTACTCCCATCCCACCTTATATTCCTAAAATATTTCATTGGCCAAAGTCCATTGACATCACCTGTTTATTGAAATTTCTAGAAGTATGACCTCTTTTTAGGAGACTGCAGCCACATAGTTTTTTGCTATCTTCTAAACTTGTCCAAAGTTGTTGGTAGTCCCCCCACCTTTAGGTCAAGATAACCCCTTTGGAGAGTAAGCAGTACATTTCTCATAGAAGGTGGATGGTATCTTATCCAGTAAGACCATCTCTCAATCAGATTTGGGGAGAAGTTTATCTGTATGTTCTTTTAGAAAATTACTAATAGCAACACACTTGTATAAAAAGTCTATTAAATACTGCTTATTAAATCCCTAAGAATCAACCTCTGACAGGTACAAGTATGGCAAGGGGGAAAAACCATATTCCTTCCTATAAGATACCCTTGGAAGTACTTATGTGCCACAAACTGAATGTTCACAGACCACTGGTGTTGTAATTGTCAACTTTATATGATGGTGTTTTCAAGGCATAATAAAACATTCTTCCTGGAAGTCCCCTAAACAGAGGGGGCATCTTAATTAGGCTCTATTAAATCTTGGGTAACATTTCTGTTGCCTGTGCCTGTGAAAGGGAAGCCCAGGGAAGCATTGCTGTTTAGACCTTTACAGAATGGCCCTCCCCTCAACCATGGTCCTGTGCAAGCGGCTATTTTAATATGCTCACTACAGTGCAAAGGAATCCCAGGGTAGAAATGTGATAGATTCATTTGCAGATTATACAGACTTGAGTTTTGGCATTTAAAGTGATGCTTTTACACCCTTTCCTGCTTTCTATGGTTATACCCCTAGGCCCCCTGACACTGCCGAAAAACTCCTCCATCCTCCAAATAATTCAGTGTTTTGAGTCCCCTGCATTCCTCAGTAGTCTGTCTTTTCTTGTCATTCTCTGTCAAGGCTTAAGTTTCTCTTTTAGAGAAGCAAGGCCTTTTTATGTCTGGCCTCCAGCAAGAAACCTCAGAGTCCTGTTTTTCCTTTTTTACCCCCAGAAAGTTAGCGTATCTAAGCTTTGCCCCTTGTTCTCCAGTGCTATATTGTCCATCACCCAGGCCAGGGGTGATTCCGGTTCAGCCTCCTCACCACTATTTCCAAGTTACTCTAATCCCTTTAGTTCCTGAGAGATTGTTCTCCCTTCCAATCAAACGCAAGAAACTGCTGCCAGACTCTGCCCTATAAAATAACTGCATTCTTTATGTGACTTCCTTATTTATGAACCTAGGGTGACTTTCCAGTGCTTATTGGCTCCAGTATAAATTCTTCTGTGTGCTTGGATTTCAAGTCCTTGGTAATCTTGCCTCACCTCATTTATCCGTCCTTACCTCCCCCGGCTCTCTATACACACCCTAGCCCCTCGAATGACAGTACCACCACTCTTTCTCAAGGCAGCTGTGCTGAAAGACCTGCTCTTTTAATTTTTTTTAACTTGTAAACTGTCATAGACAGATACTTTTGCAAAGTACAATAAAAATCATTAGAAGAAGAAAATTATAAAGCCATATAAAATATAAGCTTCATTTTTATTAGATTAATGAACATAAAATTACTCTGTCAAATTGGTATAAAAGTCCCTAAATGCTTATTAGTTTCCTTTCTTATCTCTGTAAACACTGATAATATGGAGTGTGGGGGCTGGCACCTGTCCTTGTGCCATACTAGGAGTAGCACAGCTTTGCCGCCTGTTCGTTCACACTGCCTTGCCTTTTGCTTGGACTCTCCCTGTCCTAGCTTGGAATGCCCTGTCTTTTTCAGCAACCTCACCTGCCCATGCTAGAGAGCCCCAGGTGGGTTCACGCTGCAACTATACAAGGCTATACTTAATAGACCCCTTCCTTGAACTCCTGCTGCTCTACTTACACTTAATATCATACCTCTTTTTTTTTTTTTTTGGAGACAGGTTCTCTCTCTGTCGCCCAGGCTGGAGTGCAGTGGCATGATCGTGGCTCACTGCAGCCTGGAACTCCTGGGCTCAAGCAGTCCTCCTGCCTTGGCCTCCTGAGAAGCTGGGACCACAGGTGTGCACCACCACATGTGGCTAATTTTTTTAAAAACATGTTCGTAGGGACGGGGCCTCCCTATGTTGCCCAGGCTCATATTTTTATTTTTCTATAATTGTTCCATCTCTGTTAGTCCTACCCACTCAATGCCTTTGCAAGTAGCCTGAGATACTAAAGGGTATAAAGTGTGTGTCCTTCCCACAAAAAACGTATTATATCCTAGCACCTAGCCTTTTAAGTCCCTTGATACATATTCGTTAAATGAATAAATGAATCTTCTATCCAAATAAAAATATGTTTCTCTCCTCCAAAAGATGTGTCTTCTATAATACATAGTAGGCACTTCATTAAAACATTTATTTAAAAAGTATATTAAGTTGATTGGTTATAGTCTGGGAACATACAGAGCACCTACTTTCCAACATTGCCCTGTGACATAACCTTTTGGCTACTGTATGGTGCTGACTATGGCACAGGTTTTGGTTTAGTGCCTTTCATAGTCATTTTTCTGCTTATTCAGACCAGTTATTGCCGGATCTGATTTTATGGTTCCATGGAGTGTCACATGTTGAGAATGTGAAACTTTAAAAATTGTTTTCTGTTTACCCCAATTTCCATTAACATTCATATTCACATGCCATGCAATGTTTTTTTCTCTTTAGAGGTTAGAGGAACCTTTAAGAGAGTATTACAGTTGCCCAAAATTTGGAAATTGCTGAATTAACCTGTTTCAGGTTAAGTGGTTCAGTCTGCACACTCCTTGATCAATGAATCATTTCTCCGTTATGTACTTAGTTTCAGGGTCGGTAATTAATAAGCAGTGGCATTTCCATCTCAACCAGTGAGTTTATTCCAAATTCCTGGAATAAGCATTTGTATGGCAAGGTGGGTATTTTCCCCTTTCATTTATTTATTTATTTATAATTGTTTTTCAATAGTTTTGGGGGAACAGGTGGCATTTGGTAATGTGGATAATTTTTTTTTTTTAACAGAGTCTCGCTCTGTCGCCCAGGCTGGAGTGCAGTGGCACGATCTTGGCTCACTGCAACCTCTGCCTCCCGGGTCCAAGCAATTCTCCTGGTTTAGCCTCCCAAGTAGCTGGGCTTGATAAGTTCTTTAATGGTGATTTCTGAGATTTTGGTATACCCATCACCTGAGCAGTGTACACTGTACCCAATGTGTAGTCTTTTATCCCTCACTCCCCTCCCACCCTTCCCCACAAGTCACCAAAGTCCATTGTATCCTTCTTCTTCATCTTAGTCTTCGTCTTGGCTCTGTCACCCAGGCCAGAGTGCAGTGATGCATTCTTGGCTCACTGCAACCTCCACCTCCCAGGTTCAAGCAATTCTCCTGGCTTGGCCTCCCAAGTAGCTGGGCTTACAGGCACCCGCCACCACACACAGCTAATTTTTGTATTTTTAGTAGACATGAGATTTCACCATTTTGGCCAGGCTGGTCTCAAACTCCTTACCTTAAGTGTTCTGCCTGCCTCGGCCTCTCAAAATGCTGGGATTACAGGCATGAGCCACCACACCCAGCCATTATATCATTCTTATGCCTTTGCATCCTCATTGCTTAGCTCTCATTTATAAGTGAGACTATATGATGTTTGGCTTTCCATTCCTAGTAACTTTACTTAGAATAATGGTCTCCAACTCCATCCAAGTTGCTGCAAATGCCATTATTTCGTTCCTTTTTATGGCTGAGTAATATTCCATGGCATATATGTATATGCCACATTTTCTTTATCCACTTGTTGATGGATGGGCATTTGGGCTGGTTCCATATTTTTGCAATTGCAAATTGTACTGCTATAACATGCGTGTGCAAGTGTCTTTTTCATATAATGACTTCTTTTCCTCTGGGTAGATACTCAGTAGTGGGATTGCTGGATCAAATGGTAGATCTACTTTTAGTTCTTTAAGGAATCTCCATACTGTTTTCCATAGTGGTTGTACTAGTCTACATTCCCACCAGCAGTGTAGAAGTGTTCCCTTGTCACCATATCCACGCCAACATCTATTATTTTTTGATTTTTTAATTATGGCCATTCTTGCTGAGGTAAGATGTATCACATTGTGGTTTTGATTTGCATTTTCCTGATAATTAGTGGTGAGCATTTTTTCATATGTTTGTTGGCCATTTGTATATCTTCTTTTGAGAATTGTCTATTCATGTCCTTAGCCCACTTTTTGAGGGGATTATTATTTTTTCTTGATTTGTTCGAGTTCTGTGCAGATTTTGTATATTAGTTCTTTGTCAGATGCATAGTTAGTGAAAATTTTCTCCCATTCTGTGGGTTGTCTGTTTACTCTGCTGATTATTTCTTTTGCTGTGCAGAAGCTTTTTAGTTTAATTAAGTCCCATCTATTTATCTTTGTTCTTCTTGCATTTGCTTTTGGGTTCTTGGTCATGAACTCTTTGCCTAAGCCAATGTCTAGAAGAGTTTTTCTGGCAAGGTGTTTAATAATGCTACAAGTTTAGCCAAAGGATGTCAAGGGGTTTTAAAACTTTCCTGTTAACATATAACACACCTACAAAACAGTGTGCAAATCCAGTTACAGCTCCATGATTTACCAGAAAGTGAAGACACCCGTGTATCCAAGGGTGGTGAGAATTTCACTGGGAACTTTCTTTCCTTTCTTTCACAGCCCCAGCGATGTCTTCTTAAACATATGGCGTTAGTGGGTGTGTATGTTATGAAGTGTAAATAGTAATCCATGTGCAGAGGTGCTGCTCAGTTGAATGAATTAAGCCTTTGACTTGTCTCATTGTCCTGAGAGCATTGACGCCATCTGTCTGGCAGCACAAATTCTGACAACAGCCCAAATCTATAGGGTCTTTCAGTTCATTTATTTTTTTAAAAAGCTTTCCAGGTGTTTTGAATTATATTTAGTTGTGGTTAGTGGTAAATTTATGAGCTGGCTGGCTACATCTTCTTGAGTTGTGCCATAGAATCTGCAAAACGGTCCCGGGGTCTCTCTCTTGGGGTCTCTCCCTCTCTTTTTTTCTTTTTTTTTTTTTTTTGCCTTCCAAATTTCAGCTTGGAAAAATAACAAAAATGTTCTCAGCTCCCCATTTTCCCACCATTACTGCTTTCTTTCAGCTTTCAAGGGATGAATTCTGACATGCAGTTTCATGTCCTACCCTAGGATTATACACAACTCTCATAAAGTACCCATGGCTAGAAAATCTGCCTGTTTTCTCCTTAAAAGCCCTATGTGGTTTGTAGGGCTGACATTTTAATCATTACCCCTGTTAAAATTCCCAGTGACTGTCCAGGTGCATCACTGGCAGAATCTCCAAACCAAAGTTTAGGAATAAAAAGGAAGAAGAGAAGAAATACTTAAATATTGTACTTACAGTTTGTGTTGAGGAGAAAAATGCTTACACTGCTAAAGTCTATTGCAGCTTAACTAACACTTCGCTAGGACAATATGCTGAGTGTTCGGCATGTTGTTTTCTTTATTTTTTCCCCCTAGCAATAATTTCTTAACTCAGTGTTCCATTAACCTTGAGGCAAGCCAAGAACTTTTTTAGGATGCTTTTAATGCAAGTAATTTACTTACCCATATGATTAATTAAGGGATATACTGCCATTATAAAGGTTTGCATATATGTAGAGCTATAATTTTTCCTTGGTTTATAAAGTAGTTTATAAAGTTCTGCTGACCCATAAAAATCTAACTGTTGCAGTTACTGTTAGGCAGAGTACAGTAGGGTGTGTAACTGGTGTGCTGTCATTTCCTTGAGCTAACTAGGGAGAACTTGTTATTTGGTGGCTGGGTGATGGGTTAAGCAATACAATAGTTTAAGCAGATTTAAGAATCCAGCAGGACAAGTTAGGAAGTGAGACTCCTGTGAACTTCTGGCATTAGAGGGAGATGTGCTGGCCCCAGTGGATTTGGGTCTCTTCCTTCCTTGGCTTGAGCTGTGGATTCTAGGCATTTAAGGTTTCCTCCCCACACCCACCTTCTCCACCACCAAGGTCAACCTCAGAGCAGCATCTCCTAAGAGACCTGGAGAGGAAGGGTTTCCGGTTGTCCTTGCTTTTTAATTTAAGGGCTTTGTTTAAACCTGAATTCAAGGGGGAAAAAGCAGTTTTTCCACATATAAGGGAAGTATCTAGCTGGATTTTGTGCTCTTTTGTTACTAAAGTTCTAAAATTGTGGACTTTTAGTATCCTGTGATATGTGTTTTTCATGTGCTAAATTCCAAAGCCAGGACAGGAGTAGGGAGGGGGTCCAGAGTGTCCTTTCGTTGGCTCTTCCAGATTCAATGTGTAATCACTAGGGAGAGAAATAAGAGCAGAGGTTTTACAGTAAATAATATAGTTTGAATGGTAATCATCATATAATCCAAAAGCATTTCTTGAGCAACTATTGTGTATCTAGCATTGTGAAGGAGGGTCTGAGTAAATTTGCCTGAATCCTGGTTCTGTTGTGCTTATTATTCAATGAGAACACAATAAAGTAGTGAGTGGCATTGTCCTAAGGGAGTTTAGGAAAGGGAAAATATCATGAAAGAAGTGAGACTTGAGCTAGCCTTTAAAGACAGTTAATATTTGGGCCAGTCTGGCCCAGTAACACAAGTCTGGTTAGAGGTGGGTGTGGGGGCTGACCATGAGGAAATTGGCTTGACTTGAGAAGAGATCTGTGGGGCAGCTGGGAAGCAGGGCAGGGGAGTTAGAGATGGAATGTGGCCAACCACAGGGAATGGCCTTGGAGAGTAATAACCTAAGGAAAAGGCCAGGACATCAGTGAGAAAAATAGGGATAGAAAGTAAAGGAATAAATACAAAATACTGCAAACAAGAAAGTTTGGACTTGGTACCAAATTAAATACCGGGGTTAAAAGAGGAGGGAGCAAAAGAGAATCGACATTCTAAGTAGGTGACATCAAAATAGCAATTGTGATAGCAGAGAATTTGGGGAGAAAGAAATCTGCTTTGGGGAGCAGTAATGTGTTTAGGTATGTTTTTCAAGTGTCAAACTTTTTATTTGGTGGTAATTTAAAATATGCTGTGGCTTGAATGGGAGAGCAGGAATAGATTTTTAGAATTTGGAAGTTATTTGAGAATAATGATGTCTGTAACCCATAATAGAATTCAGAGAAAGGTGATTAGACAGATGTATGGTGGGGCAAGGTGGAGTGGTGGTGGGGGGCTAGCCACAATAGGAACCTTGAGGAAGGAAGAAGTGGCAACAAATATTGAAGGAAGGATCAGAGAGGTAGTAGGAGAACCAGAATACTGTACCATATAATATAAGCTAAAAAGGGCATTTCAGGAATTAGGGAGTCATCTTATGTCAGATGCCAAAAGAAGAAATTGAGGAGAGTAGGAAGTTAAAAATCCTTTTAGCTGTATTAAAGTCTAGTATATATTAAGCCCATTTGCCATGCAAAGTTAGAATCTCATTATAACACAACCTGCAATAGTACAGAATTTGATACACTCCTATTCAGTTTTGTGCTCTATTCCAAGAGGATAGATATTCCTGGAAGCATCTTATCCATGACTCTTCTGCTGCATAAACCCTAGGGACAGCATAAGATAGAAGTTTATGCATATTCTCTTAACAGATATACAGCAGGTCACAGCAGTTAAACACGATTGGGTGAATTCTTCCACCAAGTTTCAGCAGGCTTTTTACCCCTCCAAACAAATATTCATATCAACTTTGGTATGATGCAACTAAGATGCAGAAACATTAGCCTCTCGCTCTTGAGGCTCAACTCAAGTCAGTGAAATGGGGTTGGAACTATAATCCGGTTCCCCAGATTGTCTAATTTGTTTTTTTCTTCTCTAACCCATTGAGAAAATAAAGATTAACCTTCAACTCAATATATCTTGCCTCCTGGACCTAAATTCAGATCAAGACGTATTCCTAAGCTTACATTTTAGAATTACAGAGTAAGGTGTAGGCGGCATTTGTCATTCTAGTAGTCACCACACCTTAGGTGGGTGGTTGGGCAGAACAGTGACTGAAGGATGGAGTGTGTGTCCCTAAACCCGACACGCCCTGAAATCTTCCTGAATTAGTAAGTCACTTTATCCATATATTCTTGCACAATAATGGCGAAGGGGAAGTAATTTGGATAGCTGCTGATAAGACATTTTTGGGCCCGTGAAATGGCAATACTTCAAACAGAATGGGAGTAGCTGTACTAAACCAAGCAAACAGAATTCTTTCGAAAATAGTTACGGAGTTTCTACCTTGTAGCTGAGGCTTCCGAGCAAGGGTAAAGTCAGTCCCTTCCCTCTGGGAGAGATAAAGCACAGTGCAAGTAACTGGAATGCAAGGCAGGATGTGTCTAAGTGCTATGTGAGCGAGTCATAGCAGAGACATTCTTAGAGTGGGTTCTTGGAGGAAATGTAGAGTGTAAAGGCTTGACAGCTCCTAAGAAAAGCATCAATGAAGAGATAATGAACCTATTCATTCTGCCAATCTACCAAATGGTAAGACGTAATAAGTTTATGTAGCAAATGAATAGTGTAACTGTGTCTATTTTTACAGGGGACTTGAGCTCATGAGTAAAGTCCTTCCAAGTTGTCATTTTTGTTTAAATTTCCCTTGAGCAATAAAGTAAAATTCATTCAGCTGCCAGTTTTATCATGTGTTATGTACTGGCTTTAGAGCTGGAGGGGTTGGGAAATATGAGAGTTTCATATTAGGAGCACCAGCACAGGATAGGTAGCTTGCCCAGGATGAAGAGTAGCAAAATAAATGCCTTGTTATCCACGTGGCATATGGCATTCTGTTGTTTAGTGCTTTGCAATACAGTGTGGCCATTTCAGTGAAGGGTGCTAAGACTCCAGATACCTAAGTCTTGGCCTAAGCCATTATCTATCTCTGTGTTAGTGCTGGAATCCTTGGCATTTTCTGACATAATCATGCCCAAGCTTGATTACCCAAGTTCTGTAGATTGTTCAAAGTGTCCCTTGTGCTTATCTCATCTATCAGCTCAGCTGTCATACTCATTCAACCCTTGTGCCGAAGACTGTGTAAGATTCATCTTCATAAAACACCACATAGGATGAATTACCAGTTTCTGCTCTTGAAATCTATTGAATCACTCCTCACTCCACACCCCATTACTTCCTTTCTGTTCTCACCTCTACTCAGCCTAGTTCAGGCCCTCCTGAACTCTCTCATCTGTCAGTTGTGAGAGCTGAGCTTTTAAATTGATTTCCCTGGTGCAAATCCATATTTCCACTTGCTGCTAGACTAAACTTCCTGAAGAAGCATTTTACTCTCCAACTTATAAAACTTTGGTAACTGCCCATTGCCTGTAGCTCTGTTTTGCAGCATCGAACCCCATGATATGCGTTACTGTCTTCACAGTCTTCATGTCCATCTGGACTTGTTATCTTCTTTTAAATCAGCTCATTTTAAATATTAAAACATGTATTTTAAAACATGTAGCCTCACTGCAAGCAATAAACTCCATGCAAACATGAGTCAGGGTTAGTTTTAATGTATTCCTCTTTACAGTCAAATGGACACATTAAGTAAGAGGAACAACATTGGTGGGCCACCTAAAATTCCCTCTCCTAAGAGGTTGCTCACCACACTGATAGTCCACCTCATTATTATTATTGCAGCATTTAAGGACCACAGCATGGCCTTGACCTTATTCACCCTCTTCTCTCTGTCAGAACTCTCCACTCCAGCCAAACTGGTTTCTTTGTGGCCTCCTTAGGTAGTAACTTTATATATTCTCCTTAGCTTCTGAAATACCTTTCTCTACCTCCTCCTCCTCCTGATCTGTGTTTGTCTTTTCCATCCCCTTTGGTCACTCTTCACTCCAACTCATCTTATCTATAGCAGTGCCTCCCCCTCTCTAAATTCTTGCATTTTGCATCACTGCCTTGTATCAGTAGTTCAGCATTTTCATTTTATCTGGCTTAATTCTGTCCTCATTGTATCATACAGTGTCAGAGTTAAGATGTATCTCAGAGAACTTTTCATAGGACTCTTACTTGATGTAGACCCTTGAAGCTCCTTGAGGACAGCAATCACATTATTCCTATCAAGCCCCAAATGTGTGTCTCTCTTTTAGGGTTTTTCTTACTCCAGAAGTCATTGAATACACCATTATTTCAGGATTTTTCAGGAGTTATTTATCTAGCTCATTCTGCTGATCAGCAGTGTTTCCACCAGAGATGTCAAAGTCATACCTTTATTATCTTGCCCCCCACTTGTCCCTGTTGTAAGTTCCCACCCTTCACACCTTACCTCAATACCTCCTCACCTCCTGACCTCATACATTCAGTCTTCCTAGTTTTCAATCCATTTTGTTACCTTCTTCTTTACTTCCAAATAATAATAAACTCTTGTTTTTTGAGACAGGGTCTCACTCCATTGCCCAGGCTGGAGTGCAGTGGTGCAGTCATAGCTCACTGCAGTCTTGATCTCCTGGGCCCAGGCAATCCTCCTACCTCAGCCTCCTGAGTAGCTGACACTACAGATGTGTGCTACTATGCCCGGCCTTTTTTTTTTTTGTAGAGATGGGGTCTCACTATGTTACCCAGACTGGGCTCAAACTCCTGGCTCAAGTGATCATCTTGCCTCAGCCTCCCAAAGTGCTGGGATTACAGGCATGAGCCACCATGCCTGGCCAATAATAAACATTTTTTTGTTGAAGATCCCATCTGTGTCTATCTCCCTAGTTCTCTCTTTCTTTTACCCTTAGCCCCAAGTTGTTGAACATAAAGTCTGGAACTCACTACTCTTTAGCAGTTCCTTTCTGGCCTCAGACAAGGGAGAAGCTAAACAGTTGGGGTCAGGGGCATTCATGAGGATCTTTGAGTGATATTTCCCTAGAGAGGCCCATTTTCCTGTTGCTGATGCTAACAAAGATAGTTAACATTTGGCACTGGCAGTGTCCAGACACTGAGCTCAGCACTGGTCATAGTGTCCTGGTTAATCCTTGCAACAACCCTAAGAATCAGGGACTCCCGCCCTCCCCATTTTACAGATGATGAAATGCAGGCATAGGGAGATTAGGCACAGCTGTTAATGGCAGAACCAGGCATTCCAAAGCTGAGACTATACTGTACTGCTCAAACGACACAGGTGTAGAAGGTGTATGGCAGCCTGAGCCCCATTTCCTGTTTGCATATTCCTGCTCATACATGCACAGGAATATATACTTAATGGGGTACGGTCACTGGACCCTTCTCACTTACTCTCTCACCACCCCCTCTGCTCCTGCCATTTTGTGGGCACCCACATAGACGTAGTGCTGCAAAGTGAGCCTCCTTTTGAGCAGATCCACACAAAATGTGCAGATAAACAAGCCTTCTACCTCAGGCCTGCAGCACGCCTGCTTTCTGACCTGCTTGGTACGTTTCGGGCCCAAAGTGTCAGAGTGTGGATTTTCACAATCCCCCTCCCACATTTTAAGTTTGCAGGCAAATGAACCTTAATGTGCCTTCTCTACTTCCCTCCCTCCCTCCTTCCCTCTCACACTCAGAGTGCCAGAAAGAAGAACCTGCTGACTCCACCACTCGTCTATATGTCTTGACTGTAGGAGAGAGAGCTTTCCTGATCCCATTCCTATTTGTGGAGTCTGTGGGAGAGCAAGCCATCTTGCCTTCTTGTTATTTCTCTCCTTCACCCATGCATGACACTGCAAAGGGTTTGCTGGCTTGAGTCTTCTACACACACACACACAGTCTGAGACATCTGATGTGTTCACCCTCCCATTTGCCTTGAATGGTAGTGTGTGTGTTTTTTAATTCCACTCTTATATACACAACTTACAGGAGAGTGAATTTTCTAGTGCCACCCCCCCGCCATAGGCTATGTGCCCCCTTGCTTTTTTTCACCCAGCATCCAGAGTCGAGATTGTTTAGTGCCCTTCTTACAGGCCTTGTTGGCAAGAGTGAGCATTATTATGGGACACCCTCCCCACCCCCGACACAGATGATGCACACAGGAGTACAAGATGATGAGGCTCCTGATCACCCCACGCCTCCTTAGACCTACGTCTGTGTACATCCTCTGTCTGTGAGGGAGAGAGGAGGTGACTCCTTACCTGTTTGTCTCACATGCCTCACACATTGGGGTGTGAGCTGTCTCAGTTCCCTCCCACACATGAGGTTTACAGATGTGCAAGCTTTCTGAGCTGTGCCCTGCCTCTTAAACCCAGCATGCCTTCTTAGTGCTCTTCCCACAAGCATGCATTATTGGAGAGTGGACTTTGCTTTTTTTTTTTTTTTTTAACTTGCTGAGTTGAAGTATTTGAAGGATAGTGGGCCTAAAAAAACTGGCTCTGGCACAGGCACATGTGCCTTCACATGTGTACACACATGTACACCACGAGGGAGATGAATCCTTCGGCCTGTTAGTGTTTGCTTTGTATGGTAGATGTGTTGAGGAATAAAAAAAATAATCTGCCCCTTTTAGCTGAGGGGAAAAATAAGTTCAGAAATGGCAGTTGATCCATTAAGGATGGTGGGCAGTTTCTAAGCTATACTCTGTTGGCCAGCAAGTTTAAAGACTAAAGAAAAAGTGTCAGTGTGAACACATATTTGGCTCTTTTCACTATAGTTGGTGTTGTCAAGCAGCTGATACCTGCGGAATAGAATATGAGAATTGTGCTACAACGAATACATTTGCTTTCTTAGTCTGTACATTAAAAGCCCCTTTTTTTACTTGTTTTAAAGGTTGTGGAGCATTGTTTGAATGACAGTTATTTACATTGTAAAAATAGTATGAAATTTATGATATTTTAAAAATTTGCTAGGATTCATCAGTGAGCATTCTTCCTATATCTGCCCTGTCTCTGCTCTCCACTCCCCCAGCTCTCCTGCCCCATGCAGGGGTGCAAGCCTCTCAAGCTATCCCATCCCACCTTGACCACACAGAACTACAGTGAGCTTTTTATTTTAAATATGCTTCCCCAAACCTGTTGGACTGTGGGTTTCCCCATCCGCCTCCTGCTTGCAGCCTCTCTCTCTAATCCTGCTTTTCTCTTTCTTTCTCTCATGTGCATACACTCATGATATGCATGTAAGGGAGACACCTGAGTTGCCCCATTGCATCCAGCATCGCAGGACTGTGAGCCTTCTATTGCTGCCACTCTCCTACCCCACGCATGGCTTAACCTAAAATAAAACTGACCTCCCAATTGGGAGGTTATTACAACCTCCCAATGCACACACTGGCTGGGCCACAGTGGCGTGTGAACCACTGTGTCAGCCACCTTATTACCCCTTTTCTGTGCATGCCCCCACACACATTTATGATAGGAGCTTGAGCCTCCTTATTCTCCATCCTTGCTCTTTCTCTCTTCCTTTTCCTCCCTCATCTCACATGTGTGTGCCAAGGATGTGCCAGAAAGTGGGTCCTTATCATTTTCAGTTCTCATACACATGTGGGTACACACAGCTTTAGGGTTCAGTGGTTAGGCCCACTGTCTTGGTAGTCAGATTACCTGTGGTAGAATCCTGGCGTGATCTGTAATGAGCTTTGTGATCCTAGACAAGTGACTTATCTTGTGTCTCAATTTCCACAACATGAAAATGAGATAACTAATTGTGCCAACCATATAGGTTTGTAATAAGCACTGAAGGAGGCGACGCATGTATTGGGATTAACATGTAATAAACTTCCTTAATCCATATGCTTTGCCTGGAGCAACTGATTCTCCATAGAAGAAAACTCACACCTAAGCTGCTTGGTCCCATTATTTGAAAATGTTTGGGAAGTACTGCCTTGGATGACTGTTTCATAATTCTTTCCTTTCCTCAAATCTGCAGTGTCACCTCCCTTCCTTCCTCCTCACTCTCAGCTGCTGACTTTGCTTTCTTCTTCCTTGAGAAAATGGAAGCCATCAGAAGGGACCCTCTGAAGTTCCTCTGACCTCTCCTCCATTACCTGCACATGTCCCTAAGTGTCAGCTCCTCCCCATTATGGTAGATGAATTACTGGCACATGTAGCCAGGACCAGTTCCTCCACTTGTATACTAGATTTCAACCCCTGTCACCTATTCAGTGACAGTGCTCCTGCAATTGATCCCCCTCTCCTTACTGCATCATCAACTGTTCTTTGTATACTGGAGTGTTTGTACCAATATCTAGATGTGCTGCCACATATCCTGTCTAAAAATAATTTTAAAAATTAAAAAGCACTACCTTCTCTACCCAAAAAGCTCCTCCAGTTTCTACTCATTTCTCTGTTCCTCTTTACAGAAAAAAAAAAAATTTTTTTGAAGGAGCTGATTGTACTCCATCTCTACTTCTATTTCTCCCATTTACTCTTTTTTTTAAATGTATACTTTAAGTTCTAGGGTACATGTGCACAACATGCAGGTTTGTTACATATGCATACATGTGCCATGTTGGTGTGCTGCACCCGTTAACTTGTCATTTACATTAGGTATATCTCCTAATGCTATCCCTCCCCCCTCCCCCCACCCCATGACAGGCCCCGATGTGTGATGTTCCCCTTCCTGTGTCCAAGTGTTCTCATTGTTCAATTCCCACCTATGAGTGAGAACATGTGGTGTTTGGTTTTCTGTCCTTGGATCCCTTCCTTACACCTTATACAAAAATTAATTCAAGATGGATTAAAGACTTAAATGTTAGTCCCATTTACTCTTGAAAACCCTCCATGTAAAACTGTAACCTGCAGCACTTAAATGACCCTGGTCAAGGTCCCCAGTGTCCTTCACATTTCCCAATTTACTGGGCAATGTTGTCATCTTACTTGACAGATCAACACACAGTTGATCACTCCCTCTGCCTTGAGACTCTACCTGCTTTCCAGGATTCCACACTCATGAGGTTGTCTTCTTACCTCACAAGCCTCTCTTTCTCAGTCTCTTGATGGTTTCTCCTCCTCTTCCTGAATTCTAAGTATTAAAGAGATATAGGGCTTAGTCTTCAGACTTCTTTTTTTTTTTTTAACTTCTCATTAGTCCTCAGCTGTTCTCATCTTGTCTTGCAACTCTAAGTACCATTTTATGTGGATGATTTCTGTGTTTGTATTTCCAGCCTGGACTTCTCTCCTGAATTCCAGATGCCTATGTCCAACTATGTACTGGACATCTGCCCCGAATGTCTAATAAGTATCTCAAAACTTTAACACATCCAAAGCTGAGGTCCTGGTTTTCCTCCCCCTCTCAAAAAGCCCTACTCCTCCCTCTGTGTTCTCCAACTCAGCAAACAGCATTTCCCAATTGCATATGCCAAGGATATGGAGAATTTTAATAAGCTAAAGGTTTTGGATTCATCTTTGACACTTTTTCCCCTCCATTCTCCAAATACAAACTGCTGTCAAATCTTGTTGGCTCTACTTTCAAAATACATGTCTAATCTGACCACACAGCCACTTCTCATACTTCTCACTTCCTCTATTATTTCCACACTAATCCAGCTTTTCCCTGGGCTGACAAGTGCAAGTTCTCTTGCGTCTGTCTGTCTGTCTGTCTCTCTGTCTCTGTCTCTGTCTCTGTCTCTCTCTCTCTCTCTCTGTGTGTGTGTGTGTGTGTGTGTGTGTGTGTGTGTGGTGTGTGTGTGGACACAAAGTGGTTGGTGGCTGAGAGCTTGAGCCTCCTTTTTTGAGTCCTCTTTCTAATGACCTGCATGCCAGATTCTAAGCTTTCTTACCATCTGTTCTCGTATGTGTGTTATTTCATCTGTAAAATAGGGATAATGATCACCTCATGGATATTTTATGAGAATAAATGAGCTATGTGTGAAAAGCACTTAAAACAGTGCTCTGCAAATGTAAATACTATACTGGTGTTAGGAATAAAAATAAAGGAAAAGAAAGAAGGAAGGAAAACAAATATGTTGTAGATAGTGAACATTTCTGAAGGTACATATGTGAATGTACACAAGCACACCTTCTCATTACAGCATGTCTGGGGCACAGTCATAGAAGTCCAAGGCATCTGGGATACGCATGCACACAGTATACAGGAGAGCAGACCTCCCGACTTGCTTTCTCTCCTCCATGCCTTGAGTGTAGGACCGTTGGCATCTTAATTACCCTCCCACACCCAAGGCTTGCAGAAGAGCGAGCCTTCTCTTCCCTCTCCAGTGCATAGGCATGAGCACATGGACAGGTACACCAAAGGGAGGTAGACCCTCTCTTACGTGCTCTGTATGTGGGGTACACTGTTAGCAGCCATCCCATCTGGATGACTGTCCTGCTTCCATGGCCACTGCTCCTAGTTTACCCATCAGCACTCCTGTGGCTATCTTGCTGCCCACTTGCACCCCCCAGGCCAGTGCCTCTTGCCTCCTAGAGCATACCCATATGTCGTGCCAAGAGAGCAAGCCCTTCCCTGCTCCCTCTCTCACATCCCTTGCATGGTGGAGGGTGAGCTTTCTGAAAACCCCTCCCACATGCAGGGTTTGCAGGATGGCGAGCCTCAGCTTTCCTTGCTCTCTTGTGCATGTGTATATACACATACGCACTCCTTCACCAAAAGAAAAACACACACCCATGTGGTGGGAAGGAGAATGACTCTCAGCCATGTCCTTTCTCCCATCTCAGTCTTACATGGATCCTGCAGGAGAGGGAGACTTCTCTTAGCTTTCTCTTGCACATGGTGCAGCCCCTCATACTCAGGGATAGGCACAGCCTAGAGAAGGAAGGGGGGTCTTTTGACCTGGTTCTGTCTTAGCGGCACCTAGAGGAGGAGAGAGAACCTTCTCAGGACTCCTGTACATGGGGCATGATGAAAAGGGAGTCTTCTAGCTAATTCTCACAAACCCAGTTTGTGAGGAAAATTGTGTCTATATCATAACCATATGCAAAGATGTAATATGCACACACATTTTGGGTTCAGAAAGTAGAATCCACTCACTGTGCCATGCCTTTCCATATGCACACTTGTTTGCTCAAGAGGGTGTGTGAAGATCTGTCTTCTTAGACACTCATGTAGATATGAGTCAGATTGTGAGTTTTCTCTGTTATCTCCCCAGACCCAGGATTTGCAGCCGATTCATTTGGTGAGCCACTCATTCATTCAGCAAATATTTATCGAGCAGCTACTGTGTGTTGGGTACTCCCCTATGCACCAGGGATACACCAGTGACCAAAAGACAAGAATCCCTGCCCTAGTGAGGGGAGGCAGGTAGTGAACAAAATAAGTAAGTAATAGATAGTGTGCCAATTGTTGATAAGTGCTCTGGAGAATAATAAGGCAGGAAAAGGGGACAAGGAGTGGGTGGGGGTAGTTACAGCATAGATGGTGGTGGAGAAGTTTCGATATCAAATAGGGTAGTCAGGAAAGGCCTACTGTGTTCTAGGAACAACAAAGAGCCATTGTGGCAGAAGCATAGGGCTGGGAAGTAGTAAGTTACAATGGAAAAAGGGAAAGCTGATAATTACTATGTATCTCTAAAATCTAAGGCCGCTTTTAAAAAAAAAATCATACCATTATCACACTTAAAAATAATTACCATCCAGGCACAGGGGCTCATGCCTGTAATCTCAGCACTTTGTGGGAGGCTAAGGTAGGCAGATCACCTGAGGTTAGGAATTCAAGACCAGCCTGGCCAACATGGTGAAACCCCGTCTCTACTAAAAATACAAAAATTAGTCAGGCCTGGTGGCAGGTGCCTGTAATCCCAGCTACTCGGGAGGCTGAGGCAGGAGAATCGCTTGAACCCGGGAGGCGGAGGTTGCAGTGAGCCAAGATCGTGCCACTGCGCTCCAGCCTGGGTGACAAGAGCGAGGCTTCATCTCAAAAAGAAAAAAAATTGCCAACAATTTTTTAATATCATCACATATCTGTTGTTCCCATTTCCACTTGTCTCAGAAATATCATAAATTAGGATCCAGATAAGGTCCATGCATTGCATTTGGTTGATATGTATCTTAAGTCCCTTTGAATTATATCTTTCCCTTCCATCTATATTTTTTCTTTCCTTATAATTTATTTGTTGGAAGAAAGTGGGCCATTCATCCTATACAGTTTTGCATAGTCTGGATTTTTGTGATCACATCCCTGTGATGTAGTTTACATGTTCCTTCTCCTTGTTTGTATTTCCTGTAAACTGATAGTTGCATCTGGAAGCCTGATCAAATTCAGGCTTAATTTTGAGGAAGGGGGAGCAGAACTACTTCCATTAAGAGGCACAAAATAACTGATGATCATCTTTCTGTGATGTTAGTTGCCACCGATGCTCAATTCTTAGAGCCGTTATTTCATTAGGGGTTGCAAAATGATGATATTCTAATCCCATTATTCTCTTGATTTATTAGCTGGAATACTTCTATAAAGAAAAACTTCCCTTCATCTGCTATTTGATCACCCAGTGTTGCCGTCTTTATAGGCAAGATAGGATAAATGTTTGGTTCTCTTTATTTATCAGTACTCAGAATAATGAGTTGGTTCACTAGCTTACTCTAAAGAGGATTTTTTAAAAAAACTATTATAATAAACTCATAGATTTAAATATATTTGGACTTTTAATCCATTGCAGTTCTTGCCTTCAGTGAAGCTCCAGTGCCCCATCTTTAGCCAGTAGGAGCTTCTTCAAATTGGTTCCTCAGTCCTTTTGACATGCCTCCGTAGTTATCTGATAGCTTCTCCGCTTTCAGAGATGAAAAAAATGTACAAAGCTCATCGCAGATACCTTCCCCAGGCCTGGAATCTGCCATGTCTTCAAGAAGCCCTGGTTTCTTTTAATCAGACATGATATTTAAAGACCATATTTGCCTCTGGATTGGTCATTGTATTTAGGCTTCTACAATGATCAGAACAGAAAAATGTTTTGTTTTTGTGTTTTCTTGTTTCTAGATAAATACATCATGATTCCATTATACTTCTGATTCAAAATCAGGATTACAGTTTTCTGTGTCTTTGCTTCACAAGTATGGTTCTGACTGTTGTATGGCAAATAGGAGGAGAAAGTGCAGAAACTGGGAGACCAGTTAGGAGGCCATTGAAATAATTCAGTTGAGAGATGGATGGAGGCCTACATCAGGGTGATCGTGGTGAAGGTAGTAAAAAGTGGTTATATTTTAAAGTTACAGCCAGTTGAGTTTACTGATACATTGCATGTGAAGTGTGAGAGAAAGAGGAGTAGGAGACTGAGCCCTCTCTTCCCTCTTTGTCACATATGAGTTGGGTACATATGCTGACACTGCCTCTTTAATCTGTAGCATCCGCATGCAAGTGCTGTCCCAGTGCAGTACACCTGGGCTAGGACTCACAGATGGTATGTTATGCACAGAGCAGAGAGTGCCTGTCACCTCTCCTAGTTCCTTTCAGAGAGCTTTTTGAATGCCTGTTGGATTTGGGGATCCAATAGTGGCAAGAGCATCAGGGACCCTGGTTTTACTGTGGGGTGAGCTTGTGCCAGAGAACACAGTTCATCATTCCCATTCAGCCTGCCTTCATGTGTTCAAGGGGCTGGAAAAGGGGAGCTTTTTCTTTCCTAACTCCCATGCTATCCTTGGGGTACAGGTGCCTGAGCCTTCTCATTTGCTCCTTCTCTTTAATCCTTGATACTGGTACTAGTGCTCTCCACATGCAATGCACCTTGGCAGGGATTCAGATGGGGTGAGCCTTAGCTGCAGATGGAAGGACAGAGCCCTTGTACATCGCCTACCTCTCCTGCTGCCTGCCAGTATTATTTACTCCTGTAGGGAGCCAGAAGAGAACAGTACAGCCACAGTCCCCTGAGTGTACTGCCTAGCTAGCACATATAGGAGGATAAAGCTCATTTGTACTCACTGTGCAGGTGTGCACACATGCTGGGGATACTGGAGAATGAATTTACTTTAGTTCCCACCCCCCAAGCACCCCACCTTGTCCCCCAGGATGGTCAGGCATCTAGGGATGTAGACCTGTATACACGGAGTCCCACTGATCAGGTAAGCAGTGGGTGGTTCCTTCCTGCCCTAACTCTACTCTCTTTGCCCTCCCAGAAAGGGCAGTGAGCTGTCTCGGCATTCTTCCCTTAGGTAGCTGTTGAATGAAGATGCACTTCCTTGTTAATGTTCTCTCTCACAATCACAGATACACAAATACTCGTATATGCACATGTGCACAAGCAAGGCATACAGGAGAATGAGCATGCAAGGGAGGCCCACATGTGGCTGGGTGCCCAGCATATGCAGACATGTGAGCATACAGGGACAGGAGAGACAGGAGCCTTTTTGATTATACTCACAGGGCCAGATGCCCCCATCTTTACTCATTTTCTGTCTCTCTCTCTCTCTCTTTCTCTCTCTCTCTCTCTCTCTCTCTCTCTCTCTCTCTCTCTGTCACACACACACACACACACACACACACACACACAGAGAGAGTGGAACTTCTGATGTTTTCCTTCATATCCCTTATGTGAAGGGGCGTGAACTTTGTTGACCTAGGGAGATTGAAGGAGAACCTCATCAACTCACACGTGAGGAATTTAAGAGGATGAATCTGTGTATCCCCTTGTGCAGGCACTCACACTCACAGATACTCGGACCTCTTCTCTCTCACCTGTCCCTTGCATGCAGGAGTTTCACCATCCCCCTTAAAAATGCACATTCATTCAAACACATATATACATAAAAATAGAGAGTAAGAGGTAAAAATATTGACGGCTGTGTGCCAGGTACTATACTTTATTTCATTTTCTTGACACCATTTAAGAGGTAGGCTTTAAATTGTCCTCATTCTTCAAAAGTGTTTAACTTGACCTTGGGAAAATCAGGTCGATTCTCTAGGCTAATATGTGGTAGAGCGTGCATTTGAACCAAGGTTCGTAGATACCAAAGTGCCTGGTTTTTCCACTACATTAGTGATTCTCCCAGTGTAGTCCCTGGACCAGTAGCATCAGTATCACCTGAGAACTTGTTAGAAATGCAAATTCTTGGGTCTCACCCCAGACTCACCAAGTCAGAAACCTCTGTAACCTGTATATTACCCAGGTCTTCAGATGATTCTGGTGCATGTTAGAGAACAACTGTGCTAAACTGTACTGCCTTCTTGTTGCATAGTCACACAAAGCATTTGCGGGATCATGAGCTTTGGCGTTATATTCATTCTCTCTTTCCTCCCTTTCACACTCCTCTCTCCTCCCAGTCTCTTTATAGGTTTATACTTTTTTGTTGTTACTATCTGAGAGAACAGACAAAATGTGTGTTTAACTAGACATCTTTAATGCAAAGCTCAAGAACTGTTCTCTTTACTTCTATATCATGACAAGTAAGTACCTTGTGTGAAGAAGAATGAGCCCTCTCACTGAACATTCACAGGGCTTTGTGTTCTGCTCCCCCTCTCTAATCCTTGCTACCTGGGTGAGAGTGCTGTCTGAATGCAATGCACCTGGGCAAGGATTCTGAGAGCGAGAGCTTCATCTTCGTGTAGGACAGAGCGTCTTTCTGTCCTCCTATCATCCATTCCACAAGTATTTATTGACCACCTTTTCTGTATATGATACTAAGTTGAGTAATGAGCATACAGTTGCTAACAAGACATGCTTGGTCCCTACCCTCATGGAGCTACAGTTGAGGAAGAAGAATGGAATTCCTCATCATCCATTACACCTACATGCCCTGAGAGTGGGTGGGCCACAGAGTGGACTTCTCATTACCACTGTCACCCACAAACATACACAAAAGCATGAATCTTCTCTGATCTCACATGGAACTCTGCAGGAGAAAAGATTCTCTGCCTTTCTGTAAAGTCCCTAGTAAATGACACTGTATATACATGAGAGTGAGACTTGGTTATAGCTACACATGCACACATACAAACACACAAAAAGGGCAGGTGTCAGAGCCTTCTTGTCTGCTCCCCCTCTTGAATCCTTGGAACCTAGGTGTGAGTGCTATTTCAGTGCAACACACCTATTCAAGGATTCAAAGAGGCTGAGCCTTGTCTACATGTAGAAGGACCAACAACCTGTCCCCTTCTTTCACATGTTTGTGTTTGCTATGCGGTGCCAGATCCTGCACTGGGTGGTGGAGATACAACGGTAAATAAGACAGCTAAGGTCCCTGGGCTCTGTAGAGGGCACCTGTGGGAGAATGAACTTCATCATTGCCCTGGACAAGCTTACACCTCTTTGAGAGCATGAGCTTTCTGTTTACTCCCAGCTTACTATGTGTCAGATACTGTAATGGGGAAACACACATTGGGTGATGAGACTTGCACAGCCAGTCTTTGCTCTCAGTGAGCTTATAGTTTACCAGAGAAACAGAAGAGAATGAAGTATCCCAATTTTCTGTACCATCTTCCAACATGTGCATGTACATGTGTGCCCACATACAGTTTGTCCCAACCTCCTTGCTAGGCCCCAAATACATCCAGCACCTGCAGACCCTCAAGTGTGATCTGAAAAAGATGCCACTCATATCTTTCATTCTAGTCTGAGGTTTTGTCTGAGAGGGCATGTCCATGTGGCCTTGTGCAGGGGGATGAATACATATGCTATCCCTGAGGAGAGGCATCTGTCTTAGCAAATGCACACAGAGATACTTTGCAGGAATGGGACCATGAAAGTCAAATATATATGGAGATATACATGCAGGGTGCAGGTGCCTGAGTCTTCTGCTCTGCTCTTCCTCTCTAATCCTTTGTCCCTGGGTGAGAGTGCTTTCTGAATGCAATGCACCCGGGCAAGGATTCTGAGAGGGTGAGCCCCCTCTGCGTGGAGAACAGAAGATCTGTATGTCACCTCTCAGCTGCTTGCTGCTTGCCTGCCTGCTCTCTGACCCTCATTCATTCTTTCCTTCCACAAATAATATGTATTGGGCACCATGATGGGCATTGGACACAGAGAAATGAACAAGGCAGACTTCGCCCCTGCCTTCCTGGATATTATAGCCTGAGAGGAGAATGGACTTTGTCACCACTCATTGCCCCTGCATATACTGAGGGTGAGTGGGCCACATAGGAACTTCTTATCTACCCTCTTCCCACCTTAACCCACCCATAAGTGTGAGTCTTCTCATTCCTGCTGTCACATTGATACTTGTTTCTTGTTTTTTCCTTCTTTCCTTCCTTCCTTCTTTTCTTTTTCTTTCTCTTTCTTTTCTTTCTTTCCTTCCTTTCCTTTCCTTTCTTTTCTTCTCTCTTTTCTTTTCTTTCTTTTTTGATGGAGTATTGCTCTGTTGCTCAGGCTGGAGTGCACTGGCACCATCACAGTTCACTGCAGCCTCAACCACCTGGGCTCAAGCGATCCTCCCACCTCAGCCTCTCAAATAGCTGGGACCACAGGCTTGTGCCACCATGCCTGGCTAATTTGTGTTTATTTTTTGTAGAGATGGGGTCTCACTATGTTGCCCAAGCTGGTCTCAAACTCCTAGGCTCAAGCAGTCCACCAGCCTTAGCCTCCCAAAGTGTTGGGATTATAGGTGTGAGCCACTGCACCCAGCCTGATACTTGTCGAAGCAACTTCTCTCTACTTTAGTTCAATGCAAGGTTAATGCACTAGGCAAGAACAGCAAGCCTTCTTGTTAGATGCACATGTGAGGTGTACAGGTACTGGAATCTCCTGTCCTGGTTCCCCCTCTCTAATCCTTGCTACCTGGGTGAGAGTGCTTTCTGAATGCAGTGCACCCAGGCAAGGATTCTGCAAGGGGGAGTGACATCTTCGCATAGGACAGAGCACTTCTACCTCCTCCTTCCATCCTTTCTATGACTATTTGTTGAGTACCTACCTACTCTATTGCAGGTGCTGTCCTGGGCAGTTGGCCCACAAGAGAATGAGCCATATCTGGTTCCCTACCTTCATGGAGTGTACAGTTCAGGGAGGAGAATGGACTCCTTCTCATTCATTATATCTGCATGTCCTGAGGGTGGGTGGGGTACAGGGTGGGTGGGGTACAGATACATGTTGGAGAATCTACTAAACCTCAGTACAATCACACATAAATACGCTGTGTGCAAGAGAAAGGGCCTGACTTGGTTACATCCACAGAGACATGTCCTCACAGAGTGGTCCCTCTGACCTGGTGCATCACTCACATTCTTTCAGCCTGTGTGCCAGTACTGCCTTGACTCACTGTCCCTTTTCAAGAATTCCAAGGGAAGAAGCCTTGTCTACACTTAAAAGGACAGAGCTTTTGCACATCAACTCTCCCTCCTCTTCCTTCCACAGATACTCAAGTGTCTATTAGACAGCAGGTATTATGTTCATCACCAAGGATATAGCAGGGATCAAAATGGACAGGTTGCTACCCTACATTCTGGTAGGGACTCATAAACACACTATACATAAATGTTGTGGATGAATAGGCCACTGTTCAAAAGAATGAAGTAGATCTATATGTTCCTTGTTACCCAGTCTGCATGCACAAGCATGTGCAGGTTCTGCTCAAGTGAAATTCTCAAATGTCCCCAATCCTTGTACACCAGACACACTCAGAGACATGGCCCTGCATGCAGAGAACCCCACCTACTGAAAGGGTAGGAGATGGAGCCTGTTGTGCTCTCCTCTCTCCCATTCTCAGCGTGCAAGCCAGTGAGCTTCCTTAACTCCCTTATAGATGGGGATTAAATGAGGGAAGTCTTCTTACTGCTACTTTCCTTCTTGCTGCTCTGTATAGGAGAGATCCTTTCATTACTTTTCTGTACAGTCACAGATGAACACACTATATGCGGTGAGCCTTCCCTGTAAACCCATGTGAGCACATGTGCACACACGCACACGTGCACACACACATACTCTGTATGGCTGCTTGGGCCTTCAGTCCTGTTCCCCCTCTTGAATCCTGGTACCTGGATGCAAGTGCTGTGTCAATGCGGTGCACCCAGGCAAGCATTCCACGGCTGAGCCTTTTCTGCATAGAGCGAAGAACACCTGTTTATAATCCCCATCCTTCATTCATTCCCACCTTTAACAAGCAGGGGTGGCGCTCCTGTCATGCACCAGACATGGAGAGACAGGGTGGTCAAGAAAGACACAGAACTCATACTCACATGCCTAGTGAGCATGTTTAAGAGAAGGAACTTCCGTTGCCCACATTGTTCATGCATACGTATGTAGCAGAGAGTGAGTCTTCCCATCATCCCCTCTCCAACCCCCCAACAGTGCTCAGCTAGAGAACTACAAAAGGTGTGTCTCCCCTTACACAGAGCTGCAGCCACAGTGTGCATAGGATAATGAGTGTCATTAGCAGCATCTTCTCACTCATGTCTGGTGTGCAAGGCAATAGGCTTTCTACTTGCTGCTTATGCCACCAGAGCTTGAAGGAAAGTGGCCCTACTTGTCAGTCATCTCACACATGCATATGAAGAAAAGACACTTCACCTTTGTATGGTCATAGGAAAATCACCTGTGAGCCAGAGAGTGCTGTTTCTTTTGTACATACACACAAACACAATGGATTTGAAGATGCTCGAGCCTTCTATTCAGGTTGTCCCTCTCTTTCATTCTTCGTAGTTGGGTACAAATGCTATTCCAGTCCATTGCCTTGTACAAAAATTCAGAGAGGGAATCTCATCCATGTTTAAAAGTGTAGAGTCTTTGCATCACCCCTCTATGTCCCATTATTTCATTTCTTTAAGTTATGTATAGAGCAGTGGTTCTCAGTGTGGTCCCTGGGCCAGCAGCATCTGTATCACCTAGGAGCTTGTTCAAAATGCCAATTCTTGGGCTCATCCCTGACCTACTACACCATAAACCATGGAAATCTGTACTTTACCAAGGCTCTCAACTGATTCTGATGCTCACTTAAGTTTGAGAATCACTGATTTAGTATAAGTGCTAGCTAGGGGCAGTGATAAGCTAGTCAGGTGAAGGGTGGAAGAGAATGAGCTCCTGCATTGCTCATGTACGTTCCCAATGCCGAGTCCATGCAGACTGTGGCAGGGAAGCCATCATTTCATTACTGTCTCCACCTCCTCCATAACCACACATTCAGTGAGCACATGAGGCTAAGTGAACACACAACAAGTACTTTATTAGGGAATAGACTTGGCACTGCTTCTCCAGGCGTGCACCTGACACTTTAATCTCAATCTGTCTCTCTCTCAATCAATCAATCAATCTCTCTCCTCTCTCTCTCTTTCTCTCTTTCTGTCTTTCTTTCTCTCTCCTCCCCCACCCCCCTCCCATGTGCAGAAGAATGAACTGCTCCTTCTCCCATACCCATTGCATATCGGAGTTGTGAATTCTCAAAACACCTCCTGTGTGCATGGATTACAGGAGGGTGAGCCTTGTCATCGTGAATCTTCTGCTGAACAATCCAAGTAGCCCGTGTTTATTGCGCACTTTTGATGTGCCATGAGCTGTGCTGGGAGTACCCTGCTAAATAATGGACAGTGTCTCTCTCCGGGACTTCCTATCTAGTGGAGGTATTAGGTGCCTAGACTTCCCCAGGCCTAGGCAACAGACACAGGTGTGTCAGGAATTGAGCCTTCTCATTCTCTTATGAATACACATGCTCACATTGTGCATGCATGTGCACACACACATGTGTAAGTGTAGAAACATTTCTGTACAAAGCTGAAAGGAAGGAGCCTTATTATCTAAACTTGCCTGCAAGTTTCCTTGCCACACACACTCAGATGCATGCCTGGTGTGCAGGTGCCTGGACTTTGATTTTTGCTTGCCCTCTCCTAGCCTTGCAGCCTAGGCACAAGTGCTGTCTTAGCAGTGCAATGGGCTTGTGCAAGGATACCAGCTTGTGAGCCTTGCCTATGTGTAGGACAGAGCCTGTCCATCCCTTCTCTTTCCTTTGTTCATTCTTTCAGTCAGTCATTTGTGTGTGCATGTTTTTGGTCCATTCATTTATTCATCCCTTTAACAAATTTACTGAATTCCTGCTGTTTGGGAATGCCACAGTAAACTAACCTGTCAGAGATGCCGACCTTACTGTCTAGCAGGCTCATGGAGAATAAGCATCCTCATGTCATCCAACTTCCTGTGAATACATGGGCTCAGGGTGCCAGAAATCAGGCTTTTCTTTATTCCCTCCCACAGACATGGGTACCTGTGCAAATATATGTGGTGTGCACATCCTGAGCCTGCTGCTCTGCTTCCCCTTGTATCCTTGCCACCTAAATGTGCATGCTGTCTCAGTGCAGCACCTATTCCAGGACTCTCAGAGGGGCCTTTTTCTGCCCATAGACAGACAAAGTGCCTGTGAGTCACACTTCCTCCTCCCTCTCCTTCCCCTCTACCTCCCTTTCACAAGTATTGAGCACTTAGTACATGCTAACGCTGTGCTGCCAGGGCAGTGGGCATATGGTATCACACAAGATGGACTTGGTTCTTGCCTCAAAGAATATGTGTAGGAGACTTGACTTTTTGTCACCTAATATTCCTGCACGTGCTGAGTTAGTGTGGGCCACAACATGGGACTTCTTATTGACACCCTCTCCCAACATATACACAATGCAAGACTCTCATTCCTGTTCTCACACAGAGCTGTGTAACAGAGAACCTTCTCTGCTTCGAGCACGGCAGGTGCCCAAGCCTTCTGCCCTGCTCCCCCTCTCTAATCCTTGCTATCTGGGTGCTAGTGCTGGCTCAATGCAATGCACCTGGGCAAGGATTCAGAGAGGGGGAGCTCAACTGTACCAAGAAGGACAGAGAGCCTAGACATCACCCCTCCCACCCTCCCCTGTCATAGTTTTTGAGTGATGGGTGTGTGTTGGGGAAGCACAGAACAGAATAGTTAGGGACTTCAGGTGCTCTGGTGGGCTTGTCTGTGTATTAGAATAAATGTCCTTATTAAATAATGTCCATGTATGCAGGTATCCAGAGTGAGACAGTGAGCTTTCTCTGTGTTCCCCACCTGCTGTCCACACACAGGGTGGTGGGCGGGAACCAGAGCCTTCTGATTTGCTCCCTCACTTCCTTCCAACCTAGATGTGAGTGCTGTCTCAAGTATTAAGCCAAGGATTCAATGAGATGGAGCCTTGCCTACCTATATGTATATATATGGACTGAGTGCATATATGTCTCTTTTCTTGCCTTCCTATATCTTGAGTTTCTAGAGTGTGACAGATACTCTTTTTAGTGTTAAGGATGCAGTGACAAACGAGAGTCAAAATCACTGGATGTGCTCTCTGATGGGCAGCTTTAGAAGAAAAATTCAGACGGGCACAAATGATGGGGGCCAAAGAGAGAGTCTTCCTATTCCCCCCACTCTGTCCCCTCTGAGGACAGGGAGATGCACACATTCATGAAGATTTACACTTACAGAATGTATAGGAGTTTGAGCTTATAAGCTGCCCTTTATCTTCCAGGACATCCTGAGTAGAACTGTGAGCTGCCTTTAGATGTCTATTACAGACTCTTCTTGAATTAGAGGGGGTGAAGAGCAAGGGACCCTTCTTATTGCTGATCTTGTATGCACCCCACACAATATGGAAATGAGAACAGCCTATATCTTTATATTACCTTACTTTAGTCAAATAGAGATGGACTATACATGTCTCTGTTTCAGTCTATCGCTCTCTCTGTCCGTCTCTCCATCTCTCTCTCTCTCTCACCTAGGGAGTACAGGTGCCCATGATCTGATTCACTCCCCTCCTCCCATCCTTAGCGCCTGAGCCTGAGTGCTTTCTACTGTGACCTCAGCAGTATTCTTCAGTTGTTACTCTCTTCTTAGCTAAGCTGATCTATTCATTCCTCCCCATCTTATCATTTTTGCTCATTGCCCATTGCAAATTTATAGTGTTCAGGTCAGCGTAGCAATACAGTATTATAAATAGTGGTGACAGAGACAGAAAGAGACACACACTCCATTTCAGTCCTCAAGTTCTTAAACATTTGGGACTTATAGATTCTGATCCTTGGTCCTTCTTCTCTCCCAGATTCTCCCAATCTAACCTGCAGTAAAGATTCAGGTTATTTAATATGTGCTCCTTATCTTTTGTATACTCTAAAATCTCATTTTGGTTACTGCTCAGCCTTAGTCTTATTTTATCAGACTTTATACCTCTCTTGATGCCCAAGACTAGCAGCATCAGCATCCTCCAGGAACTTGTTAGAAATAAACTCTCAGGCCTCACCTCAGACCTAGGTAATCAGAAAGTCAGGGGTGGGGCCCAGCAATCTGTGTTTTAACAGCCCTCCAGGTGATTCTGATGCACACTGAAGTTTGAGAACCATTGGTTTAAATGACTTAAAATTTCTATTCTGTCATTACTAGGGGGATTTCTGTGTTACACAGGATGATTTTTAGCATCAAAATTTCCTTATGTGTAAATGGCTCTTTTAGTTTCTTTTCATATTTTAAAAATTCATAGACTTTTTTGAGCAGTTTTAGGTTTACAAAAAGATTGAATGGAAAGTATAGAGTTGTTATATATTCTCGAGACACCCCAGTTTCCGCTATTAACATCTTGCATGAGTGTTGTACACTTGTTAAAATTGATGGGCTAATGTTGAGACATTATTATTAAATAATAGTATAATTATAATGTATTATAACTATTATTAAATAATAGTTTAAATATAATTATTAATGTAAACCATAGTTTACATTAGAGTTCCCTCTTTGTGTTATATACTCTATGGGTTTTGACAAGTGTATAATGACATGCATGACCATTATAGTATCATACAGAATAGTTTCACTGCCCTAAAATTCCTCTGAGTTCTGCCTATTTATCCCCCCTCCCCCACCCTAAACCCCTGGCAACCGCTGATCATTTTTCTGTCTCCATAGTTTAGCCTTTTCCAGAATGTCATATAGTTAGAATCATACATTATGCAGCCTTTTCAGAATGGCTTATTTTACTTAGCACTATGCATTTAAGGCTCCTCATATCTTTTCATGACTTGATAGCTCATTTCTTTTCTTTCATTTTTTTCCCCATTTATCCCATATAGTAACCAGCTTATTTCTTTTTATCACTGCATAGTATTCCATTGTCTGGAGGCACAAAGTTTATTTATCCTCACCCACTGAAGGGCAGCTTGGTTCCTTCTACATTTTGGCAATTATGAATAAAGCTGCTATAAACGTTTGTGTGCAGGATCTTGTATGGACATAAGTTCTCAACTCACTTAAGTAAAATACCAGGAAGTGTTGCTGGATCATATGGTAAGACTATGTTTAATTTTGTAAGAAACCACCAAACTGTCCTCCAAAGTGGCTGTACCATTTTACATTTCCATCAGCAGTGAACGAGAGTTCCTGTTACTCCATATCCTCATCAACATTTGGTTTTGTTAGTGTTTTGGATTTTAGGCATTCTAATAGGAATGTTTTCTTATCCTTGAGCTTAAAGAGTTTCTTACTTATTTTAGATACAATCCCTTTCTAAGATATGTCTTTTGCAAATATTTTTCCCATGTGTGATTTGCTTTTACATTCAATTAACAGTGGCTTTTGCAGAGCAGAAGTTTTTAATTATAATGAAGTCCAGTCTATCAATTTTTTCTTTCATGGATCATGCTTTTGGTGTTGTATCTAAAAGGTCACCACCAAACCTAAGATCACTTAGATTTTAGCCTACATTATTTTCTAGGAGTTTTATAGTTCTGTGTTTTACATTTAGGTCAGTCATCTATTTTGAGTTAATTTTTGTGAAAGTTGAAGACCTACCTCTAGATTCATTTTTTTTTTTGCATGTTCATGTCCAGTTGTTTCAGTACCATTTATTGAAAAGAATATATTTGTGTCATTGTATTGCCTTTGCTCATTTGTCAAAGATCCATTGACTATATTTTTGTGGGTATATTTCTGGATTTGTTCTGTTCTATTGATCTATATTCTTATGCCATTATTACACTGTCTTGATTATTGTAGCTTTATAGTAAGCCTTGAAGTTGGATAGTGTCAGTCTTCCAGGTTTGTTCTTCTCTTTCAAAATTGTGTTGGCTATTCTGGGTCATTTGTCTCTCTGGCTAAACTTTAGAATCAGTTTGTTGATACCCACAAAATAACTTGCTGGAATTTTGATTGGAACTGCACTGAACCTGTAGATCAAGTTGGGAAAAACTTACTTCTTGACAATATTGAGTCTTCCTATCCAAGTTCATGGAATATCTATTTATTTAGATCTTTGATTTGTTTCATCTGAGTTTTGTAGTTTTCCTCATGTAGGTCTTGTACATATTTTGGTTAGTTTTATACTTAATTATTTGATTTTTAGAACTAATGTAAATAGCATTGTGTTCTGATTTTTCAAATTCCAGTTTGTCATTGCTAGTGTATGAGAAAGCAGTTGATTTTTGTATATTAACCTTATATTCTGCAACCTTGCTATAGTTACTCATTTGTTTCAGGAGTTGTTGACTCTTTGGATTTTCTACATCGACAATCATGTCATCAGTGAAAAAAAAGTTTTTATTTCTTTCTCCCACTCTGTGTATCTTTTACTTCCCTTCCTTGTCTTTTTTGCATTAGCTAGGTCTTTCAGTATGATGTTGAAATGGGTTGGTGAGAAGGGATATCCTTGCTTTTTGCTAATGTTGCTGGAAAAGTCTTGAGTCTTGTACAATTAAATGTTAGCTGTAGGTTTTTGTAGATGTTCTTTATCAAGTTGAAGAAGTTCCCCTCTATTCCTAGTTTAATTAGAGTTTTTATCGTGAATGGGTGTTGCGTATTGTCAAATGTATTTTCTATGTTGATTTATATGATCATGTGATTTTTCTTCTTAAGCCTGTTAATATGCTAGATTACGCTAATTTATTTTTGAATGTTGAACTAGCCTTCCATAACTGGGATAAATCCCACTTGGTCATGATGTACATATAATTCTTTTTATATATTCTCGTGCTCAATTTGCTAATATGTTCAGGATTTTTGCATCTATGTTCATGGGAGATATTGGTCTGTAGTTTAGCTTTCTTGTAATCTCTCCATTCAGTTTTGGTATTAGGGTAATGAATTAAGAAGGGTTCCCTTTGCTTCTATCTTCTGAAAGAGATTATAGAAAACTGGTACAATTTTGTCTTTAAATGTTTGGTAGAATACACTAGTGAATCCATCTGGGTCTAGGGCTTTCTGTCTTGGAAGTTTATTTATTAGTAGTTTAGTTTATTTAATAGATACATGTCTTTTCACATGATCTGTTTCTCCTTGCATGAGTTTTGGTAGATTGTGTATTTCAAGGAGAATTGATCCATTTCATCTGAATTAATCAAATTTGTGGGCATCAAATTGTTAATATTCCTTTATTATCTTTTTAATGACCATATGATCGATAGTGATGGTCTCTATTTTATTTTTTCCTTAATTATTTTTACATTGACATGTAATTATACATATTTGTGGGGTACACAGTGACATTTTAATACATACAATGTATCACAATCAGATCACGGTATTATTTTGTAATACCAAAATACAAAAAGTAATTTGTGCCTTCTGTCTTTCATGCTTACTTTTTTTTTTTCTTTTTTTTTTTTTTTTTTTTTATTATACTCTAAGTTTTAGGGTACATGTGCACATTGTGCAGGTTAGTTACATATGTATACATGTGCCATGCTGGTGCGCTGCACCCACTAATGTGTCATCTAGCATTAGGTATATCTCCCAATGCTATCCCTCCCCCCTCCCCCGACCCCACCACAGTCCCCAGAGTGTGATATTCCCCTTCCTGTGTCCATGTGATCTCATTGTTCAATTCCCACCTATGAGTGAGAATATGCGGTGTTTGGTTTTTTGTTCTTGCGATAGTTTACTGAGAATGATGGTTTCCAATTTCATCCATGTCCCTACAAAGGATATGAACTCATCATTTTTTATGGCTGCATAGTATTCCATGGTGTATATGTGCCACATTTTCTTAATCCAGTCTATCATTGTTGGACATTTGGGTTGGTTCCAAGTCTTTGCTATTGTGAATAGTGCCGCAATAAACATACGTGTGCATGTGTCTTTATAGCAGCATGATTTATAGTCCTTTGGGTATATACCCAGTAATGGGATGGCTGGGTCAAATGGTATTTCTAGTTCTAGATCCCTGAGGAATCGCCACACTGACTTCCACAATGGTTGAACTAGTTTACAGTCCCACCAACAGTGTAAAAGTGTTCCTATTTCTCCGCATCCTCTCCAGCACCTGTTGTTTCCTGACTTTTTAATGATTGCCATTCTAACTGGTGTGAGATGATATCTCATAGTGGTTTTGATTTGCATTTCTCTGATGGCCAGTGATGATGAGCATTTCTTCATGTGTTTTTTGGCTGCATAAATGTCTTCTTTTGAGAAGTGTCTGTTCATGTCCTTCACCCACTTTTTGATGGGGTTGTTTGTTTTTTTCTTGTAAATTTGTTTGAGTTCATTGTAGATTCTGGCTATTAGCCCTTTGTCAGATGAGTAGGTTGCGAAAATTTTCTCCCATGTTGTAGGTTGCCTGTTCACTCTGATGGTAGTTTCTTTTGCTGTGCAGAAGCTCTTTAGTTTAATTAGATCCCATTTGTCAATTTTGTCTTTTGTTGCCATTGCTTTTGGTGTTTTGGACATGAAGTCCTTGCCCACGCCTATGTCCTGAATGGTAATGCCTAGGTTTTCTTCTAGGGTTTTTATGGTTTTAGGTTTAACGTTTAAATCTTTAATCCATCTTGAATTGATTTTTGTATAAGGTGTAAGGAAGGGATCCAGTTTCAGCTTTCTACATATGGCTAGCCAGTTTTCCCAGCACCATTTATTAAATAGGGAATCCTTTCCCCATTGCTTGTTTTTCTCAGGTTTGTCAAAGATCAGATAGTTGTAGATATGTGGCATTATTTCTGAGGGCTCTGTTCTGTTCCATTGATCTATATCTCTGTTTTGGTACCAGTACCATGCTGTTTTGGTTACTGTAGCCTTGTAGTATAGTTTGAAGTCAGGTAGTGTGATGCCTCCAGCTTTGTTCTTTTGGCTTAGGATTGACTTGGCAATGCAGGCTCTTTTTTGGTTCCATATGAACTTTAAAGTAGTTTTTTCCAATTCTGTGAAGAAAGTCATTGGTAGCTTGATGGGGATGGCATTGAATCTGTAAATTACCTTGGGCAGTATGGCCATTTTCACGATATTGATTCTTCCTACCCATGAGCATGGAATGTTCTTCCATTTGTTTGTATCCTCTTTTCTTTCCTTGAGCAGTGGTTTGTAGTTCTCCTTGAAGAGGTCCTTCACATCCCTTGTAAGTTGGATTCCTATTTTATTCTCTTTGAAGCAATTGTGAATGGGAGTTCACCCATGATTTGGCTCTCTGTTTGTCTGTTGTTGGTGTATAAGAATGCTTGTGATTTTTGTACATTGATTTTGTATCCTGAGACTTTGCTGAAGTTGCTTATCAGCTTAAGGAGATTTTGGGCTGAGACAATGGGGTTTTCTAGATAAACAATCATGTCGTCTGCAAACAGGGACAATTTGACTTCCTCTTTTCCTAATTGAATACCCTTTATTTCCTTCTCCTGCCTGATTGCCCTGGCCAGAACTTCCAACACTATGTTGAATAGGAGCGGTGAGAGAGGGCATCCCTGTCTTGTGCCAGTTTTCAAAGGGAATGCTTCCAGTTTTTGCCCATTCAGTATGATATTGGCTGTGGGTTTGTCATAGATAGCTCTTATTATTTTGAAATACGTCCCATCAATACCTAATTTATTGAGAGTTTTTAGCATGAAGGGTTGTTGAATTTTGTCAAAGGCTTTTTCTGCATCTATTGAGATAATCATGTGGTTTTTGTCTTTGGTTCTGTTTATATGCTGGATTACATTTATTGATTTGCGTATATTGAACCAGCCTTGCATCCCAGGGATGAAGCCCACTTGATCATGGTGGATAAGCTTTTTGATGTGCTGCTGGATTCGGTTTGCCAGTATTTTATTGAGGATTTTTGCATCGATGTTCATCAAGGATATTGGTCTAAAATTCTCTTTTTTGGTTGTGTCTCTGCCCGGCTTTGGTATCAGAATGATGCTGGCCTCATAAAATGAGTTAGGGAGGATTCCCTCTTTTTCTATTGATTGGAATAGTTTCAGAAGGAATGGTACCAGTTCCTCCTTGTACCTCTGGTAGAATTCGGCTGTGAATCCATCTGGTCCTGGACTCTTTTTGGTTGGTAAACTATTGATTATTGCCACAATTTCAGAGCCTGTTATTGGTCTATTCAGAGATTCAACTTCTTCCTGGTTTAGTCTTGGGAGAGTGTATGTGTCGAGGAATGTATCCATTTCTTCTAGATTTTCTAGTTTATTTGCGTAGAGGTGTTTGTAGTATTCTCTGATGGTAGTTTGTATTTCTGGGGGATCGGTGGTGATATCCCCTTTATCATTTTTTATTGTGTCTATTTGATTCTTCTCTCTTTTTTTCTTTATTAGTCTTGCTAGCGGTCTATCAATTTTGTTGATCCTTTCAAAAAACCAGCTCCTGGATTCATTGATTTTTTGAAGGGTTTTTTGTGTCTCTATTTCCTTCAGTTCTGCTCTGATTTTAGTTATTTCTTGCCTTCTGCTAGCTTTTGAATGTGTTTGCTCTTGCTTTTCTAGTTCTTTTAATTGTGATGTTAGGGTGTCAATTTTGGATCTTTCCTGCTTTCTCTTATAGGCATTTAGTGCTATAAATTTCCCTCTACACACTGCTTTGAATGCGTCCCAGAGATTCTGGTATGTGGTGTCTTTGTTCTCTTTGGTTTCAAAGAACATCTTTATTTCTGCCTTCATTTCGTTATGTACCCAGTAGTCATTCAGGAGCAGGTTGTTCAGTTTCCATGTAGTTGAGCGGCTTTGAGTGAGATTCTTAATCCTGAGTTCTAGTTTGATTGCACTGTGGTCTGAGAGATAGTTTGTTATAATTTCTGTTCTTTTACATTTGCTGAGGAGAGCTTTACTTCCAACTGTGTGGTCAATTTTGGAATAGGTGTGGTGTGGTGCTGAAAAAAATGTATATTCTGTTGATTTGGGGTGGAGAGTTCTGTAGATGTCTATTAGGTCTGCTTGGTGCAGAGCTGAGTTCAATTCCTGGGTATCCTTGTTGACTTTCTGTTTCGTTGATCTGTCTAATGTTGACAGTGGGGTGTTAAAGTCTCCCATTATTAATGTGTGGGAGTCTTAAGTCTCTTTGTAGGTCACTCAGGACTTGCTTTATGAATCTGGGTGCTCCTGTATTGGGTGCATAAATATTTAGGATAGTTAGCTCCTCTTGTTGAATTGATCCCTTTACCATTATGTAATGGCCTTCTTTGTCTCTTTTGATCTTTGTTGGTTTAAAGTCTGTTTTATCAGAGACTAGGATTGCAACCCCTGCCTTTTTTTGTTTTCCATTGGCTTGGTAGATCTTCCTCCATCCTTTTATTTTGAGCCTATGTGTGTCTCTGCACGTGAGATGGGTTTCCTGAATACAGCACACTGATGGGTCTTGACTCTTTATCCAACTTGCCAGTCTGTGTCTTTTAATTGCAGAATTTAGTCCATTTATATTTAAAGTTAATATTGTTATGTGTGAATTTGATCCTGTCATTATGATGTTAGTTGGTTATTTTGCTCATTAGTTGATGCAGTTTCTTCCTAGTCTCGATGGTCTTTACATTTTGGCATGATTTTGCAGCGGCTGGTACCGGTTGTTCCTTTCCATGTTTAGCGCTTCCTTCAGGAGCTCTTTTAGGGCAGGCCTGGTGGTGACAAAATCTCTCAGCATTTGCTTGTCTATAAAGTATTTTATTTCTCCTTCACTTATGAAGCTTAGTTTGGCTGGATATGAAATTCTGGGTTGAAAATTCTTTTCTTTAAGAATGTTGAATATTGGCCCCCACTCTCTTCTGGCTTGTAGGGTTTCTGCCGAGAGATCCGCTGTTAGTCTGATGGGCTTTCCTTTGAGGGTAACCCGACCTTTCTCTCTGGCTGCCCTTAACATTTTTTCCTTCATTTCAACTTTGGTGAATCTGACAATTATGTGTCTTGGAGTTGCTCTTCTCGAGGAGTGTCTTTGTGGCGTTCTCTGTATTTCCTGAATCTGAACGTTGGCCTGCCTTGCTAGATTGGGGAAGTTCTCCTGGATAATATCCTGCAGAGTGTTTTCCAACTTGGTTCCATTCTCCACATCACTTTCAGGTACACCAATCAGACGTAGATTTGGTCTTTTCACATAGTCCCATATTTCTTGGAGGCTTTGCTCATTTCTTTTTATTCTTTTTTCTCTAAACTTCCCTTCTCGCTTCATTTCATTCATTTCATCTTCCATTGCTGATACCCTTTCTTCCAGTTGATCGCATCGGCTCCCGAGGCTTCTGCATTCTTCACGTAGTTCTCGAGCCTTGGTTTTCAGCTCCATCAGCTCCTTTAAGCACTTCTCTGTATTGGTTATTCTAGTTATACATTCTTCTAAATTTTTTTTAAAGTTTTCAACTTCTTTGCCTTTGGTTTGAATGTCCTCCCGTAGCTCAGAGTAATTTGATCGTCTGAAGCCTTCTTCTCTCAGCTCGTCAAAATCATTCTCCATCCAGCTTTGTTCCATTGCTGGTGAGGAACTGCGTTCCTTTGGAGGAGGAGAGGCGCTCTGCGTTTCAGAGTTTCCAGTTTTTCTGTTCTGTTTTTTCCCCATCTTTGTGGTTTTATCTACTTTTGGTCTTTGATGATGGTGATGTACAGATGGGTTTTCGGTGTAGATGTCCTTTCTGGTTGTTAGTTTTCCTTCTAACAGACAGGACCCTCAGCTGCAGGTCTGTTGGAATACCCTGCCGTGTGAGGTGTCAGTGTGCCCCTGCTGGGGGGTGCCTCCCAGTTAGGCTGCTCGGGGGTCAGGGGTCAGGGACCCACTTGAGGAGGCAGTCTGCCCGTTCTCAGATCTCCAGCTGCGTGCTGGGAGAACCACTGCGCTCTTCAAAGCTGTCAGACAGGGACACTTAAGTCTGCAGAGGTTACTGCTGTCTTTTTGTTTGTCTGTGCCCTGCCCCCAGAGGTGGAGCCTACAGAGGCAGGCAGGCCTCCTTGAGCTGTGGTGGGCTCCACCCAGTTCGAGCTTCCTGGCTGCTTTGTTTACCTAAGCAAGCCTGGGCAATGGCGGGCGCCCCTCCCCCAGCCTCGTTGCCGCCTTGCAGTTTGATCTCAGACTGCTGTGCTAGCAATCAGCGAGATTCCGTGGGCGTAGGACCCTCTGAGCCAGGTGTGGGATATAGTCTCGTGGTGCGCCGTTTCTTAAGCCGGTCTGAAAAGCGCAATATTCGGGTGGGAGTGACCCGATTTTCCAGGTGCGTCCGTCACCCCTTTCTTTGACTCGGAAAGGGAACTCCCTGACCCCTTGCGCTTCCCAGGTGAGGCAATGCCTCGCCCTGCTTCGGCTCGCGCACGGTGCGCGCACACACTGGCCTGCGCCCACTGTCTGGCACTCCCTAGTGAGATGAACCCGGTACCTCAGATGGAAATGCAGAAATCACCCGTCTTCTGCGTCGCTCACGCTGGGAGCTGTAGACCGGAGCTGTTCCTATTCGGCCATCTTGGCTCCTCCCCCTACATTAGCCCCTTTTCATAACTTTTCTTACAACTTTCACAATCTTCAACATGCCTTAACTTTCTGCCTTCCTTTTACACTCTTCGTTTTCGTAGTTTCACCTTCTGTGTCTTTCTTTGATTTCTGTCTCTTCCAGTTTCTCTCTTACTTACTCTTTCCATCTATTTATCTCTCTCTCATTTGCACTCTGTTTCTCTCTCTCTCTCTGTCATCCCGTTTCCTTTTCCCCTCCTGAGTTCTCTGGCTCCCACCACCGGCAGGCCTTTCATGCTTACTTAACCGGGCTAGAGGTTTATCAATTTTATTGATCTTTTCAACGAGCCAGCTTTTGGTTTTGTTGACTTTCTCTGTTGATGTCCTGTTTTCAGTTTCATTGATTTCTGCTCTAAGTTTTATTACTTCTTCTCTTCTGCTTACTTTGGATTCAATTCTTTTAATTTTTTTAGTTACCTAAGGTGGAGGCTTAGATTATTGATTATAGATCTTTCTTCTTTATTAATATATGCATTCAATACTATAAATATCCCTCTAAGCACTGGTTTCACTGCATCCCACAAATTTTGATAAGTGGTTTCTTCATTTTCATTTAGTTCAAAATGTTTTTTAATTTTTCTTTAGACTTCTTTAACCCATGTGATATTTAGAAGAGTGTTTAATCTCCAAGTATTTGAGTTTTCAAGCTTTGTCTTAATGATTTCTAGTCTAATTCCATTGTCCTCTGAGAGCATACTTTGCATGATTTCTGTTCTTTTAAATTTGTTAAAGTATGTTTTATGGCTCAAATGTTTTCTGTCTTAGTGAATGTTCTGTGTGAGCTTGAGAAGAATATGTATTCTGCTGTTGTTAAATGAAGTGTTTTATAGACATCAACTTGATCTAGTTGATGGATGATGCTGTTCGGTTTACCTGTGTCTTTACTGATCTTCTGTCTGCTGTATCTGTCAATTACTAATAGAGGGGTGGTGAAGTCTCCAACTATAATAGTACATTCATCTATTTCTCCTTGTATCTCTATCAGTTTTTGCCTCATATGTTGACGCTGTTGTTAGGTGCTTATTTATTAGAGATTATTATGTGTTTTTAGAGTATTGACCCCTTTATCATTATGCAGTACCCCTCTTTATCGCTGATAATTTTCCCTGCTGTGAAGTCTGCTCTGTCTGAAATTAATATACCTACTCCACATTTGTTTTGACTAGTAGTAGCATGTTATGTCTATCTCTGTATTCTTGAAGAGATTTCTGAAGATGTCTGCTGTAATTCTGTCCTTGCTCCTCCATAGGTAAAAGGTAAGGTATTTGTTTTACCCCGGCAACTTTGAAGATTTTTTTCCTTTGATTTTCTGCAGTTTGGATATGATATGCGTAGGTATAGATTTTTTTGTATTCATCCTCCTTAGTGTTCTGTGAGCTTCCTGCCTGGACCTGTGGTTTGGTATCTGTCATTAATTTGGAACAATTCTTAGTCATTATTACTTTATGTATTTCTTCTATTTCTTTCTTTCTTTCTTTCTTTTTTTTTTTTTTTGAGACGAAGTCTTGGCCTGTTGCCCAGGCTGGAGTACAATGGCTTAATCTCGGCTCACTGCAACCTCTGCCTCCTGGGTTCAAGTGATTCTCCTGCCTCAGCCTCCTGAGTAGCTGGGAGTACAGGTGCGCACCACCATGCCTGGCTAATTTTTTGTATCTTTAGGAGAGATGGGATTTCACCATGTTGGCCAGGCTGGTTTTGAACTCCTGACCTCGTGATCCGCCCACCTAGGCCTCCCAAAGTGCTAGGATTACAGGGGTGAGCAACCAACCACGCCTGGCTTCTTGTATTTCTTTCTTCTCCTTCTGGTATTCCAGTTATATGTCTTTTGTAATTGTTCCACAGTCCTTGGACATTCTGTTCCTTTTCCATTTTCTTTCTCTTTGAATTTCAGTTTCAGAAGTTTCTGTTGCTATTTCTTCCAGCTTGCTCATTCTTTCTCTGCTGTGTCCAATTTATTGATGAATCAATCAAAGGCATTCTTTATTTCTGTTATGGTGTTTTTGATTTCTAGCATTTCCTTTTGATTCTTTCTTAAGATTTCCATCTCTCTGCTTACATTACTCATCTGCTCTTGCGTGTTGTCCACTTTTTCCATTAGGGCCTTTAGCATATTAAACGTATTTTAAATTGCTGTTATAATAATTCCAACATTCCTTCCATGTCTGACTCTTTATCTTCATGCAGTGTTTTTTTTTTTTTTTGTCCTTTAGTATACCTTGTATTTTTTTGTTGAAAGCTAGACATGATATACTAGGTAAAAGTGACTGAGGTAAATAGACCTTTAGTATAAGGTTTATGTTTATCTGGATAGGAGTTAGGCTGTGTTTACATTTGTTGTAACTAAATGTGTCAGAGGCTAAGATTTCCACTAGTGTCTGTTTTTGACTGTTGTGTATTTGGGTTTCCATTTCCCTAGAGACTTCTTAACTAAATTTAAAAGGTACAGTTCTTTCAGTCATATTCCCCTGTTATTATACAGGATCTCTATAGAAGTAATGATAAAATGTTGAGAGAATGGAAGCATTCTGTAGTCATATGATTAGGTTTCAGTTTTTTAGTGAGCCTGTGCCCTCAGTTATGACTTTGAAAAGTGCTTCTCCCTTTCGTTTTGTTTTTTCCCCACTTAGGTAAGATAGAAAGGCTGGTGGGAGATAGAATTAGATACTGACTTTTTCCCAAGTTGATTAGGCCCTGGTAAAATAGTTTTTCATGAAGGTATGCCTTATAAGAAAAACCAAATGCTCTGGTTATAATTGTAAAATGACTGTTTCCCCTCCCCCTGCTGGAAGCAGAAAGAGCTTTTTCTCTGATCTTCACTGTAAGAACAAGAATGTTTTAGGACTCCTGGAGGTAAAACTCTTCAAAGTGTGAGGTCCCCCTAAGACTGGGCTCCCTGGAGTTTTTAAGCTTTTGAGCTTATCCACACTCAGCCTCCTCAGTTATAGTTAGGTTTTCCTACCCCAGAGAACCTAAACTGTAAGTTTCTGTTTGTGTTCCTATGGAGGTTTCTGTTCATGTAAGCTATGAGTCTGTATCCATCTGTCTCTTTCTCTAATTTTGGGGGAAGCAGTTTGCCCTGTGATCTCAGTTCTCTGATGGAGCTGAGAAGAGTTGTTGATTTCCAGTTTGTATTGTGGGGATGGGAGTGATGACTTCCAAGCTTCTTTTACAGTGGACTTGAAACTGGAAGTCATACTTTGATTTTTACTTGGATATTTGCATCCACCTTTTCCTTAGCCTTTATCAGTGATGATGCAGATATGTCCTTTTTCTGTTCCTTTCACTTCATTTTATTGCATACATTCCCTGATGCAAGAAGTTATTTCTTTATTTTAGTATATATGAATTAATCAATTTTTTGTCTTTCTGGATCAGAACTAATTTTGTCTGTTCACATCTGGGACAAATATACTATTCTATGTTTTTTAAAAAATCAACTTTTAAAAAACCCATCTGGAATGTTTGCACTGTGGTACATGTTGTAATTCTATATTCCCCATTTCGATACCAAGCGATTCCTCAACTATTTACTAAAAAGTGAGTATTTCCTTATATTTGTGTTGCTTCTGATTTAGCAACTATTAAGTTCAAATAGTTTGGATCCATTGCTAAACTTTCTATTCTTTTTTTTTATTTAAGTTTTAGGGTACATGTGCACAACGTGCAGGTTTGTTACATATGTATACATGTGTCATGTTGGTGTGCTGCACCCATTAACTTGTCATTTAGCATTAGGTATATCTCCTAATGCTATCTCTCCCCCCTCCCCCGACCCCACAACAGTCCACGGTGTGTGATGTTCCCCTTCCTGTGTCCATGTGTTCTCTTTGTTCAATTCCCACCTATGAGTGAGAACATGCGGTGTTTGGTTGTTTGTCCTTGCAATAGTTTGCTGAGAATGATGGTTTCCAGCTTCATCCATGTCCCTACAAAGGACATGAACTCATCATTTTTTATGGCTGCATAGTATTCCATGGTGTATATGTGCCACATTTTCTTAATCCAGTCTGTCATTGTTGGACATTTGGGTTGGTTCCAATGAACAGACACTTCTCAAAAGAAGACATTTATATGCAGCCAAAAAACACATGAAAAAAGCTCACCATCACTGGCCATCAGAGAAATGCAAATCAAAACCACAATGAGATACCATCTCACACCAGTTAGAATGGCAATCATTAAAAAGTCAGGAAACAACAGGTGCTGGAGAGGATGTAGAGAAATAGGAACACTTTTACACTGTTGGTGGGACTGTAAAGTAGTTCAACCGTTGTGGAAGTTGGTGTGGCGATTCCTCAGGGATCTAGAAATAGAAATACCATTTGACCCAGCCATCCCATTACTGGGTATATACCCAAAGGATTATAAATCATGCTGCTATAAAGACACATGCACACATATGTTTATTGCGGCACTATTCACAATAACTTTCTATTCTTACCCCAGTGCCATAAGGTTTTGATGATTGCTTCTTTGTAGAAGACCAAAATCTACAGATAAATTTGCCATATTTACATTTAAGGAAATACATATACTAGTATCTGTGTCTACTTATTCTTCTAGATGAATATCACTACCAGTCTGTCAAGTTATATAAAAGATGCCACGGGGACTTTAGATTAATATATAGATGTAACATAATTCAAATTAGAGTCTATTTCATTCTTGCTATATTTAGACTTTCCAATCAAGAGCATAATACATCTCTGTTGATTTATATCTTCCTTTTTTCATTCTTATTTGTCTTTTTATAAATTTTAAAGTAATACTGTGTTTCAGTATGTCTCCATCATATATGAATTCTTTTATCATTATATTTTCTAGTTCTATGGTTATATGTAGGAATGCAGTTTTTAGTAGATTTACCTCCTAATTTATGAGTTCATATATTACTTTTGGCTATTTTTAGTTGGTATTTTTGTAGTTGTATAGGTATGCATTCATGTAATCCAAACTGGAATACCATATATCTTCCTTTTCTATACGCATTCCTCATTTTTGTCCTTTTAAAGCTTTTCTTGTACCGTGTTAAATATAATTGGCAACAAGAAGTATCATGCCTTCCTGTATTAAGGGGAATGGTATTTGCTTCTTGGTTTTTTAATTTAGATATTCTACATCATGTCAAGAAAGAAATCCTCTACATGGAACATTTTAAACTTTTAAATACAGAATGACTGTAAATTTAAAAATCAATTCCTGACATCTGTTGAGATAAGATAATTATGGATTTAAAATTTTTATCTGTTAATCTGATAACTTATGTTGGTAGTTTCCCATGTGATACCGGTCTTGCATTCCTGGAATAATTCCTTCTTATATATAGCAGGCAAATCTTTCAAGGTGATGCTATATTTAGTTTGTTAAAGTTTTATTTAGGAGTTTTGCATGTATGTTCCAAAGTGAAAGTGATCTTTACATTTCTAGTGTTGTCTTCGTCAGGCCTGGTAGACCCTTGTCCTTGATCCTCCAGGGTGCTTCTCTACACTTCACATTTATGACACTCTTGAAAGCCTGTATAACAGGGTATTTCTTATCATATCTGAAGAATCTCTGAGATAGCACCAAAGAAAAGCTGATTAGCTAAGGGAACATAGCATATTATTGTTTTAATTTTAATTTACCTGAATTTTTAAAGCCATTAAAAAACAAATTATCTACCAATGTATTTTGCCTATTCATCTATTAGAATCCAATTTTAATGATTCAAACAATCTCTCTCTATAGGCTGTTACTCCTTTGGGCGAATTTACAGAAAATATTAGTTTATTTGCTTCACTTTCCCAGCTGTCCACATGGTCTCTTCTGACTGGTTTGTCCTCTTCCTCTTTCTCATCAACTGTGGGTGTTGCCCAAGTACAATTTGTCCATGCTGAGTTCTTTCTTTACTTCAGACATTCTCACAGTATAGTCTGTGAGTTATTGAGACCCTTTTAGGGGGTCTTTAAGGTCAAAACTATTTTCATATTAAGATATTATTTGCCTTTTTTACTCATTTTCTCATGAATATACAGTGGAATTTTCTGCAGACTGTAGTATGGGTGAAGATGTCATTCCTCTGAGAACTAGTAGAATATGTTAAGCAGAATCCAGTAATCCTCTATTAACCCAGACATTTGAGTATTGTGACATTTAAATAAATCATTGTATATTTTAAACATTTTTCCATTTTAATTTCTTTATTATTATTATTATTATACTTTAAGTTTTAGGGTACATGTGCACAATGTGCAGGTTAGTTACATATGTATACATGTGCCATGCTGGTGTGCTGCACCCATTAACTCGTCATTTAGCATTAGGTGTATTTCCTAATGCTATCCCTCCCCCCTCCCCCCACCCCACAACAGTCCCCAGAGTGTGATGTTCCCCTTGCTGTGTCCATGTGTTCTCATTGTTCAATTCCCACCTATGAGTGAGAATGTGTGGTGTTTGGTTTTTTGTTCTTGCGATAGTTTACTGAGAATGATGATTTCCAATTTCATCCATGTCCCTACAAAGAACATGAACTCATCATTTTTTATGGCTGCATAGTATTCCATGGTGTATATGTGCCACATTTTCTTAATCCAGTCTATCATTGTTGGACATCTGGGTTGGTTCCAAGTCTTTGCTATTGTGAATAGTGCCGCAATAAACATACATGTGCATGTGTCTTTATAGCAGCATGATTTATAGTCCTTTGGGTATATACCCAGTAATGGGATGGCTCGGTCAAATGGTATTTCTCGTTCTAGATTCCTGAGGAATCGCCACACTGACTTCCACAATGGTTGAACTAGTTTACAGTCCCACCAACAGTGAAAAAGTGTTCCTATTTCTCCACATCCTCTCCAGCACCTGTTGTTTCCTGACTTTTTAATGATTGCCATTCTAACTGGTGTGAGATGGTATCTCATTGTGGTTTTGATTTGCATTTCTCTGATGGCCGGTGTTGGTGAGCATTTTTTCATGTGTTTTTTGGCTGCATAAATGTCTTCTTTTGAGAAGTGTCTGTTCATGTCCTTTGCCCACTTTTTGATGGGGTTGTTTGTTTTTTTCTTGTAAATTTGTTTGAGTTCATTGTACATTCTGGATATTAGCCCTTTGTCAGATGAGTAGGTTGCGAAAATTTTCTCCCATTTTGTAGGTTGCCTGTTCACTCTGATGGTAGTTTCTTTTGCTGTGCGGAAGCTCTTGAGTTTAATTAGATCCCATTTGTCAATTTTGGCTTTTGTTGCCATTGCTTTTGGTGTTTTGGACATGAAGTCCTTGCCCATGCCTATGTCCTGAATGGTATTGCCTAGGTTTTCTTCTAGGGTTTTTATGGTTTTAGGTCTAACGTTTAAGTCTTTAATCCATCTTGAATTAATTTTTGTATAAGGTGTAAGGAAGAGATCCAGTTTCAGCTTTCTACATATGGCTAGCCAGTTTTCCCAGCACCATTTATTAACTAGGGAATCCTTTCCCCATTGCTTGTTTTTGTCAGGTTTGTCAAAGATCAGATAGTTGTAGATATGCGGCGTTATTTCTGAGGGCTCTGTTCTGTTCCATTGATCTATATCTCTGTTTTGGTACCAGTACCATGCTGTTTTGGGGATGCCCTCTCTCACCACTCCTATTCAACATAGTGTTGGAAGTTCTGGCCAGGGCAGTTAGGCAGGAGAAGGAAATAAAGGGTATTCAATTAGGAAAAGAGGAAGTCAAATTGTCCCTGTTTGCAGATGACATGATTGTATATCTAGAAAACCCCATTGTCTCAGCCCAAAATCTCCTTAAGCTGATAAGCAACTTCAGCAAAGTCTCAAGATACAAAATCAATGTACAAAAATCACAATCATTCTTATACACCAATAACAGACAAACAGAGAGCCAAATCATGAGTGAACTCCCATTCACAATTACTTCAAAGAGAATAAAATACCTAGGAATCCAACTTACAAGGGACATGAAGGACCTCTTCAAGGAGAACTACAAACCACTGCTCAATGAAATAAAAGAGGATACAAAGAAACGGAAGAACATTCCATGCCCATGGGTAGGAAGAATCAATATTGTGAAAATGGCCATACTGCCCAAGGTAATTTATAGGTTCAATGCCATCCCCATCAAGCTACCAATGACTTTCTTCACAGAATTGGAAAAAACTACTTTAAAGTTCATATGGAACCAAAAAAGAACCCACATCGCCAAGTCAATCCTAAGCCAAAAGAACAAAGCTGGAGGCATCACGCTACCTGACTTCAAACATTTTAATTTCAAATACAATATATATCTATAGATGTTATCGATATAAATAAAAGCTCTTTAAGGGTCCTCAGTAATTTTGATGACTAAAGGGATCCTGAGAGCAAAAAGTTTGAGAACTGCTGCTCTGGTATTGTCTGTTCAGAGTCCTCACCTTTTTCTCATAACCCCTACTCGTCTGTAGGAATAACTCCCAGATGAAGACTACTCTGTAAGAAGAAGCACTACTATTTCCTCCTGGAATTCTAGCCTGAAATGTCTGAAATTCTAACAGGTGGAGAAAGTGCTATGGGTTAAGAATTAGTCCAAGCCTCTGAAATAAGCACGTTCTATGGCACTCAGAGATTAACATGCAAGATTTGCATTTGATTTCCATTTCTCAAAATAAAGTAACTAAAACTGGAAATGGAGTATAAGCTAGATTATTTTCTGAGCCCTCGCTTTGTGTCAGGCACTTGGGAGCACAGATTTCAGTAACTCTGTCCTTGAGTAGCTCAAAGTATAGTGGGTAGACAGAAGGTGATTTTATGTGTGTGTCAGCTCCTATTGCTTTCGCTGCTTTACTTCGGATTGTCTTAATGTTTTATTTTAAATGATATGACAATACTTGTATGTTCGTTAATTGTATAATGCATCTCTAATCCCCTTCTTCCTCTTGCATTCTCCCTTTTCTGTGTTTGCAGTATCCGGCATATATTACTTACCCAGAATGCCATGTATAGGTCAACAGATACTTTTGTGGAGCAAAAATAAGAAAGAAATAGAAAAGTTTATTGTTTCTCTGTGCTTGCTAGCAGTGAAATATGTGACATGCTTTGTATTTTCATTTGTGGGGTCGTGTGTGTCAGCCCACCTGTTGTTTTATACATTTGTTTTTGCCAAATGGGTTAGTTGAGATGGTATTAATTTATTTGAACCAACACATGTCAATGTCACTAGTAAAACAGGATGCCAGTAAGCCATACCACAAACTAGCACCATCCTGTCCACCCCCACCAAGGGCCCTTGCCTTGATCTTAGTACAATTATTGGGAGTGTGTACTCTTCCTTCCCTTTTCCTTCTTTCTCCTCCAACCTAAATCACCTACATTGAAATTGGAAATGGCAAACTGCCTTACCAGCCCTTTCCTCCTCTTCTCTTCCAGACTACTCCTGCCACACTTACCTCCTAAAATGATGTTTTTATCATGTTGCTCCTCAAAAACCTCAGTGACTCCATTGACTTACCAGGTCCTTCATGACCTGTCTCTATCCATTTGTTCATAGACACCTTCCTTGTCTTCTAGCCAAGCACGAATGCCACCTTCATTCTCATCTTCAAGTCTTTGGCCATTTTGTTTCTTGGTCCTGGAATACCCTCTCTCCTCCCTGAAGTCTCTAGCTAGCAATCTCCCATTCCATTTTCTGAATGCCAATTGTAACAATTTAACACCTAGCTGCTGTGTAATTGCATGGTGTGAAGGTTTTCTTCCCAACTAGATCATAAATTCCTTGAGAGTAATGATGAAGTAATAAACTCTTTTTATCTCCCTAATTCCCTTCCCTCATAGGGCAAGGTAAAGATTTATTGAGTGTCAGCCATATAAATATGTTGATTACCTCTTAACCCTTCCTCCCCAACTGGAATACTCCTCAGTAAGCATTTATTGAACACCTACTCTGAGACAACACTGGAGTTGCCAGAACAATGGAAGTGAGAAGGACATGGTGTAGTCACAAGACTCAAGTAGAAGAGATTATGCAGTCAACATAGATATGTGAACAAAGGGAATGTTGAGAGGAAAGCCTATTTGAGCTGGCCCTAGGTATGTTGAATGGGGTTTTACCATACTGAAAAAAGAATGGAGGTGGGGGTGGGTGGGATTCCACATAGGGCAGCTTGCCTGAGCACAGGCATGGAGGCCTGAAAGTACGTGGCCTAGGTAGGGTATAACAAATTTGTGGCAAGAGATAAGTCTGTTGGTGTGGATGGGATCCAGATTTGATAGGGCACTGAATGCCATACAAAGAAGTTTTAAACTTAACTCTCTACGCATGGGGAACCAGCTTATAATTTTAAGCAAGAAAGTGACAAAGGGCATACAAGCTTTGTAACACAAATATCAGCCAAACAACAATTTCCCCTGTTTGCTGTCCTTCTTAGCTCTCAATTGCATGGCAAGTCCTATCTGTAATCCTCTAGTTGGGAAAATAAATCAAATCCCATTACATTTGTTCCTGGCCTACCCCAAATTCTGGCTGACCTCAGGCTTGTGGCCATCTAGAAGTTTAATTTCTTCCAGATGTGCCATTCTCTAGACTGACATGTCGTTGTGAAGCCCCAGTGTGTTATGGAAAGAGCACTGGGCTTGGAGTTCAACTATATATGGATTCAAATCTCAACTCTAAGGAACATTGAATTGGTTTCTCATTACTCTGCAGCTTTAATTTTTTCTCTTGAACATTCTTCTAAAGACTGTATCAAAATGGGCAATATCACTTGCACCATGGGTAAGTACCACTTTCACTTTTACTGATTATATTCATAACATCTGTTTTGCTTGATTTACTTGCTTCTTCCAATTTTCTTTTGTTGACCCTTTCTTTCTATGCATTTACTAAAAGGACGCTTTATAACCCAAACAGTGAACCAGATAGCTGCTGCAGGAAATGTTTGAAATGAGGCAGCTCAATTTAGCTGGATTGTTCTGTCAGTGGGTTACAGGAAGAAGTTCGTAAGGTGCCTAATGAGGAAACTAAAAAGTTTTCCAGCTTCTCCTTTGTTGGGTCTTCATCTTATAGTGTCATTATTTTGTTTTAATGAATTCCCAGAACAATAGGTACACCCATCTGAAACTATGACTACAGGACACATTCCAAAGCCAGAGATAAGTTATTTTTGGACTCCCTGTACCTTTACTTCCCATGATTTGTTTGGCTAATGTAGAGTTGCTGGAACCATGTATTTTAAATCACTTCCTGAGTGAAACATAACCAGCGAGGGGAGAGAGAGGGAAAGGAATTCTGCATTACTTTGCAAATTTTCTTGCTTTTTCTTTCTGTGCTAGTCACCATATGGGACTCATGGACATTTAATAAATTTACACTAAAAGAAAACTTACTGAATTGTGCTACTCTCTTAGCCTCAGTTCTTCTCATCAGCTAAAATGGTTCTTGTTTTTAGCTAAGATTTGTAGAAACCTTGAGTGCCTGCTTGCGAGGTTGAGTGCTTTTTGTAGGTTTGTCAAATGTAAATCTCAGAGTGAGACAAACATTAACCATAAATATTGACTCTGATGCTGCCTACATTTATAAAGGAAAGATGATTTGTCTTGTTTGGATTTTATTATTTGTGTTTAGGTTAATATTATTTTCACTGTTTTTTCCCTTGTCCTGCTATTAAGGTTAAAGTAGCAATAAAAGTGTCTATTGGAGTTCTTGGTAATTCAGGACTGTAGCTTGAGGGAGAAATGAGAGCTAGAAATAGTAAGTTTCCTTAATAAATCAGGTTAAATCTGGGAAATATCTGTTATCTGAGTTACATAGGAGCTAAGATCCAGAGCAAAGTGGAGGGGCTGTTTGTTTTCTTTTTTCTTTGTATTTATTTTGTTTGTTTAAAGAGGACATCTGTGCATGTAGGTGGCCTTGCTTAGGGAGTCAGAGCCCAAGTGATATGAGAAGGGCACCCACTCAGGTGGTTGGCTTGAATACTAGAACTTAAACACATTGAAGATGACATCTGGACTTCCACATGGATATATGGCTTGCTGTGGGTGTCAGAGGCTGAGCAGGGTAAAGAAGGAATCTACATGGAGTAGTAGTTCAGTTGTGTGAGTCAACCTGACAGGTATGAGGAGATCATCTGTGCAGAGAAGAGTTGAGGAAAAGATAGGAGACTGGTTATATACAGGAGGATTGTTCAAGAAAGTAAAAAAATTAAAAGATTTTTCATTGTTAATGAAGGGGAAGGTACATATATAGGAAGAGAAAAGACTAAATTGAGCCTTGTTATGTTGGATTGGAATCAGATATAAGTGAAAACTTATGTTTTTTACATGTGTAAATATTGATATATGTAAAACATACATGTTGTCAATATATATAGGTGGATGTGAAAATATATGTGAAAGTGTGTGTGTGTTCCCTACCTATGTCCATTGGGGAGCAGCAACCCGAATAACAATGAGCACCCAGAACATGTCTTTTAAATACCACCCCCAACTAAAAGGACTCAGAGTTCCTGGAAGAAATGGCTGATATTGGAGATGGAGCATGAAAATACAAGATGAGTCTGGAATGTCTTTTGTGACAGAAATTAAGTTAATTCTCAAAGCATAATGGGGATATGTCAAAAGAACATAGAAGCCAGCTTGAAAAAGTTCCCACTGGAGAAGTTTGGAAAATTTGAGTATGAAAACAATAGCAATAGATTATAACCCATTGAAAAAATTAGGATTTATTTATATATAAATTGAATATAATTTTATTGAATGAAATGAATTCAGTTGATTGAATGAAAATGTTTTTATAAGAAATGGTTTTTTTACTTAGTGTCAAAGTACCTCATCATAAAATAATCACTGTTACAAAGAGACAAATGATATATTAACAATGTAAAGACCTGGAAGATATCACTTTTATCAAGTGATCAAATAAGTATCATCATTAGTGGGGCAAATAAAAAGTATGTGCCCTCTAACAGGATGCAAATAGAAGAACACAATGTCACTTCTCTGATATTATTGTCAAAGATGTATAACCTGAGTCTATTTGTGAGGAAACATCAAACAAACCAAAATTGAGATATTGTCTACAAAATAATTAGCCTGTAATCTTCAAGAGTGTCAAGATCATGAACCTCATAATCCCGGAACAGGATCTGTTCCAAGTAGCAATTACATATGGGTATTCCTTCCAGCACTTTTCAGGAAGTTTATGTTTTTCCAAATTTTGATTCTCCCCAAAAGTCAGTTGAGAAATTTGGAAAGTGGGAGCAAATTAGCAATCAACATAGAAATGTTACTGGTTTGAAGGAATCTGCTGATGTTACATTCAAAGCAAGAACAGAAAACTTTGACGCATAGAGTCAAAGGTTGAGGTCAACATTTCCAGGAAGAGGTCCAGGGGCTTATAAGAGAGAAAGTCATGATTTAATTAGTTAACCTTGATTATAGCTGTTACATGTTGTATGTTTATGTCCATGGTCTTGTCTGCTGCTAACAGTGAGTCATTCTACCAATGAGATCAATAGTAGGCAGGGTGCTGTGGCTTACGCTTGTAATCCCAACACTTTGGGAGGCTGAGGTGGGAGGATTGCTTGAGCCCAGGAGTTCAAGACCAGCCTGGCCAAAATAGTGAGACCCTATCTGTACAAAAAACAAAACAAACAAACAAAAAAACATTAACTGGGCACAGTGACGCACGCCTGTAGTCCCAGCTACTTGGGACGCTGAGGTGGCAGGATTGCTTGAGCCTGGGAGGCCAAGGCTGCAATGAGCAGTAGTGGCACCACCACACTCCAGCCTGGGTGACAGAGCAAGACTCTGTCTCAAAAACAAACAACCAACCAACCCACAAAAGATAAATAGTAATACGTTTATATGCATAGTATACTTTATATAGATCCTGAGTGGTGTTCCAAGAAATAACAAGCCTCAGAAGTGAAATAGGCCCTTATATTGGCAGTTTTGTCATGTGATTCTGTGTGGTGTTGTTTAACCTTGCTTAGGAGATCCAAATGTTTAAATATTACCCAACAATGTTTCCTGATCTTATACATGTTGTGTGTTGCAATGTTCACTGTAAGGTACAGTTATTTGTAAAGCAGACAAAATAGTTTCATCATTAAAAAACAAAATAAACTTCTATGAGCCAGCATGTGCCCGAAAGCTCAAGTAAAGATGCTTTGGATGCACTCTTAATCTGACCAACATCAACACAGAATGAATTTTTTTTTTCTTTTTTTTTGAGATGGAGTCTTGCTCTGTCACCCAGGCTGCAGTGCAGTGGCACAATCTCGGCTCACTGCAACCTCCGCCTCCCGGTTTCAAGCGATTCTCCTGCTTCAGCCTCCTGAGTAGCTGGGATTACAGGCACACACCACCACGCCTGGCTAATTTTTGTATTTTTAGTAGAGGCGAGGTTTCACCATGTTAGTCAAGCTGGTCTCGAACTCCTGACCTCAGGTGATCCACCCACCTCGGCCTCCCAAAGTGCTGGGATTACAGGTGTGATCCACCATGCCCGGCTGATTTTCTTTTTTCTTAAATAAAAAGTAAAGGCACTTCTTCCTGAATGACAGGAGGGAAGACAGACAGAGTCAATTTCTCGTCTGTTGTTGGTAATAGGAAAAACCTGCTAACAATCCTGTATTAGGCCTGGTTCCCTAGAAGCAGAAGCAGAGACAGGATTTTGTGTGAGTCCTTTACTGAGGGAGTCCTCTCCGGAGAAAGGGATTGAAGAAAGCAGGATAATGAATGGCAGAAAAGTCCAGCAAGGTTGGATTGGTGAGCAGCAAGGGAGCTTGGCTGAGGCTATAAAACATGGCTTCTTAGTATCCCAGCACCCATTTGATCCACACATCAAGGTTAACTTTTGTAGCTGAGGAAGTTGTTTTATGGTCAATAATTTTGTACGTTATTAGTACCTTGGGGTAACTTTGTATCCTTCCCTACCTGACCATATATCATCATGTATGCATGGTAGTGTTCCAGAATAACCTATTATTTAGTTCACATTTGCACAGATTTCAAGTTACTTGTGCATGCTAAAGAACATTGAGATTGCATTTCTTTTTAAATTTTATTTTAAATTGACATATAATTGTACATATTTATGCGGTACAGTGTGATGTTTCAATACATGTATACTTTGTGTAATGATCAAATCAAAGTAATTAGCATATCCATTACCTCAAACATTTATATAGGAAATTTCCCTTGGGGTATCTGTTCTCTTAGTTTCAATCATCACCTTGATGTTGTTAACTCCCAAGTCTTTGCCAATCAATCTTCATCTCATCTGGCCTATCCAGCATCATTTTTGTATCTGGCCCACTATGCCACAATGATTCATGCATAGTAGGTGTTCATAAATGTCACTCACACTTCGGTCAAGCTGGTCTCTTTATCACAAATGAGGTATTGTGAAATTGAACACATGATTTGGACCTTAACTTTAAAAACAACAACAACAACAACACTAACTGGGCAAGTTAGCCTTTTGCAGCTTTCAGTTTCCTTATCTACACTAGGAGTGATAATGCCATAGCATAGGAATGTAGGAAAAATTAAAGGAAATAATTCATTTTAAGCACATAGCCCAGTGCCTAGAAATTGACATGTACCTGGTAAATGTTGGTTCTTTCTCCTTTTTGCTGAATATTTAAGGCCTGCTTTTTAGGCCTCTTACTTGATTTATCCTATTTGTTTTTTACCACATTCATCACTCTTAGTTCTGACAACCTAGGAAAAGAAGTTTCTTTAAAGAGTTGGAAAGTTTAAAACAAATAATATTTGTGTAATTCAGTAGAACTTTTCTGGGTATGATTTTTGACTAAGATTTTCTTTAAGAAATAGGGAGGGTGGGCCTACATAAAGTTGGCCATAATGCTTTTAAAAACTAAATAAATCAGTATACTAATATTTTTTAAGTAAAATTTACAATCTGAAAAATTACACTTGGGATGAAGAACATTTTTCATCTTTAATATTAAATTCTTAAGAACAGCATTGAATGGCACACTATGTTTCTTTTCCCCATGTCAGTCATCTAGTATTTCTGTGCATATACACTGTATTAAGACGTCTGGGAGAGTCAGAAGAATAAGATAATTTTTTTTCCCCATTCTCAAATGGCCAGCACATTTCTCAATACTGATGTCTAGTTTTTATTTCAGTTGATTACTTGTGAACTACTGTTATGTTTGTACACATGCCCTCATTTGGTTTTATACTCATTTGAATGGTTCTCAAATATTGCCATCAACTACATGGTAATGCTAGAGGTACATTATATCTAGAGGGTAACTGAATATATTTAGTTTGCATGAATATATTCATGCAAGAGCATGAAAGAAGACATAAGACTAAGTGCCAACCCAAAAGGTGAAGATTACCCAGATGTCCATCAGCTGATGAATAGATAAACAAAATGTGGTCTATCCATACAGTGAAATAATATTCAGCCATAAAAATTGATGAAGTGCTGATACATGCTGTAACATGGATGGATGTTGAAAATATTACGCTAAGTGAAAGAAACCAGACACAAAGTGTCACATATTGTGTGATTTCATTTATATGAAATATCCAGAATCAGCAAATCTATAGAGACAAAAAGTATAATAGAGGTTACCAGGGCCTGGGGGATGGGGAGTTACTGTTTGTTGGGTACAGAATTTCTGTTTGGGATGATGAAATAGTTCTGGAAATGGATAGTCGTGATAGTTGCACATAGTAAGTGTACTCAATGCTACTGAATTGTATACTTCAAAATGGTTCAAATGGCAAATGTTACGTGTAAGGGACTTGAAGATCATTGTTATAAGCCTCCTATTTTTCTTTCTGCACAGGTGCCATGGATAACAGAGGCTTTCAGCAGGGGAGTTTTAGTAGCTTCCAGAACAGCTCCAGTGATGAAGACCTGATGGACATTCCAGCAACCGCTATGGATTTCTCCATGAGAGATGATGTTCCTCCCTTAGACCGAGAAGTAGGAGGTATCATTATTGGTGATGATAATTTATCTTAATTTTTTAAAATTTATGTACAATAAAATTTTATTTTTTTTTAATTTTATTTTCTAGCACACAGTCCTGTGAGTTTTTAACAAATGGCTAGATTATTGTAACTACCACCACTGACAGGATACAGAACAGTTCAACTCCCTAAAGAATTCCCTCTTGCCACTCCTTTGCAGTCAGACCTCCTTCCTCCCTAACCCCTGGTACCAGTGATCTTTTCTCTGTCCTTATAGTTTCTTTTCTTTTCAATGATGTCATGTACATGGAATCACATAGTATGTCACTCCTTGAGACTGCTTTCACTCAGATTAATGCCTTGGAGATATATCTAAGTTGTTCATTTCTTCTTCTTGCTGAGTAGTATACCCAGGAGTAGGATCACTTAGTCATATGGTAAATGTGTTTAACTTTATAAGAAACTGACAAACCAGAGTGCCGGTACCATTTTGCATCTGAACTAGCTATGTATGAGAGTTCTACTTGCTCTGCACCCTTAACAGCACTTGGTATTTTGGCCATCCTAGTATAATACGTATGTAGTGTTATCTCATCATTGTCTCAATTTAATTTCCTTAATGGCTAATGACGTTGAATAGCATTTCATGTGCATATCTGCCCACCTTATATACTGTTTGATGAAGTATATGTTGAAATCGTTTCCTCTTTCTATAATTGGATTTTTTATTAACTGGAATGCATTCGTAAAATTAAAATCCCCCTCCTTGGTTATCTGGTTACCTAGCTGCATATTCTTTTCAATGGCTGCATACAATTTCATGGTATGTTTGTGCCATGGCTTATTTAACCAAGCTTCTATTGATGCACATTTCAGTTTTTCTGATCTTTTGCTGTTACAAACAATGCTGCAACAAACAACCTTGCATCTATGTCTTCTAGGCATATGAGAGTATTTTTGTCGCATAAGTGTATGAGAATGCCTATTTCCCCACAATCTTAGCAGTGCTGACATTACCATTCTTTTTTCATCTTTACAATATGATAGGATAAATAAATCTCATTTTAATTTTCATTTATTTAATTAATGAGGTTGAGCATATTTTTATATGTTTACAAACCGTTTCAGTTTCTTTCTCTGAAAGTTTCCTGTTCATGTGATGTTCCTATTTTTCTAATAGGCTGATTATTTGTTTTTATTTCTTTACCAGAGCCCTTCATATACTATTATTACTCTTTTGTCTGATGTAGGTTAAATGTATTTTATCCACTTCTAGTTTGTCTCTTTTAACTTTTTTTTAAATTTACAGATATTTAAAATGTTTATATAGCCATGTATATTGCCCCTTTCCTTTATGACTTCTGAATTCCTTATTGTACTTAGAAAGGACAGTATCACTTTAAGATTACATTTGTATAATTACTTTAAAACTCTGTCTGGTTCTTTAACTGGGATTGCCATTGTAAAAGTAGACAGAGGACAAGGAACTGCTGTCAAATTCATTATGCAGCAAATTCATATTAAGTACATAAGACATTGTAGACACTTTGCTGAGCTCTGGGAATTAGCAAGGCTTGAAGATACCATCCCTGCCTTCATGAAGTTGATTATAGCTAGCTAAATAGCCACATAAATACTTATGATAGTTCCTACCCCTTAGAGTTATTTTCAGGATTAAATGAGATAATACATATATAGTGCTTATAACTATACCTGGCATACAGTTAAGTGCTCAATAACATGTTCAGTATCATTATTTTATTATTATTATTGCTACAACCCTGTATTATAAGTTCTATAGCTTTTATAGGAATTTAGCAGAATAAGCATTTCATGTGTGGGTGTGTTTCTGCGAAGGACTGGAGATTTCATAGAAAAGATGTTTTGGAGCGAGGTCTTGAAAGATTAGTTATTTGGTAGGAAGAACACTTCAGGCAGAAAGTATGCTTTTACAGAGATATCAACAGGCAGAATATATGGAGATATAAAAAGGCAGAATGTAAGTCCAGATAGTTGGTGTTATGTGCATCCGTATAAGAGATCACCTGAGCAGGCTTAGTGTGAGCAGCAAGGCTGTTTATTCACTTGGGTGCAAGTGGGCTGAGTCCGAGAAAGGAGTCAGTGAAGGGTGGTGGGATTATCATTGGTTCTTATAGGTTTGGGATAGGCGGTGGAGTCAGGAGCAATTTTTTGCGGGCAGGGGATGGATGTTACAAAGTACATTCTCAAGAGCAGGGAGGATGTTACAAAGTACATTCACAAGGATGGGGAATATCACAAAGTACATTATCACAAGGGCAGGGGAATGTCACAATGGCTTGACCATTGTGCGGCCACCTCAAAGGATCTTACAGTCGGGCCTTGAATGTCATGCTAATAAGTTTTAATTAACCTTATTGTCACTGTAAGGATGAAACTCCTTCATCAATTCATTCAACAAATAGTTTTAGAGCACCTGCTGTGAACCAGGCTCTATTGTAGGCACTGGGGATACAGTGGTGGGATTAAGACAAATATTGACCTAGAACTTAGAGCTAGCTGGGGAGGGCAGTAAACGAGTAAAAAGATTACTTAGTTAATTACCCATCATGATAAGTACTAGGATGGAAATAAACTGAATGACAATAGATTATAACTGGGGAATAATACTTTAGTTAGGAAGGTCAGGGAAGGTTTCTCTGAGGAGGTGACTAATTTGGGGTGAACATACCAGTATAAAAGCCACAGGTTAAAAAGAATAACAAGGAATTTGCCTTGGGAAGATATGTCAGGAAAGGGACAGTAGGAGAGGGCCCCTGAATTTAAAGTTCATAAAGGAAGGGTACTCATGGTATAGTAGTTAGTGGTCATCTGCCTACTTCTACCAAAGAGAACTGTGTTAGCATATTGCTTCTGCTTATGTGTAGTTATAACCATACTGAGTCAGTTACACCAATCACTGACTTTAGTGAAGTGGTCAGTTAGGGGGATTCATAAGCTTACATTGGCTACCTCTACTTAAAGTCTTCTGGTTAAACCAGAGTGGTTAATCATTGTTACTTCTAATAGAAAATGGTATCCATCATCTATAACTGCAAAGTACTTTGTGTGTTCATGTTGCTCTCAGTAGATGATTGGGGCAAGTGACTATGTATTATTCTCATTTCATAGACTAGAAAACTGAAGCAGAATGAGATTTTGACATTACCTATGATTGTAGAATGTGTTTTCACATGAATAGTCCTTCATCACTTTTCATTAGCCTTTACAGGAGAACTACTGCTTCTAGTTTACAAGGTCTAACCATAAAATAATGAGGCTGCTTTTCATGAGACAAACACGAAAATCAGCCCACTTATAGCCCACTCTGTAGTGATATAACTTTCTTGCTTTGCTTTCTAATTGCTCTTACTTTATTTAATGTTTTCACATGGGATTTCCTAATAAAGACAACGACAACAAAAAGGTCACAATGTCCTTGATATTCAGAGGTGAAACTGCATAAAATACTACATTTTGTACCAGGCACAATAGCACGTACTAAAAAGATTAGTGAGAAGGGGCTTGAAAGGCAATAAAAGTGGTTCTTGTTTTCCAGATGGCTAGAGGGCTTGATTTATGAGGAATGAATAAATAAATTATGCATGGCATGGTTAAATGCATCTGAGGTAGTGTTATAGTAGTTTGTAAATTAGAAGAAACATAAACATAGAGATGTGAAAGAAGGTGGAGGGAATAGAAAAAGAGTTTGAGTAACAGAAAAACACGGAGGACTGTTCTCATAGTCCATCTGTTCTCACTTGCCTGCCTCTGCAGCCTGCACCTTATGGTCAGCAGTGCATTCATTCATTCATTCATTCACTTACTCATTTGATACTTATGGAACACCCAGATATGAGCCTAGCACTGTGCTGTTTTAGTAATGCTCTTCGATTCCCCTTTTTTCCTCACCTCCCTGTCTTTCTACCTAGTGTGCCTTGCTACTCCCTAACTGTTGAATGAAGAGACATTCCTGGCAGGGAGAGCAACACAGATAAAGGTCCAGCAGCATGAGAGAGCCTTTTATATTCAAGAAACAGAGTCTGTGGGTTTGAGGTCTGAGGCCCCCTGGGGTGGGAAGGGTGGTGGCAGTTGGAGCAAGAAGGAAGACTGCAGGGGCTAGGGTAGGAGGAGATCTAGTTAGAAATCTAGGTGGGGTCCAGATTGTGTACACTTTTCGACCTCATTTGTAACCAAAGCACCATCAAATGAACTAAAAGCAGAGGAATGATATGATCACATTTGAGTTTTAGAGAATTTTTGGCAGTGTGGAGGGTGGCTTGAGTAGTGTAGGTTGGAGACGAGAAGACCAGTGAGTGAAACTTGTTTTTTTGTAATCTAGGCAAAAGATCAAAAGGCCTGAATGAAGACAGCAGGAATGTAGAGGAAGAAATAAGTTCTGGACAAATTTCAGAGGGGGAACTGATAGGACCAATTAGATATGGGAAATAAAATAGAAAAGAGTCAGGGATGACTTCAAAGCCTAAGCATATTATTGGGTAGGCTGTGTTCCCCCATACTGCCTGCTGAGTTTCAACATAACCTACCAAAATCCAGGAGAAGAAAAAAAATCTTAATACTCAAATGTGATAGAATAAAAAACCTGAGGGTACTTGAAATTTGCCAAGTAAATTGCAAAACATTTCTATTTGTTTTGCCACACTGTAAAAATATGTCATAGTTTTTCTCCAGAGAGAAACTGAAAACAAAGTAAAATATCTTGGGTTCCAGCTCATGGAGAAATCTACTATTATCACTTCAGTTAGGCTTCCCTCAAGCTATCTGACTAGAGCAACTGTGTGGATTGTGTGGGAACGAAAAGAAAAGGTATTTTGAAATTAATCATTCTTATAACACTTGAACGTCCCTAAACACTTAGCCTGGAAGAATGGCAAACATTACTGTTGCCTTTTGAACTTAAAAAAAAAGTGGCCCATATGGAAAGCTCTGCAGGGCTATAAACCACATCAATGTAATATGCTGGATCTTTAAAATGAAACCTATGATGATGTCCACAGGCTTTAAAGGGTTCATTTAGGTTACTTAATTAGGAAAACGGCCAAATTTTAGAATTGATGTCCTCTAATTTTTCCCCCACTTACTTTTTTTTTAATTAGCTAAAGTACATAATTTCTTCAGATTTACTTAGTTTTTACCTAAGTGTCTCATCCAGGATACTATATTACATATTCTTCATGTCTCTAAGGAGCTAAGGGCTCCTCTTGGCTGTGACAGTTTCTCAGACTTTCCTTGTTTTTGATGACCTTAACAGTTTTGAAGAGTACTGGTCAGGTATTTTGTAGAATGTCTCTCAATTGGGATTTGTCTGATGTTTTTCTCAAGATTACAATGGAATTTTGGAGATGAAGACCGCAGAGGTGGAGTGTCTTTCTCATTATGTCTTATTAAGGAGCACATACTATCAATATGACTTATCACTGTTGATGTTGACCTTGATCACCTGGCTGAGGTGTAATGTTTGCCAGGTTTATCCACTGTAAAACTATTTTTTCTTCTTTCCATACTGTACTCTTCGGAAGGAAGTCACTGCGTAGAACAGCGGTCCACAACATTTTTGGCACCAGGGACAGGGACCAGTTTCATGGAAGACAATTTCATCTTCAACGAAACCGGCGGTGGGGGGTGAGGATGGTTTTGAGATGAAACTGTTCCACCTCAGATCATCAGGCATTAGTTAGATTCTCATAAGGAGTGCACAACCTACATCCCTCGCATGCGCAGTTCACAAATAAGGTTCGTGCTCCTCTGAGAATCTAATGCCGCCACTGATCTGACAGGAGGTGGAGCTCAGGCTGTAATGCTTGCTCGCCCTCTGCTCACCTCCTGCTACGCGGACTGGTTCCTAACAGGCCACAGACTGGTATCAGTCCATGGCCCCGTGGATGGGGACCCCCTGGTTTAGCTCACACGTAGGACTAGGAAGTTAGGTTTCACCTCCATGAGGGTGAAATATCTACAGAAATTATTTGGAATTGTTTTACATGGGAGATTTGTCTTTTTCTTTCCCATTTATTTATCTATTAAATCATTTATATCAGTATGGACTCATTTATTTTGTGCTTTGAGTTATAATCCATTACTACATTTTGTTGGTCAAATTGTTCCAGCTTTGGCTACTGGGAACTCTTTCAATTGACTCCATTTCCCTTTGACAAACTCCTATCATTGTGGGGTCTTTTTTGAGCATATCCTTATTTTTTGGCACTACAACATGCTCTAGGCTCATATTATATATTTCCTGCCCCAGTGCTAGAATCAGCCATTTCTCCAAGGAACCCTGGTTCCTTTTATTGGAAAATGGTATTAGAAGCCATGATATGGATACATGGATACTAGGTATGCTCCTTTCTACTGAGGCATTTGTTGCTTCTAGGCCCTGTTAGCCAATGCAGTAAGGAAATATGTGTATTCTGACCCATACATATATACACACATATACATATATCTATGAATATATGTATATGTAACCACCTGTATCTACGGTAAGCTAAACATGAGATCATACTCATGTCTCTAATTCTAATCTATTACCACATGGATCACTCTAGCCTCCTCCCTTTGCTTGTCTATAACCTCCTACTCCAACAGTGAGAAACCTGGTTCCTACCACTCACAATCTGTTACTTAACTGTTTACTTCTGGTATGTAGTCATATGCTACATAATGACATTTTGGTCAACTACAGACTGCATATATGATACCACGTTTTAATAGTTTGTGGTATAAATAGTACCAAATTTTTACTGTACTTTTCTATGTTTAGACACATACTTACCATTATGTTACAGTTGACTACAGTATTCAGTAGAATAACATGCTGTACAGGTTTGTAGCCTAAGAGCAATAGGCTATACCATACAGTCTAGGTGTGTAGTAGGCTAGACCATCTAGGTTTATGTAAGTACACTCTATGATGTTTGCACGATGATGAAATTACCTAACAACACATTTCTCAGAATGTATCCCCATCATTAAGTAATGCATGACTGTACATGTATAGTGGTTTCAGAATTGTTAACCCATACCCTCCATAAGAGACAACTTTATCAAGAGTGCAGCATCATTCCTTTTGCTTTAATCTTACAAATTTTATTCATTTTCACAGTTACCTGGGTCAGCACTTTTCACCTTTATCCCTTTCATTGAGGCTGTTTTATAAATTTGTGATGCAGTTAGATTCTTTTTTCACATGCTGCATTCTATCCTGGGATCTTCAGTCTCCTAAATGATTTTTTTAATTTGCATACATTATGTTCATTCTTTGTGCTGTGAAGTTCTATAAGTTTTGACAAATATATAGTGTATCCACTATTACAGTATCATGTAGAATAGTTTCACTGCCTTAACAAGTCCCCTGTGCATTACCTATTCAATCCCTTCTTCTCTTGAGTCCATGGCAACCACTGACCTGTTTATTGTCTCCATAAATTTGCCTTTACCATAATATCATGTAAAAGGAATCATACAGAATATAACCTTTTTAGATTAGCTTCTTTCACTTACCAATATGCATTTAAGATTCATCCATGTCTTTGTGTGGATTTATTGCTCATTCCTTCTTATTGCTGAATAGTATTCCATTGTCTGTATATACTACTGTTTGTTTATCCATTCATCTACTGAAGGACATCTTGGTTGCTTACTGTTGGGGGCAATTATGAATGAAGTTGCTACAAACACCTGTGTGCAGGTTTTTATGTGGATATAAATTTTCAAATCAAGTAAGTAAGTATTTAGGGGTGCGATTGTTGGATCATATGGTAACACTATGTTTTGTTTTGTTTTGTTTCATAAAAAAAAGTGCCACCAAACTGTCTGCCAAAGTGCCAAAGTGGCTATACCATTTTGCATTCCTACCAGCTATGAATGAGAGTTCCTGTTAGTTTGCATCCTTGGTATTGTCAGTGTTTTGGATTTTAGCCATTCTAATAGGTATGTAGTGGTATCTCATTGTTTTAATTTGCATTTCTCTAATGACAAATGATGTTGAACATCTTTTCACGTGCTATTTGCCATATGTACATCTTTCTTTGGTGAGGTTCAGGTTTTTTGCCCATTTTTAAATTGGGATTTTTTTTATTGTTGAGTTTTAGTTCTTTGTATTTTGGATACCAGTCCTTTATCAGATATATATTTTGTAAATGTCTTATCCTAGTCTGTGGCTTGTCTTCTTGGCTTTTTTTTTTTTTTTTTTTTGAGATGGAGTCTCGCTCTGTTGACTAGGCTGGAGTGCAGTGGTTCCATCTCGCTTGGCTCACTGCAAGCTCCGCCTCCTGGGTTCACGCCATTCTCCTGCCTCAGCCTCCTGAGTAGCTGGGACTACAGGTGCCTGCCACCACGCCTGGCTAATTTTTTGTATTTTAGTAGAGACGAGGTTTCACCATGTTAGCCAGGATGGTCTCCATCTCCTGACCTCGTGATCCGCCCACCTCGGCCTCCCAAAGTGCGGGGATTACAGGCGTGAGCCACTGCGCCTGGCCGTGGCTTGTCTTTTTATACTCTTTACAGTAGTTTTTGCAAACCAGAAATTTTTAATTTTAGTGAAGTCTAACTTATTAATTTTTTTTCTTTCCTGGATCATGCTATTTGTATTGTATATAAAAAGTCATCACTGAATCCAAAATCATGTAGATTTTCTCCTATGATATCTTCCAGAAGTTTTATAGTTTTGCATTTTACATTTAGGTCAATGGTACATTTTGTGTAAATTTTTATAAAAGGAGGAAAGTCTTTGTTTAGATTATCTTTTTAACATACTTATGCCTAGTCATTGCAGCACTGGTTGTTAAAAACACTGTCCTTTCTCCACTGATTTGCCTTTGCGCCTTCTTTAAAGATTAATTGACTGTATTTGTGTGGGTCTATTTTGGGGCTCTCTATTCTGTTCTCTTCGTCTATGCATCTTTTCTTTTGACAATACCATGCTGTCCTGATTACTATGGCTTTATGGTAAATCTTGAAATGAGGTAGTGTGAGCCTTCCAACTGTTCAGCTTCAACATTGTGTTGGATACTCTAGATGTTTTGCTTTTCCACAGAAGCTTTAGAATCAGTTTATTGTAGCTGCAAAATGACTTGCTTGGGTTTCTGTTGGGATTGTGTTGAATCTATAGATCAAGCTGGGAAGAATTGAAATCTCAATAATACTGAGTTTTACATCCCATGAACATTGACTATTTATTCAGATCTTTAGTTTCTTTAATCAGTATTTTGTAGTTTTCTGCATATAGATCTTGTATATATTTTCTTAGATTTCGACCTCTAAGTATTTAATTTGGAGTGGGGTGGGGTGACTATTGTAAATAGTATTGCTTTTTAAAATTTGCAATTCTAGTTCATTACTGGTATAAGGAAAGCAATTGACTTTTGTATATTGACTTTATATCCTGGAGTCTTACTATGTTGTCTTTATTAGTTCTAAGAGGTTGGGTTTTTTCCCCTTCAGGATTTTTTTAGGATTCTTTGGGATTTTCTACATAGACAGTTATGTCATCTGCAAATAAAGACAGTTTTATTTCTCTCTTTCCAACCTGTATACTTTTTATTACCTTTTGTTGTCTTACTTTACTAGCTAAGATGTTGAATAGATGAATGGTAAGAGAAGACATCCTTGCCTTGTTCCTGCTCTTAGGGGAAAAGAGTCTAGTTTCTCACTATTAACTGTGATATTAGCTGTAGGGCCTTTTTTGGTAGATGTTCTTTATTAAGTTGAGGAAATTATACTTTATTCCTACTTTGCTGAGAGTTAATCATGAATGGATATTAAATTATGAATTATGTCAAATGCTTTTTTGTTGTCAATGGATATCATATGACTTTTCTTCTTTAGCCTATTGTTATGCTAGATTACATTGATTTTTGAAATGTTGCTCCAGCTTTGCATACCTGGAATAAATTCCACTTGGTTGGGATTCCACTTGGTTGGAGATAACTGATATTATGCAATGTCGAATTCAATTTTCTAATATTTTAAAAGGATTTTTACATCTATGTTCATGAAAGGTATTAATCTGTAGTTTTCCTTTCTTGTAATGTCTCTGTTTGGTTTTCATATCGTTTAATGTTGGCCTCATAGCGTAACTTAGGAAGTGTTCTCTCCGCTACAGTTTTCTGGAAGAGATTGGGGAAAATTGGTATAATTTTATCCTTAAATGTTTGGTAGAACTTACCAGTGAAACCATGGGGGCCTGGTGCTTTCTTTTTGGCAAGGTTATTAATTTTTGATTCAATAATAATAATAGGGAATACATTTAAGTTCTGCAGGTCTATTTTACAACACGATGATAGTTAATAATAAGGTATTGTATGCCTGAAAATTGCTAAGTGAATGTATTTTAAATGTTCTCACCACAAAAAATAAGCATGTGAGATAATGAATGTATTTAGTTTGATTTAATAATTTACAGTGTATACGTATATAAAAACGTGTACACCTTATTTGTCAGTTGTACCTTCATAGAGGTGGAGGAAAAATAGAAGTGGGTTGTTTAAGCTTTGTGTATTTTGGGATTTCTAGCTCTCTTTGTTTAATTAATTAATCTCTAGTTTAATTCCAGTTTGGTAAGAGAGCAAACTTTGTATGATTTTTAATCTTTTTAAAGTGTGTTTTGTGGCCCAGGATGTGGTGTATCTTACAAAATATGTGTAAACTTGAGAAGACTGTGTATTCTGCTGTTGTTGGATGAAGAAGTTGATAAATGTCAATTATATTCAGTTAATCAGTGAAAAAATAATAATAATAGATGTGGGGCTCTTCAGATTTTTCTGTTTCTCCTGTGTAAGTTTTGGTAGTTTGTGTCTTTCAAGTAGTTGGTCCATTTCACCTGTTAGTAAATTTGTGTTCATAGTATTTCTTTATTATCCTTTTAATGTCTGAGAGACCGGGAGTCATGACATCTTCTTCATTTCTGATATGGTAATTTGTGTCTCCGCTCTTTTTTTTCTTGGTTAGCTTGGATAGTAGTCTATCAATTTTGTTGATCCTTCCAAAGAACCTGCTTTTGTTGATTTTTCTCTATTTTTTCAATTTTATTGATTTCTGTTCTAAATTTCTTATTGTCTTTGGTTTGCTTTAGGCTTATATTGTTCTCTTCTTCTCCTAGTTCCCTAAGATGGAAGCTTAGGTTATTGATTTTAGATCTTCTTTCCTAATATATACATTTAAGCCTATAAATTTCCCTCTAAGCACTGATTTTGCTGCATCCCTCAATGTTACTTCTCACATATATTATATTTTCATTTATTTCAAAATATTTTAAAATTTGTCTTGAGACATTTTGACTTACAAGTTATTTGGAAATATGTTGTTTAATTTCCAGGTATTTGAGGATTTTCCAGCTATTTTTCTGTTATTGGCTTCTATTAATAGCTCAATTCCATTGTGTTAGGATTTACAGCAAACTGGCTAGGACTTGGGCTGTATTTCATGTTTGGTGTATCTAGGTGCCAGAGGCTTCAAATTCCTCTAGTGTGCTTGTTTTTGTCTCTCCTCTTGATTGTGAGTTTCCCTGAGGACAACTCCTCTAGAGAGTCTGTGTCTTGCAGCTCTTTCAACTGTGATCCACTATTATTATACTGGAGCCCTGATGAGGTGGTGGTGAAGTATGGGGGAGGTGGTAATTTTATAATCCTCTGATTAAATGTCACTGTTTGATGGAACTGTGTTTTGTGGCTGTGACCTTCATACATTTTTCTCCAGTAGTATACTTTTTGTCCTCCCTGCCCTCTACTCTCTTCTTTGACTGCAGCATTCCCAATGTGTTTACTTGAAGCCCTGCACCTTGTTGAGTATGTTCCCCTGCTTTAGGTGAGATAAGAAGGCTAGATGGGATGGGAGTGGGAGGAATGTCCTTCTCCCAACTGGGATAAGGCTCAGGCAAAGTATTTTCCCCTGAGGCCTTTGTTATGGAGAAATATCTGGCAAGTTTCACAATGATTTCTCTTTCCCTCCCCTTGTCAGAGCCAGGAGGGATTCTTAGATCTTCACTGTGAGAACTTGGTGGGGTTCCTGGATGTAGAGCTTTGGTGTGGGAGCTCCCCTAAGACCGTGGTCCCCAAGAGTTTCTTGTACTCACGCCAGTCCACACTCAGCCTTCAGCAGCTTGTTCAAGTTGCCATTTGTGTTTCTACCAGCTCCAGCCATTTCTACTCCAGGTAAGCAGATCTCAGCTGTGTCTCTTTGAATAAGCTTCTCTCTTCAGATTTTGGGGTGGCAGTTTCCTCTGCAACCTCAGTTCTCCAATGAGTCCAAGAAAGATCATTGATTTTTTTTGGTTTATCCAACCTTTTCTTGTAAGGGTGAGAGCAATAACTTCTAAGTTCTTTGCTTGCAGGAGCTGAATCCAGAGGTTCCCCATTTTCATTTAATAAAACCACTTTGGTCCTTTCTTGAAGGAAATATACTTTCGGCTCCACTTTGTTCCAATTCATGACACGTGGTAGAGGAAGCAGTTGCTGTAATGCTTCAGGGGGTATGTGCCATATGTTTCTAAGATCTGGGGCTAACAGGTAATCCAGAGATACTGTAGCCGTATGAGTATAGCTCTGTGTAGTTAACCACATGCCAGAAATGTTGGGTCTCAGTGAGATACTAGATTGTCCTGTACCTCACTGATGAGCTTTTCTAAGGATTGGTAGCACCATTTTATGATCTTGCCAGTAGAACATTCTCAGTTAGCTATGCAATCAAAATATCATTTGGAATTCTTCAAAGATAAGGGCCTCTCAGAAGTCATTCAATCCAATATATGAGTGACCAAACAAAAAATCATCGCTAAAATGATACAGTATGAATTTGGAAGGGACCTTAACATTATATTTACTAATACACCTTCATGTTACAGATGGAAAACCTGTAAACCCACAGAGATTAAGGCAGTTGCCCAAGGTGACACAACTAGTGAGTTATGGAGCTAGGATTGGAATCCACATCTTCTCACTGCAGGATAATAGGTCTGATCACACTTTGTTCTTATTTAAAAACTGAATAAGCGTTCTTCCTCTCAGGGCTTTCCCTCTTAGTGTTGACCAGAAACTATCACCTACTTTGTCCACAAGTATCCCAGTAATCTGCCTCCCAGAACATAAGTCTGCTCCTTGCAATGTCCTGTCTCTGTTCTTCCAGTTGCATTGCTAGTATTTTTTCTTTTCAAAATCACTTACATAACACATAAATATGTCTCACTATAAAAGATTCAAACAATACACAGGTTTTTAAAATGTGAAAGTCTCCCTTGTTCTTCCCACTCCAGAGACAACCACCAAAAAGAATTCAGTATGATCCTTCCAGTTCTTTCTCTATCCAGTCACATATACAGACACACATTTAAAAAAAGACATATTCTGCTTATTTTGTGACTTGCTTTTTTCATATAATATGTCTGGGATACATTTCTATTTCAGTACACATCAGTCTACTTCTTTGCTTGCACTATTTCCCTATTACTAGATACTTTCATTGTTTCTGGGTTTTTGCTACTACAAACAGTGCTGCAATGAATAACACACATACATTGGTGTGCACAGGTGCAACTGTGTCTTTAAGTAATTCCCACATGAGATATATATATATAGATATATATATATATGCTTTTTTGAAACTTATTTTTCTGTCCATGACATCACACAATTCCTATGAATCCAAGGAGAATCTCACAATTGGTATTTTCTGTCTTGAAATTTTCCCCCCACTAAAGAATAATTGCTAGTCTTGTGTGCCCAGTTTCCTTCTGGAAATTAATAGAAACCAATGTAGACTTAGGACAGAAGAACTGGAGAATTGCTGCTTCTAAAACAACAATTAGAAGTTATTAGGCAGGATCGTGCTACCCAAAGGATTTCCCAACACTGTGGTATGTAATATGCATTTTAGGGCAGTGTCTCCCTACCCATCACATTCCCCATTCTCTTGTCAGTCCCATAAATGTGTACAATTGAGAAGGAAGGAATGAAGAACAAGTAAGGGAGTGGGGCGCTGTTTACTTTTTGTGGGGAGCCCTCTCAGCAACTTTGTCAAATCTAGCCCCTTTACTTCATTGCCACATTGCTTTCTGTGGCATCTTAGTCCAGTGGGAGCCTGCAGATACCAAGCCAAAGTCCTCATGCTGTTTTGGTTACTTTGATAACTCTGTCAGTTAGCACCCTGGTTCCACTGGTCATGAAAGTGAGTTGAGTCAGGAACTTCCAGATTTGAGCAGATGCTGGGAATAAGAGGACTACAAGAGATACACCCCAAGAAAATAGCCACAACCCAGTAAAGATGGAGCTGTATCCACTGGGAGTAAAGAGTCAGAAGGAGGTGTTAGAATCTGAATTCATGCTTGTCTCCACAGCTTTCCCTATGCCTTTCTGCCATGCCCAACCTTCCTGTTTTTTTCTCATAACTCTCAAACTTCATTTCAATATCATAGATTTGTTGGAGTTCTTGCAGTTCCATTTCCCACATCCTTCACCACCCCTTTTATTGTCTAGCTCTCAGCAGAGTCGGGATAGAGTTTCTTCTTTGTTGTCCTTCCTGCGTGTTAGACACCTTCAAGTTTTAACCTGCTGTGAACAGGAACCAAAGCAGTGGATCACTAAATGAAATGAGTGCAGGGATGAGATTCAAAACAATGCAGGCACTGCCCAGTGATATTGGCTGTCAGACATAGCACTGGGGCAGTGTCCTGGAGCCTCCTGGTATTCCAGCCGCTGGATCATGGGTAAGTTCAGGAGTTTCTAGGGTAGGGTGAGGTGGGGGAGGAGAGTCCTGAGGAAAAAGTGGTTATTTATCTGTAGCTACTGAAGTATTTCAGTATTTAGCAAACTGGTATGGCATACAGATGCATATCAACAGAATAGCTGCCCTGAATAAGTGTCCCAGGGGTCAAACTAAGAGTACACTAAAGCATAATGTGGTCCTGGATAGATACTATCCAGGACTCTCCTGGATAGATACTATCCAGGACTCTCCTGGATAGATACTATCCAGGACTCTCCTGGATAGATACTATCCAGGACTCTCCTGGATAGATACTATCCAGGACTCTCCTGGATAGATACTATCCAGGACTCTCCTGGATAGATACTATCCAGGACTCTCCTGGATAGATACTATCCAGGACTCTCCTGGATAGATACTATCCAGGACTCTCCTGGATAGATACTATCCAGGACTCTCCTGGATAGATACTATCCAGGACTCTCCTGGATAGATACTATCCAGGACTCTCCTGGATAGTTTCTTAGATGGGAGGGCTACTCCAACTACATTTGCTTCTTGGCCACTGGACTTAATTGAGTGGGAAAACAAAATAGAAGCAAAATGAAGGCACAAGTTGCTAGATAGAAAGTTCCTACAAATGTTGATTAATTATCAGGGCTTCCGCTGTAATGTACTATCAGACAAATAGGTGAAATGGGATGTGAAAGAGTTTATGTGACTTATTGGCAGATCTAGAATGGATGAACCAGTACAAGAAGGGAAGCAGGATGCGGGTATGGAAGTAAGAAGTGGCATATAATAGGCTCTTAGTATTTGCTGTTGAATGCAAGTAAAGTTTAAATGACCACAGGATGAATATCTGCTGATGTGTGTTAGGCATAATGTTGAATTTTTTGTACATTTGGTTCCAGCCTTGCAAAAATACAATATATCGCTGTAAAACTGAAATACATTTTTTAAAGGGACTATTTTCAAGTCCTGTGATATATACCAATAGCCCTGCCCCATTTCTTTGAATGCTTATTTATTTCTTTAGGTTGTTGCCAATTAGTGAGCCCTAATGCAGCTGTGATATTACTAAAGCAGTACTTCAGGGTCTGTGCATGAGATTTCTTCCTATTCTTTTTCCTCTTGTGTTTTTGTTAGTGTTTAACTAGTTCACTTAATCAGTTACTGTTCAGCCCCCTAGGTAAATTTCTAATGGCATATTGGTTAGGGATTTAAATAAACATTATTCTCAACAGATTTTTTTTTTCTTGTATTTTAAGGGGTTTTCCAGTTTAAAGCATCATGTGATTTTTAGAAAAAAAAATTAGACAGTGATTTCCATAATGAGAACTGAGTTAAATACATTCATTTATATGCCTCCTCATTCAAGCAGTGTGTTTCTAGAGACCTGTTGTTAAGTCTTTAGATCCGAGTATAACCCTAACGGGAAAGCTGTTTCAATGTTGACTTTTTTCTCTGACTGGTTTACTGTATGTTTTTCCTGGACTCAGGCAATGCAAATTAGCCTTTTGGGGGCTTTTTGTTCTATCATTCAAGTTGAGATCTAATTGTACTTTAACTTGAATAATTTTTGTTAGAACATTAAGTTATTTTATATATAACATTCACTATGCCTTCAAAATTTGAGATAAGTTTTACTTTTTTTTTTCTTATAGAGACAAAAATCTAGACTCACCTAAGTACCCCAACCTGATGTGTAGGCTCATTGTTTAATTTTTCTCTGCCTTCCTTGGCAGCATATTTACATGCCAGAAGCTTAGCTCTTAATGCATTGTTTTTTTGAAAAGCCTTTTGCATTTTGTTACTTTGTGCATCATTAGTTAATGGGTAGATCATTTCTGTTGCCATTCTTGACAGTTAATTTTTAAAAATTTATTTTCTTTCTATTAAGTTTTAAAAATGCTAAGAAAAGAAACCAGCTAGATGTGGAATATGACCAATGACTTAAGCTGTTTGTCATCAAGTCAGCTATAGATATCTTGATGAAAGTGTGTGAACAAGTTAAACCTTTTCACTGATGAAACCTAAAATAGTAGCAATGGCTGTCATCATCATCATTGTTATACATTTTAAAATATATTGTTTTTCTTATTCTAAAAATATGATGAATATTTTTAAATTCACAGTCCACACTTGTGTCAGTTAACCATTTAGAGGTCTTCATGTGCTAAAAGTTTTCAAAATATTGCTGTAGGGGCCACTGGCATTGTAAAAATTGGGAAATGATCTGGTCAGATCAGTGTTTCAGAAAGAATTCTGCTTATCTCAAAATAGTCTATTATTGTGTTTTTATCATAGGATGCATTAAAAGTTGGTAAGAATTTCTTTATCTTATTTTCACAATAATATCAATTGACCTACACTGGGCAGTCTGTATAATGAACACACACTAAAGATGGTAAGTTTGCCAGAGAAGGAATGGAGAGTAGAAAAGAATAAAAGAAATAAAGCATGTCAAACTCTGATACTGGTGCCTCATTTCTTAATCTAAATTGTCATTAAATCTTGTTTTAGTATGAGGACTGAATCATAGCCACCAGCCCTCTAGTTCTCAAAGGAAGTAACTGTACATGGAATAAAAAAAAAAGTCCCTTCCTTGGAAGTGCTGATAAAGCATTTGAAAAACACATGAACTTTCATTAAAAGTCAATAACGTGGCACCAGCTATGCAATCCATAGGAACTATATATTTTTATGTACCAAAAAAGATAGTATCTTTGCTAAATCGACTGCTAAATACTATAGCTGCTAAAGTGTGAAATAATCTTATAGATAATGTAAATCATACTAGATAATATAAGTGAATTCTTTAGTGGTCTTCAGATACTGTTACAGGTAAAATTGTGTTTACTAACGAACAACTTGGAAGGAGGCTTTAGAGGTTAGGCACATTACCCTCTTTGAATGAGATAGACATACTTTTCTAAAAGTTTAATGGAATAAGACAGTCACGGGGGGAGGAGCCAAGATGGCCGAATAGGAACAGCTCCGGTCTACAGCTCCCAGCGTGAGCGACGCAGAAGACGGGTGATTTCTGCATTTCCATCTGAGGTACCGGGTTCATCTCACTAGGGAGTGCCAGAGAGTGGGCGCAGGCCAGTGGGTGCGCGCACCGTGCGCGAGCTGAAGCAGGGCGAGGCATTGCCTCACCTGGGAAGCGCAAGGGGTCAGGGAGTTCCCTTTCCGAGTCAAAGAAAGGGGTGACGGACGCACCTGGAAAATCGGGTCACTCCCACCCGAATATTGCGCTTTTCAGACCGGCTTAAAAAACGGCGCACCACGAGACTATATCCCACACCTGGCTCGGAGGGTCCTACGCCCACGGAATCTCGCTGATTGCTAGCACAGCAGTCTGAGATCAAACTGCAAGGCGGCAGCGAGGCTGGGGGAGGGGCGCCCGCCATTGCCCAGGCTTGCTTAGGTAAACAAAGCAGCGGGGAAGCTCGAACTGGGTGGAGCCCACCACAGCTCAAGGAGGCCTGCCTGCCTCTGTAGGCTCCACCTTTGGGGGCAGGGCACAGACAAACAAAAAGATAGCAGTAACCTCTGCAGACTTAAATGTCCCTGTCTGACAGCCTTGAAGAGAGCAGTGGTTCTCCCAGCACACAGCTGGAGATCTGAGAACGGGCAGACTGCCTCCTCAAGTGGGTCCCTGACCCCTGACCCCCGAGCAGCCTAACTGGGAGGCACCCCCCAGCAGGGGCACACTGACACCTCACACGGCAGGGTATTCCAACAGACCTGCAGCTGAGGGTCCTGTCTGTTAGAAGGAAAACTAACAAACAGAAAGGACATCCACACCAAAAACCCATCTGTACATCACCATCATCAAAGACCAAAAGTAGATAAAACCACAAAGATGGGGAAAAAACAGAACAGAAAAACTGGAAACTCTAAAACGCAGAGCGCCTCTCCTCCTCCAAAGGAACGCAGTTCCTCACCAGCAATGGAACAAAGCTGGATGGAGAATGATTTTGACGAGCTGAGAGAAGAAGGCTTCAGACGATCAAATTACTCTGAGCTACGGGAGGACATTCAAACCAAAGGCAAAGAAGTTGAAAACTTTAAAAAAAATTTAGAAGAATGTATAACTAGAATAACCAATACAGAGAAGTGCTTAAAGGAGCTGATGGAGCTGAAAACCAAGGCTCGAGAACTACGTGAAGAATGCAGAAGCCTCGGGAGCCGATGCGATCAACTGGAAGAAAGGGTATCAGCAATGGAAGATGAAATGAATGAAATGAAGCGAGAAGGGAAGTTTAGAGAAAAAAGAATAAAAAGAAATGAGCAAAGCCTCCAAGAAATATGGGACTATGTGAAAAGACCAAATCTACGTCTGATTGGTGTACCTGAAAGTGATGTGGAGAATGGAACCAAGTTGGAAAACACTCTGCAGGATATTATCCAGGAGAACTTCCCCAATCTAGCAAGGCAGGCCAACGTTCAGATTCAGGAAATACAGAGAACGCCACAAAGATACTCCTCGAGAAGAGCAACTCCAAGACACATAATTGTCAGATTCACCAAAGTTGAAATGAAGGAAAAAATGTTAAGGGCAGCCAGAGAGAAAGGTCGGGTTACCCTCAAAGGGAAGCCCATCAGACTAACAGCAGATCTCTCGGCAGAAACCCTACAAGCCAGAAGAGAGTGGGGGCCAATATTCAACATTCTTAAAGAAAAGAATTTTCAACCCAGAATTTCATATCCAGCCAAACTAAGCTTCATAAGTGAAGGAGAAATAAAATACTTTACAGACAAGCAAATGCTGACCGATTTTGTCACCACCAGGCCTGCCCTAAAAGAGCTCCTGAAGGAAGCGCTAAACATGGAAAGGAACAACCGGTACCAGCTGCTGCAAAATCATGCCAAAATGTAAAGACCATCGAGACTAGGAAGAAAGTGCATCAACTAATGAGCAAAATAACGAGCTAACATCATAATGACAGGATCAAATTCACACATAACAATATTAACTTTAAATGTAAATGGACTAAATTCTCCAATTAAAAGACACAGACTGGCAAGTTGGATAAAGAGTCAAGACCCATCAGTGTGCTGTATTCAGGAAACCCATCTCACGTGCAGAGACACACATAGGCTCAAAATAAAAGGATGGAGGAAGATCTACCAAGCAAATGGAAAACAAAAAAAGGCAGGGGTTGCAATCCTAGTCTCTGATAAAACAGACTTTAAACCAACAAAGATCAAAAGAGACAAAGAAGGCCATTACATAATGGTAAAGGGATCAATTCAACAAGAGGAGCTAACTATCCTAAATATATATGCACCCAATACAGGAGCACCCAGATTCATAAAGCAAGTCCTGAGTGACCTACAAAGAGACATAGACTCCCACACATTAATAATGGGAGACTTTAACACCCCACTGTCAACATTAGACAGATCAACGAGACAGAAAGTCAACAAGGATACCCAGGAACTGAACTCAGCTCTGCACCAAGCGGACCTAATAGACATCTACAGAACACTCCACCCCAAATCAACAGAATATACATTTTTTTCAGCACCACACCACACCTATTCCAAAATTGACCACATACTGGGAAGTAAAGCTCTCCTCAGCAAATGTAAAAGAGCAGAAATTATAACAAACTATCTCTCAGACCACAGTGCAATCAAACTAGAACTCAGGATTAAGAATCTCACTCAAAGCCGCTCAACTACATGGAAACTGAACAACCTGCTCCTGAATGACTACTGGGTAAATAACGAAATGAAGGCAGAAATAAAGATGTTCTTTGAAACCAAAGAGAACAAAGACACAACATACCAGAATCTCTGGGACGCATTCAAAGCAGTGTGTAGAGGGAAATTTATAGCACTAAATGCGCACAAGAGAAAGCAGGAAAGATCTAAAATTGACACCCTAACATCACAATTAAAAGAACTAGAAAAGCAAGAGCAAACACATTCAAAAGCTAGCAGAAGGCAAGAAATAACTAAAATCAGAGCAGAACTGAAGGAAATAGAGACACAAAAAACCCTTCAAAAAATCAATGAATCCAGGAGCTGGTTTTTTGAAAGGATCAACAAAATTGATAGACCGCTAGCAAGACTAATAAAGAAAAAAAGAGAGAAGAATCAAATAGACACAATAAAAAATGATAAAGGGGATATCACCACTGATCCCACAGAAATACAAACTACCATCAGAGAATACTACAAACACCTCTACGCAAATAAACTAGAAAATCTAGAACAAATGGATGCATTCCTCGACACATACACTCTCCCAAGACTAAACCAGGAAGAAGTTGAGTCTCTGAATAGACCAATAACAGGAGCTGAAATTGTGGCAATAATCAATAGTTTACCAACCAAAAAGAGTCCAGGACCAGATGGATTCACAGCCGAATTCTCCCAGAGGTACAAGGAGGAACTGGTACCATTCCTTCTGAAACTATTCCAATCAATAGAAAAAGAGGGAATCCTCCCTAACTCATTTTATGAGGCCAGCATCATTCTGATACCAAAGCCAGGCAGAGACACAACCAAAAAAGAGAATTTTAGACCAATATCCTTGATGAACATCGATGCAAAAATCCTCAATAAAATACTGGCAAACCGAATCCAGCAGCACATCAAAAAGCTTATCCACCATGATCAAGTGGGCGTCATCCCTGGGATGCAAGGCTGGTTCAGTATACGCAAATCAATAAATGTAATCCAGCATATAAACAGAGCCAAAGACAAAAACCATATGATTATCTCAATAGATGCAGAAAAAGCCTTTGACAAAATTCAACAACCCTTCATGCTAAAAACTCTCAATAAATTAGGTATTGATGGGACGTATGTCAAAATAATAAGAGCTATCTATGACAAACCCACAGCCAATATCATACTGAATGGGCAAAAACTGGAAGCATTCCCTTTGAAAACTGGCACAAGACAGGGATGCCCTCTCTCACCGCTCCTATTCAACATAGTGTTGGAAGTTCTGGCCAGGGCAATCAGGCAGGAGAAGGAGATAAAGGGTGTTCAATTAGGAAAAGAGGAAGTCAAATTGTCCCTGTTTGCAGATGACATGATTGTATATCTATAAAACCCCGTCGTCTCAGCCCAAAATCTCCTTAAGCTGATAAGCAACTTCAGCAAAGTCTCAGGATACAAAATCAATGTACAAAAATCACAAGCATTCCTATACACCAACAACAGACAAACAGAGAGCCAAATCATGAGTGAACTCCCATTCACAATTGCTTCAAAGAGAATAAAATACCTAGGAATCCAACTTACAAGGGATGTGAAGGACCTCTTCAAGGAGAACTACAAACCACTGCTCAAGGAAATAAAAGAGGATACAAACAAATGGAAGAACATTCCATGCTCATGGGTAGGAAGAATCAATATCGTGAAAATGGCCATACTGCCCCAGGTAATTTACAGATTCAATGCCATCCCCATCAAGCTACCAATGACTTTCTTCACAGAATTGGAAAAAACTACTTTCAAGTTCATATGGAACCAAAAAAGAGCCCGCATCGCCAAGTCAATCCTAAGCCAAAAGAACAAAGCTGGAGGCATCACACTACCTGACTTCAAACTATACTACAAGGCTACAGTAACCAAAACAGCATGGTACTGGTACCAAAACAGAGATATAGATCAATGGAACAGAACAGAGCCCTCAGAAATAACGCCGCTTACCTACAACTATCTGATCTTTGACAAACCTGACAAAAACAAGCAATGGGGAAAGGATTCCCTATTTAATAAATGGTGCTGGGAAAACTGGCTAGCCATATGTAGAAAGCTGAAACTGGATCCCTTCCTTATGCCTTATACAAAAATTAATTCAAGATGGATTAAAGATTTAAACATTAGACCTAAAACCATAAAAACCCTAGAAGAAAACCTAGGCATTACCATTCAGGACATAGGCATGGGCAAGGACTTCATGTCCAAAACACCAAAAGCAATGGCAACAAAAGCCAAAATTGACAAATGGGATCTAATTAAACTAAAGAGCTTCTGCACAGCAAAAGAAACTACCATCAGAGTGAACAGGCAACCTACAACATGGGAGAAAATTTTCGCAACCTACTCATCTGACAAAGGGCTAATAGCCAGAATCTACAATGAACTCAAACAAATTTACAAGAAAAAAACAAACAACCCCATCAAAAAGTGGGCGAAGGACATGAACAGACACTTCTCAAAAGAAGACATTTATGCAGCCAAAAAACACATGAAGAAATGCTCATCATCACTGGCCATCAGAGAAATGCAAATCAAAACCACTATGAGATATCATCTCACACCAGTTAGAATGGCAATCATGAAAAAGTCAGGAAACAACAGGTGCTGGAGAGGATGTGGAGAAATAGGAACACTTTTACACTGTTGGTGGGACTGTAAACTAGTTCAACCATTGTGGAAGTCAGTGTGGCGATTCCTCAGGGATCTAGAACTAGAAATACCATTTGACCCAGCCATCCCATTACTGGGTATATACCCAAAGGACTATAAATCATGCTGCTATAAAGATACATGCACACGTATGTTCATTGCGGCATTATTCACAATAGCAAAGACTTGGAACCAAGCCAAATGTCCAACAATGATAGACTGGATTAAGAAAATGTGGCACATATACACCATGGAATACTATGCAGCCATAAAAAATGATGAGTTCATGTCCTTTGTAGGGACATGGATGAAATTGGAAACCATCATTCTCAGTAAACTATCGCAACAACAAAAAACCAAACACCGCATATTCTCACTCATAGGTGGGAATTGAACAATGAGATCACATGGACACAGGAAGGGGAATATCACACTCTGGGGACTGTGGTGGGGAGGGGGGAGGGGGAAGGGATAGCATTGGGAGATATACCTAATGCTAGATGATGAGTTAGTGGGTGCAGCGCACCAGCATGGCACATGTATACACATGTAACTAACCTGCACATTGTGCACATGTACCCTAAAACTTAAAGTATAATTAAAAAAAAAAAAAAAAGAAAGAAAGAGAAATTCCAGAGCAAAAAAAAAAAAAAGACAGTCACAGTTGGGCCACAAATGGCTTTTGCTTTTTACAGCAATGTAGCTCATGGCCACTTAATACAGTCAGTTGCCACTTCATTTTCAATCCTCCTCCTTAATGCTAGATTAGTTCATCAAGTGAGTGAGATAATATAACAATGATGAACTGAAAGCATACAGGTCCCATGCAGTGCCTCACATTTCATAAGGTTTTGTTGTATTAACATTTCAGGGTGTATCGAACCTTAAGAATTGATGCAAGTAATACTATTTCAAAGCTCTACACATAGGGTCCAGTTATTACAGCACACTGTGACTGGGTTAATGTTTAACAGTGGCTGTCCTTTGGGTTCCCTTAGGGAATCCTCCCAATTTAGGGAGTTGGGAGATAGCAATTTTATTTTTCTTTACCGGACTGACCTTATTGCACAATTAATTAAGACCTGCTTTAAAATAGCCTTCACAACCCTTTAAAACCATGGAAACATCATAGTGAATTTATTGTCAGGCTAAAATAGCTACTTTCATCCAGGTTGGATTAATGAGTACCAGAGTTGTTGTTGCTTTCTGCGTAGAGCATTACTACTCAGAAACAACTCATTTTCTTGACTATACTCTGGGTTTTCAAAGTGATGAGGTGCTGTTAAAGAACTGACCTTGTATAGTAAGTTCATATGAAGTTTAGTTTTTCACGTTTTCCTTTAATTATGATTTGTACATAAGCATAAAACATGTGTACAGTTTAAAGAATAATTATTAAGTGAACACTCAGGTAAACCACCTCCCAGATCAAGAAAAATGACCAGCATTCCAGAAGCCCTGCCCTTGCCATGTGCCCCTCCCACATGGCAGCCCTCTACTCTGGGTAGCTTCTGTCTTTACTTTTGCCATTTCCTTGCTTCTCTTTGAAATGTAATCACTTACATTTGTATTCTAAAATGATATAACTTGCTTGCCTGTTTTTGAACTTAGAGGCATAGAATCGTAATGAATGTTTTGTGCATTTTTGTGTCTGGTATCTTTCACTCAGCATTAGGTTTGTGAGACTACCCACGTTGCTGCTATCTAGTGTATTTTTTAAAAAACCTTTTTTATATTTGCCTTTCTCCCTTTTATACTTAGGACCCCTGTAACTCTAAATTCTTTTGGATATTTCTACTTTGCCTTCTTGGACTTTCTGCTAAATGAAGACTAAGACTTGTCTGGACCCAGGTTTCCTGAGCTGACCCGACTGCCCGCAGTTTGATGGCATTTGTTTAGATGAGACTACATCTTTAAGGCTTCTGTGCCCGGTTAAAAATCTTCCTTTCTCCCAGGCTGGTCCAAAGGTCTGGTCACGTGACTCCAACAGTGACATCACATTCTGACCGCCAGGGAACACTGGTAGTTCTTTAGGTGGCGTTTGTTGCTGTGAAAGGCAGAGAATGCAGCAAGTGCCCTTCTAAAGCACTTCAGACTGGGGCTTCTTTTGTAAAAGCTCCCCAACCTGAATGACCAAATGCGGGCTGCCAAGGTTATTTCTTCCTTGAGGCAGAAAAAAAGAAAACTGTGATTGAAGGTAAGCAGACTTGAGCCTGACCAAGGACTGAAGCATGCCCCCCGGGAGCAGGGGATCTGGAGAATTGCAAGCAGTCTGTTGTAGGATTCTAATCACTGCCTGCTCTTTGAGAGGGGCCTGACAATTGCGTTTCTAAGGAAACCAGACTACAAAGGAGGATGATGCGGTGCTCATGTTACCTAGTGATGTAATAGGATTCTTTCTTTCCTGCTAGAAGCTGTTGCAGATCTTCATTTTGCCTTAATATCCTTAAAGGTGGGGGCCTCATTTGATATATAGTGTATCATTAGATAGCTATCAGATGATTTTTAAAATCAGTTTCACAAAATCCTATTTTTCCCCTTCTGAAAGGAGAACTCTTAAACCAGAGCAAATTCAACTGGAGCATTAACCTGCCTTAAAAAGTAAATATCTGGTTGTTTGGTGTCATGTGTTCATGTCAGCATTGGACTTGAGAATTGAAACAGCTTGCCCTCCCCCACCTCCACACACACATACTTTATCCTCTTTCTGCCCTCATTTCCTAGCTGGCTTTTTCCCTCTAAGCTCTCAAGAAACACATCAGCTTTCATCTTTATCAGTATGACACTGACATGATAGGAAATGCTGGGCTGGTGATTCAGCAGCCATCCATTTTACAGTCAGGTACGAATGAAGATATGGAAAGGACTTTGGTTGGGGTTTAAGATTAACTTGTTCACCTTTTCCACTCCACCCCCACCCCGCCCCCACCCTACAGATGATTTGGACTCTGCAGAGCTTTTTCTTTCAAATGTGCACCTTGCCTGTGAAAGGCATGCTGACTTAGGTATTCAGAAGACTTACAATTGGTAAACCAATTGTAAGTACAGCTTGGGGTGTTCCTTCAAACTTTCCCCATGACATTGCTAAAGTTGTCTGTTTGGAGTTTACAGTGAAGATGGGGATGCAGATGGGAGGAGAGGGAGTCAGCTCAGGCCCACTTTGGCCTCCTCTGCAGAGGGATTCATTACCAAACAGTCTGGAGGAAGCCTTGTCCCTGCCAAGGTTGGTGCTGCAAATGTGAGCTTTGGCTGGGTGAATTAAATGATGGCATTACTCTGCACTTTTCCCCAGTGTGCATTTGCATAGATTCCTCAGTACTGTTTTGTATTTTGTGTTTAATAGCAAAATCTTATTCCATCAGATGATGTTGCTGAAATATTTTGAATCAAGTTTAAGCCTTGTGTGAGTATAGCTTGTGAGTTTAAAACTTTCTCCCCCATTCCCACCGTTCATCAAACAAATTTTGGTTCAGCTGATATATACTGATTCTTGGATATGTGCTAGACACTGTAGAGAAGGGAACGATGAATCAGACATCAGGCTACCAGCAAAGAGCTTGTAGTCTAGAAAGGAAGATAAAGCATGCACAAAAGTAATTGTAATAGAAGTACCCAAAGCAAAGTAGATAAGGGACTATGATGGGTGGGCAGGTGGATATGTTTCTTGCAGTTGAAGGATCAGGGAGGGACATTTCATCACTGAATCATACACTGTTCTTTAAATCTCTGCTTGTAAATCTTAGACTGTGCTGACATACTTAGAGTTCCTACAAGCCTGTTACATCAGAGATCAAGTCTTATACCTATTGAAGGGAAATTTGTACATTCCAGCCAACTTAACTCGTGAAGAGGCCCACATGCTTTATTTGGAGTCCCCAGCCAGGCAAAAACCACTTCATAGGATTGAATTATTGCCTTATAAATGTAAAATGGTTCTTGATGTGATATGGCTGCAAGTGCCTTTGACCCTTTTGTCTCCCTTCCATAAACTGAAATACCTAAGCTGCTCCAACCTCCTTTTTGTCTTTTGTTTCATAAATCCTTTCCCATTGCACATCAACTCCTGTCTCTCTTTGTACTGTCACTCTCATCTGTTGCTTTCCATTCACACTGCCTTTAGCCACTCATCATTTTGTGCCTACACCACAGAAACCTCTGAATGTAATGGATGTTCCTACCAGGTGACTGTATTTCTTTATCAACCCCAACTGTAGTCATCTGATAGTTTAAGGGCCCGCCTTTTGGAACCAAAAAGAATGTATTAAAAATGTTAAGAATTTCTGAAGTACTAATGTCTATTTCTTGTTCAATACAGAGGACAAGTCGTACAATGGTGGAGGAATAGGTTCTTCAAATAGGATCATGGACTTCTTGGAGGAGCCAATCCCTGGTGTAGGGACCTATGATGATTTCAATACAATTGATTGGGTGAGAGAGAAGTCTCGAGACCGGGATAGGCACCGAGAGGTAAGACAAAAGATGGCACATGGGTAAGTGTTAGGAAATACAGGGGAAGAAATTGAAGATACATATTCTTTCTATTCTTTCCTTTCTTCAGCCCTGGATGTGACTGAATCTGGTTTCTGTTGGCAATATAGAGTTTCATTTTTAAATTTATTTTTGAAGACATCTTGCACATAATTTTTTTATTATACTTTAAGTTCTAGGGTACATGTGCACAACGTGCAGGTTTGTTACATATGTATACATGTGCCATGTTGGTGCTTGCACATAATTTTTATCCTAAATTTAAAAAATTGTATTTAGTGATTTATCTTACTATAGTAAATAGTCGCAAAGGATCCTCACAGCTAAAAGGGATATAAATGCCTCTGAAGAGAGGTGAAAACAAACTTGGAGGAAGGTGGCAAAATAAATGTCAAAGATCTTCCTTTCCCATATAATCTCTCTTTTATGGTTTTTTCCTTAATGCAGGATATTCATAACTAAGAAAAGTAAATGGTTTTCTGTTAAAGGAATAAAAGAAAAAAATCTCAGAGCCCTAGTGTTTACTGAAGCATACAAAGTAAACTCCTTGTGATTATTGATCTTGTACAACCATAAAACCAAAGTAAACTTATGCTTTCAACTCCAACAAAACCACAAGACCAGTTAAATTCAAACTGGGGACATTAACTTAATGTGATAGGTAATAGATGGTACTTATGGCTATGGCACAGGTTCTTTTGAATTTAGCAAGAGAATTTCCCCACTTTTCTCTTTTTGAAGTACCGTGAAAACTTCTCAGAGAGACTTGCCAAGGTCATTTGCCTTTAACTTGTTGCTGTGTATCATTTAAATTAGGGAATCACAATTTCTGGTTTGTATAAGGGCCACGTGGAGAGCTTATTAAAAAAATAGTTGTCCAACCCCAGAGATTCTCAGTAGGTGGTCCTCTGGTGAGTCACTTCTTCAACCCACAATAGGTATTATTTTTTTTTCTTTCTTACTATTTCTGCTTGGACTCCAGATTTGAAATGTGATTTTTTAAGCTGCCCCATTCTCTCCCAAGTTCATGATTTCCTCCTCTTAGAACCAAGCAAATCTCTTGAGTAGTCAGGTGGAGATTGACTTTCGTTCTTAAGCCTTTCCAGCTCCTGACTGGTTTTCTCACGACCACCTGAACCCAGGAGTCAGGTTGTCCCAAGTACAGGTTTTGAGAAATTCCTTCTTAATCCATGGATATTTGGTGATTCCACCGAGTTTTCTTGTCACAACTCGAAAAGTTGATCACTATAAAGCATTTCATGTTTTTTCATAAGATTTCTGCCATTTGGGAACATATACACATATTCTTTCTATCGTATGTATCAATTCATCAGGCGGGCTTTAGAATTTCTGCCATCTGTAATTTACCAGTTTGTCATCAGTTGCATATTCAACATGTTATCCAGATTATGAGAGTCACCTGTGATATGACAAGTGCACACTTCCTTTTATATTAATGGTTGCATCTGAGGCAAATTATGCCAATTAGTAATCCAAAACCAGTTAAAGTGTGTTTATCAAATAGCCCAAGGGGGCTTTTTGTTTTATAGCATTAACTGTTCATTATCAGAAGGGAAACACTGTCACAGGGAAAAATGTAACTTTGTTCCTTTTCAGCACTGAAATTGGAAACTTAGAGTCATAGGTCAAAACTATTTAAAAAAATGCTTTTGAAATTCTCAGAATAATTTATTGTCTGTGACGTTACTGTAGATAAGGTGGGGTAACTAAGTTGCCATTTCAAAGATAAGAAATAGAGGTACAGAGAAAGGGGAGGTACCAGTGACAAAACTGTCAGAATGTTGATTTTTAAAATGTAGGCCCTGAAGGGTTAAATTGTCAAGTCTAGGACTTAAAAGATAAAACTTTCTGCACCTCCTGATAGCCTTGATGTTACCAGCAGGTTGTTGAAAATGAAAAGAGATACATCATTGCTATCACTTAGTATCGGTGACCACTGTACAATTAGGCGTTTGTGGGATGAAGTCTGGGAATTTGCCTGACCTGAACCACAGCCCCCAGGTAGTAAGCCTCAATTTGTACTTTTATCACTCAAATAAGCCTGTGTTTATTTATTCTTTGAAAAACATTGAAACTATTTGCTGTGAGTCAAGAGATTGCCCTTGGAATATCTGATGTCCAGGATAGAAAGATACCACTGCAATAAGCAAAACAAGTTGATGCTATAAGAAATGATGGCTTGGGAGGAAGCTCTGAATAAGGAACTTGTGGGCATTACAATACTGTAGATGAAGGTGGGGTTTCGGTAAACCTCAAAGTTGTTAGTGAAACTGGTTCAGCTAAAGATTATGTGAAAAGTAGCTCTAAATTGGTCTCTATTCTCCAGTGATTTGTCTTTGTATTTCTTTGTTGAACAGTTTTTAAGTGAAAAAATGGTGTGTGTAGAGTGTACCAATGTTTTCTCATTTTCCCCTAGATTACCAATAAAAGCAAAGAGTCAACATGGGCCTTAATTCACAGTGTGAGTGATGCTTTTTCCGGCTGGTTGTTGATGCTCCTTATTGGGCTTTTATCAGGTATGGTAAACTGTTAGTTTTCAAAACAAATCTCCTAAAATTGTGGTATGTCTCTCCCGTAAGTCCTGAGCTGAGTCACGTACTGTGTTTTCCTGTTTTTCTACCTTAAATGAATTGCTGGTGAACCTTATAGAAGCTCAATGTCCCCATCTGTAAAGGGTACTAATACCTGCAATTCTTACCTTGAATAAATGAGGAAATGCATTTAAATGCATTTTGTACACTATAAAATACTGTATCCATTTTAAGGTGATGTTAGCCCTTTGGTGCTTGTTTTGAGGAAGAGCCCTTCTGTTGGAGACAGTTTTTTTTTTAATACATACTGCATGGGTTTTAGGAGATAAGATGTGGAAGAGGACTTCCTGAGACATTTTGTGGGTGTTTCTTAAACATCTACTCTCTCATTTGGTGATGCAGAAAAGCATGTAAGATATGGCTCGTACTCCCAAGAAGCTTATGATCTCATTCTTTCATAGTGGCTGGGGGTGGAATGGTGCCACCTTGCCCTATAAACTCCTTCAACCTTCCCTGCCACTCCATATAATATACAGTCTCACTAAAAATGGTATACTTACTGTACAAATACAGCTTTCAACCAAGTTCCCAAGAAGGTTTCTCACCCGGTGGGGAGAGGAGAGGGCCAAGGACACTAGGTAGAGATGGTAAGAGGTGTGTCCTTATGGCATTAAAGGATAGGGCCTAGGCAAATCTGTAATCTTGAGCTGAAAGAGAAGTTAGGTGGAAACCTGGAGGTGGAAGGTATACAGTGGTAGTTAACAGCAAGTAGAGGCTCTAGTTTTAGGCTGCCTGGATTTGAATCCAAGCCCCACCACTTGCTAGTTTTGTGGCTTTGAGCAAGTTTCTTAACCCCTGGAAGCCTTAGTTTACTGATCTGTAAAATGGTGATAATCAAAGTCCCTATGTTAGAAGTTTGCTGTGAGGATTAAATGAGATATAGCACATAATAGCACTTATTAAGCACAGCAGACAGTTGTTAATGCTGCTGCTGCTGCCGTTACCAAGAGAGAATAATTCATGAGCCATGGAGTAGAATGTGACTGTAGCAAATGAAGAATGGCTTATCTATAGCTGGGTTTTAAAAAATTGTCTAGGGCAGGGATTGGCAAACTTCTGCTGTAAAGGAGCCAGATAGTAAATATTTTAGGATTTGTGGGCCAAGTGTTCTCTCTAGCACCCACTCCATTCTGCTGATGTGGCACGAAAGCAGCCATAGACAATAGGTAAACAAGCCCAGCTGTGACCAGAAAAACTTTATTTGCAAAAATAGGAGACAGACAGGATTTGGTCCTTGGGCTATAGTTTGCCAACCCATGGCCTAGGGTGTTAACTCTGCCCCTTCTGGCTCTTACAGGAGAGAGAACATGGTCTGGCTCTTTGGAGCTGCCTAATAATAGACTGGGTGGTCTGTAATGCTAAGTATTGCAGAGAGGCTGAGGACAAGGAAGATGGCTGAGAAAAGATTATATGACCTAGCAGTTAGGAACACAGCAATTACCTTGAAAAGCCATCTCAGAAAAATATTAGAAGCTAAATCTATTCGGTTTGTGCAAAAGTAATTGCATTACTTTTAATGGCGAAAACCGCAATTGCTTTTGCACCAACCTAATAGATTTCAAGGGAAGGCAACCACTGTAGAAGTTTTGGTAGTCATAGGAGAGAGAGGAAGGGTAAAGGCTTGAAATGATAACAAGGACAAGGGACAGCATTTTATTCTTCAGGGTAGGGGAAACCTAATACAATTTGTAACCAGAGAAGAAAGAACTGACTCTGGGGAGGAGGAGAGGTAGAAGGAGAAGACAGGATTGAGGGTACCAGTGTTAGGTGAAATAAGACATGTACACGTGAGACAACCAGAGAATAAGCCAAACTGTATAACATCATGGTAATTTTCCGAATCCAGGCAGTAACAGATAGAAGGCAGAGAAGATTGTGGACCGGAGTGGCCAAGAGTAGGTGTCAAACAATGTGTTAGATTTGACTAGATTCTTCAAGTATGTAAGTAACCTGTGTTAACACTTTTAGCACCTACCAAAACATACACGACATGGCTTCCCGCCCGTTGGAATGTAGGCATAATATCCTCAACTTTTTAATGTATTTCTTGTCACTAGGTGGTCAGTGAATATTTTTCTTTCCCTTGTACACACAGGGTATTTTGTTTTTAAGCATTGGAGAGCAACAATAGAAGCAGTGTGTCTGAATGCTGGAACAGTCTGGGAATTCAAGGGCTGTGAATTTTGTGATGGCTTTACTATTTCCCTAAAGCATGATTCTGGGCCATTTAATTTCTTTATGCCAGAGTTTCTTCATCTGGATGACAGAAATGATGAGAAGGCCAGAATCTAAATTACTATAACTGTCTTAACCCTATCAGTCTATTAGCCACAGTGCATCCTAAGTCCCCAGTTCACGATTCCATTTCCCATCATTTTCTTTGGTGAATGTTCTGTGTATAATACTGTTTGCTCTTTCTCAGTAAGAAAACTTCAGGATGTTCATGTCCTAGGTTCAGGAGGCCTCAACATGTCTATAGCTTCATCTCACCTTCCATGCACATCACAGTTTGTGCTTTGATAGATTCAGCTCCTTTAGCCTAGAATGCCTTCCTGCCATTGCTCAAATTCCCTTGTCCATGGAGCACAATCCTACTATTAAGGCTTAGCCCTTCTCCCCATAATCTTCGTCAGCTCTCCTCTCTAAGCAATCTCAAATAAACATCATAGAATATTCCTCAATGTTGGGCAATTCACATATTCTGAATCTTGTATATATGTATATATGTATATGTATATATATATATGTGAGAATAAAAGAATCTTTAATAAACTTGACTCTTTATGGATCAGTATTCATAAAGTTGAAGTCAAAATAGTGTTTTTGCCCTGTTAGTTCAGCTTAAAGACAGGCCCACTAGCCCCTTGCTCCCACTTAACCATTTTGCTTTCCCTAAGTCCCTTCTATGTAGAAATTCCACAGATGGCAGTGTTTAGTGCAGAGATAATAAGTGAAAATCAAGCAAACACACAATGAGAAAGAGGTTACAGGTGGAATGGGGAAGTATGTGCTTATCTGTTACTTTGATTCCTTTCCCCTCATTTTCTCTGACAAAGCTTATTCTGATGACCAAAGAACAGTTTCCGAGATTCAGTTTAACTTTGGCCTTTCCCTCCCTCCCCACAAATCAGGTTCGTTAGCTGGTTTGATAGACATCTCTGCTCATTGGATGACAGACTTAAAAGAAGGTATATGCACAGGGGGATTCTGGTTTAACCATGAACATTGTTGCTGGAACTCTGAGCATGTCACCTTTGAAGAGAGAGACAAATGTCCAGAGTGGAATAGTTGGTCCCAGCTTATCATCAGCACAGATGAGGTAACATGTAGTGATGTTTTATGAGCCATTGACTTTTCTTCTTACATTTATTTTATTTCTTATACTGTGCTCACAGCAATTGCGGAATCTTCCTTTATTTTCCTTTCCACAGAAAGGGGAACCAGTACCAGCTGCCTTTCTCTGTGGTTTAAGTGCAGCTCTATTTCCATCTCTGCTGATGTGTAGAGTCATTTGACGCTTATGTTTAAAATGGTTTTTTGTTTGCTTTACTAAGCCTGGTATTTCTTCTTAGGTACTAGTACATAGTGTGACTGAATTTCTCTTTTTCTAATCATTTCAAAAGAAGTGTCAGAGGCAGCCAACAGGTGAGCTATAATTTCTAATGAAGGACAGAGTGAGTTAAAAATGTGTTTATGTATATGGATTTGAAAAGTGATTTTCCCTGAGCATTGCATTAGAACATTGAAAAAAGTACAATGCATTCCATGTCAAAATAACAGAAACCCAGGAATAAAATTGCCTATCATCCCATTTTGTAATCAAATCAATATTTTCATTTGTCCTTGTCTTCTAGCATACGTTTTTGTTTTTTTTCTTGAGACAGGGTCTTTCTCTGTCACCCAGGCTGGAGTACAGTGACATGACCATAGCTCACCACTGCAGCCTCAACCTCCTAGCCTCAAGCAGTCCTCCCACCAGTCCTCCTCAGGAGTAGCTGGGACTAAAGGCGTGCACCACCACACCTAGATAATTTATTTATTTATTTATTTTGTGAAAATGGAGTCTTACTATGTTGCCTAGGCTGGTCTCGAACTCTTTGCCTCAAGTGACCCTCCTGCCTTGGCCTTCCAAAATGCTGAGATTACAGGCATGAGCCACTGTGCTTGGCCTACCATATGTTTTTTGATGCCAAGGTAACTTTGCTTATTTTTCAGTTCCTTACCTTTATTTTACCACTCAGTTATATGTTTGATCTCTCCCACTGAAAACAAAAGCACACAAAGCAAAAAACTCTCAACTCCCAATTCCACCCTGACTTCCACCAACAAAGACAGGTACCATCTTAGTTCACTACTCATCTATTTTGTTAGTGAGGGAAACAAGACTAGGATGTATGTTTGTACTTTTAAACATTTATATTACCCTCCTTGGTCTACAAACAATTTGAGGTGGCATGTGCACACACATACACAAATACAAACAGTCCAGGGAAAAGGAGGATAGAAAAAGAATAAAGATAGAAATAGGAGTGTTTATATACATGTATGACTATGCATCTTGGCTTAGGTAAAGGGTTCAATAAAAGGGATAGATACATGCCGTATGTTTGAGAGAGTTTAGGTCTATGCTTCTCAAACTAGGGTAAGGTCAGTGTGCCAGAGGGTAGGTGAAACTATAGGACAAACATTATTTGCCTTCCCAGAGCATTACTTTTTCCTGAATATTTGGAATTTTTTTTCAAAAATTATATGTAAATAATCATTTAAAAATGGAATGCAAAATTTCATACTTGTTAAGAAAAAAAAAAATCTTTCAGCTCTGCTCCCGGGTACCCTGTCCCATACTCTGATGCCTTTGTTTACTCTCTCCTAGATTAGGAGAACTTAGGTAGAAAAGTTTGAGAAGTCCTACAACTTAGGGTGGGTGTGAAAGAGAGAGAGAGAGAGAGAGAGAGAGAGTGTGTGTGTGTGTGTGTGTGTGTGTGTGTGTGTATTTCCCTTGCTTTTGGGGGGATTCTTTTATTTTAAATGTAATTGGCCAGGCGCGGTGGCCTGTAATCCCAGCACTTTGGGAGGCCAAGGTGGGTGGATCACCTGAGGTCAAGAGTTTGAAAGCAGCCTGGCCAACATGGTGAAACCCTGTCTCTACAAAAAAAAAAAAAAAAAAAAAAAAAAAAAAAAAAAAACATGTATATACACACATATATATATAAAATTAGCCAGGCATGGTGGTGAGCACCTGTAATGCCAGCTACTCAGGAGGCTGAGGCAGGAGAATCACTTGTACCTGGGAGGCGGAGGTTGCAGTGAGCCGTGATCGCACCACTGCACTCCAGCCTGGGCGACAGAGCAAGACTCTATCTCAAAAAAAAAAAAAAATCCTCTCCTCCAAGGACTGAGTGAGGTGTGCCTCATGCCTGTAATCCCAGCACTTTGGGAGGCTGAGGAGGGAGGATCCCTCGGGGCCAGGAGTTTGAGGCCAGCCTGGGCAATATATCAAGACCCCTGTGTCTAAAAATAAAAAAACTGGGCGTGGTAGCAACCACCTATAGTCCCAGCTACTCAGAAGGTGAGGTGGGAGGATTCCCTGAACCCAGGAGATCCAGGCTGTAGTGAGCAATGATAGTGCCACTGCACTCCAACCTGGGCAATGGAGTGAGATCCTGTCACACACACACACACACAAAAGTAATTACAGATTCATAGGAAGTTGCAAAACAATGTACAAGGAGGTCCTCAGTACCCTTCCCCCAGCCTTCCCTCCCTCAATGGCAACAGCTTGCATAAATGTAGTACCATAGCAAAACCAGGAAATTGACATAGGTACAATCCACAGACTTTAGTTCACCATTTAGTTTACACACATTGATTTATGTATGTATTTGTGTGTGTGTATGTGCGCGCACGCATGTAGTTCATAGTTCATTGCCATTTTGTCCTATGTGGACATTTGTTTAACCACCACCACAGTCAAGATTTAGAACTGTTCTATCACTGCAGGGCTGCCTCATGCTGCCCCTTTATAGCTGTATGTGTGTAAGCATTCCAACAGTTACTTTCAAACTGGAGCTTGAGATTTGCTCTAGTGACAGATTTCTCTGGCTCTTCTTTTTATGAACGAAATCCTTCCCTGGGGAAAGAGTCCTCTAGGTTTTGGTTTTTGTTTGTTTGTTTTTTGAGACGGAGTCTCACTCTGTCACCCAGGCTGGAGTGCAGTGGTGCGATCTCGGCTCACTGCAAGCTCCGCCTCCCGGGTTCACGCCATTCTCCTGCCTCAGCCTCCCAAGTAGCTGGGACTACAGGCACCCGCTACCACGCCCGGCTAATTTTTTTGTATTTTTAGTAGAGACGGGGTTTCACCATGTTAGCCAGGATGGTCTTGATCTCCTGACCTCGTGATCCGCCCGCCTCGGCCTCCTCTAGGTTTTAAGAAGCCTTCTCCAAATGCCAGGAAATTGCCCTCCTGGTCTCTGCCTCTGGCCAGTTTGAGTTACTTTTCCTTTCACTCCCTTACCCTCTTCATTTCCTACCTCTGCAGTCTTCTTCCTCCTTAGCTACATTGGAAAGGCAAAGAAATAGCAATCATGTGTTCCTCTGAGGGCCTAAGATAATGGAAAACCTGTGTCAAATTTACAACTCAGAAAAAACCTGAGCATTCTGGTTCTCTTTGTCTAGGTCAGTGAGTTACTTTAATAGTGTTTTGTGTTATGAAGTCAAAAGTCCATTGGGTTTTGTATTTACTGAGTGAGTTGCAATTCCTAATATTTCTACCAGCAAGCATAACTTCCTAATCAAAATTGCTTTTTTTGTAAGACATGACTATTTGCAGGCCCTTTAATATGGATGAATCTTTCCTGCTGGTCAAAGCTAGATTTCTTTTGTGGCATGCTTCATTTATCACAGGGGAATAGTCTCAAAAAGTATATTCTTTCTATTTTAAAAAATAGTTGTTTCCATTTTATTTATTTATATCTGGTACCACCAGGGTCCAAAACTTTCTACTTATATGGTTGTTCCTGAGTCTGTGGTACCAAAATTTTCTTGAAGATGTAGTTATATGTGGACTCTAAAAAAGAAAGTTGAGTAAACAGAACCAGAGAGCAGAATGGTGGTTACCTGGGGCATGGAGGAGGAGGAAATGGGGAGAAGTGGACCAAAGGGTACAAATTTGCAGTGAGGTAGGGTGAATAAGTCTAGAGAGGTAATGTACAGTAGAGTTAATAATGCTGTATACTAAAAATTTGCTAAGAGTATATTTTAGATGCTCTTACCACACATACAAAGAAAGGTAACTATGGAAGGTGATATGCATGTAAGTTTATTTCAATGTAGTAACAATTTCGCTATATGTATATATATAAAACATCATGTTGTACACCTTAAATACATACAATAAAAAAATTTTAAAAAGCAAAGAAAAAAGCCAAACACCCAAAATTTTGTTACTATAAACTATGAGAATTTGACACCAAGGTAAGTAGCCAAAGGTGAATTTAGTGGAACTTTAGATCCGCTCTTCACTTCAGATGTGAAGCCAAGGTTCAGCCATTCCAAAAAAGCTGGGGGGGTGCTCTTAAGACTCTTGGTAAAATGACATGGAATCATATATATTTGACTACAAAACCCATCAAAGCACTCATATAGAAAGAGAATTTTGTTTCATGGTTTTCCGTTTGCTCTTTTCCTTGTTCATCCTTAGAATCCATGGTAAATTTCCTTTGGGTGTAGCAAAGCATCTCATTTTCAGTACTAAGTGGCCTGACAGTGTTTCAGTAGTTGACAATTCAGAAAGAAAAGTCTTGAACAATTTAATCTCGGTGGTTTTTTTTTTTTTTGGACTTTTTTTCCTGAAAAAACATTACTCAGAAGAGCTGCATGTCTCACTGAAGCTGTCTAGGCTAAAACAAGCTTCTTTTTCCCCCTGTTCCAGGGAGCCTTTGCCTACATAGTCAATTATTTCATGTACGTCCTCTGGGCTCTCCTATTTGCCTTCCTTGCCGTATCTCTTGTCAAGGTGTTTGCGCCTTATGCCTGTGGCTCTGGAATCCCTGAGGTGAGTCTCTTAAAATGGTTTATAAATGGTTACAATATGAATACTTTTTGGTTAAAATCTCTTAATATGTATTCCAGCACATACCACAATTTGATGAATGTTAAACAGGATCAGATCCTGAGGCCATCTAAGACCTAGGTCTTTCCACAAGTCCCTCTCAGCCTGGGCTACCAGGAAATTAAAGGGAGTTGATTCTTAGCCTCCTGAGGGTTCCTGTTGAGCCAGGCTCTGGAAAACTTCCCCTGTTCCCTATCCAAAAAGCTTCCAGAGTATATCCCAAGATTCTGACCTGAAAAAGCAGTGTTATTGTCAGCTTTTTCAGGGCAAAAGAAAGAAAATCATTTGGTACCTTTCCCACAATATGATTTAGGCTACATGGGATGGTTAAAACCCTGTTTCTAACTACTTTTGGCTTAGATTGCTTGACAGTGACTAAAGACACTGAGACTTAGGTTACCAGGATGACTTTGCCCTTCCCTGTTTCCTGACCAGGTAATAAGTCACAATTTTTTTTTTTTTTAAGCCAGGGAATCAAGACTATACCTAACCTTTAAGGTTGTTTCAGGGACATTAGCCTTGTCCTCTCAAAACATGCCTCTTGGGCTACCACGTTGTAACATGAGGAAAACACCTATCCCTCCCTCTCCAGCTCCTCCTTCATATATGCACACTCTCATACTTACAATACATCCTTGCCCAGCTATCACTCCCCTCCCCCTAAAAAGGGGGAACATGAAAGCTTAAAGAACAGTTCTTGCTTTCTTGGGCTCCTGGGCTCTCTTCCAAACAGGGATCACTGTAGGTCAAGCATTTATATGTCACTTATTCAAAAGGTGCAGTTTCTATAATGAGGTCCAGATTTTTGCTTCTTAGCCTTGTTGACTTCCTTAGTCTATATTCAATCTTTCTGTGTTTAACCTGCAGATAAAAACTATCTTGAGTGGTTTCATTATTAGGGGCTATTTGGGTAAGTGGACTCTGGTTATCAAAACCATCACCTTGGTGCTGGCAGTGTCATCTGGCTTGAGCCTGGGCAAAGAGGGCCCTCTAGTGCACGTGGCTTGCTGCTGTGGGAACATCCTGTGCCACTGCTTCAACAAATACAGGAAGAATGAAGCCAAGCGCAGAGAGGTAATAATGAATGGCCTTAATAGTCTCTTTTTGGTTGTGAGCATAAATGATACAATCTTAGGGGGTGAGAATTTGAGAGTTCTACCAATGTTAATGCAAACACCCTTTGACCCAGCAATTCCACTTGTAGGAATTTATCCTACAGATATCCTAGCATGTGTGTGCACAAAGGTGTATAAGGATAGTGCAGCGTCTGTCAACATAGTAAAAAACTGAAGCAACAAAAATGTCCATCAATAGGGAACTGATCTAATAAATACTATTCTGTTCATACTGTAGAATACTTTGCAACCATTAAATGAGATAACCTTTTATATATTGACTTGGAATTCTGGCTATGAAACACCATTTGATTTTAAAAGCCAGTTTCTGAGTAATGTATATAATATAATTCATATTTTTTAAAAGTGTACATGCACTTATTGATAGAAAATGTCTGGAAGGTGGTTTTACCCCAAACTGGTTTTACTTTTTTTTTTTTTTGAGACAGGGTCTCACTCTGTCACCTAGACTGCAGTGCAGTGGCATGATCACGGCTCACTGCAGCCTCGACCTCCCTGGCTCAGATGATCCTCCCACCTCAGCCTCCCAAGTAGCTGAAACTACAGGCACGCACCACCAAACCCAGCTAATTTTTGTATTTTTTGTAGAGACGGGGTTTCACTATGTTGCCCAGGCTAGTCTCGAACTCCTGCGCTCAAGCAATCCTCCTCCCTCAGTCTCCCAAAGTGCTGGGATTACAGGCATGAGACACGATGCCTGGCTCACGTCAAACTGTTAAAAATGTTTATCTATGGTGAGTGGGAGAGTGAGGGGTAGTGAAGGAGAAGTAAGGATTTTAACTTTTTATTGTATGTAATTCTATTCAAGTATATATTGCTTCTCTTACAAAATAAGTTACAGAAAGAATAGATTTTAAAAGAAGTTGTTTATTGCTATGGAATAGTACATATAAGTGCAGTGTATGTTTCAGATGTCGGTTTTTTCACTTTCTATTTCTATCTAACACTATACTTGAATTAGTTTCTCTCTGTATTGGACCTCTCTCTACCTTTTGTTTCAGCCCAGCTAAATTAGTCCCGCCATGGCACCTCTGTAGTGGCTGTCATGTTTATGCAGTTGTTAATGTATGCTGTTTTGAGGAGGAAGGACTTTTTTAAAAAAAAGTTCCAAGTCATTGGTTTACTTTTTTCTTGCTATAATTAAGGGCCTAAGAGAATAATGGCTCTTGCTTTATTTTCTTTGAATTACAAAGAAGTCACATATGGAATGGGTCAAGACTAAGGTCATTTCACTTAAAAGGATTTTTCACAAAACAGGAACCTAATGATTTCTTATGAAAACCAAAAAAAAAAAAAAAATTAACCACAAGACCCAGAAGGAAACTCAAAGATATTGAGATTTCAAATATAGAATAAATTTTGTTGGTTCAAGGGAGAAAGGTCCTGGCACTGTTAGAAAGGAGAGGAAAGCTAGCAGGAGAGAAGATGGGGAAATATGAGTAGATTGTTTAACTACCTGTCATGCAGTAGAGGGACTTAAAGGTAGTGTTAAGTTGGTGAGGTTGTTAAATGGGAATGACATTCAACAGAAGGGAAGAGTTGAGAAAACATTTTTTTTCTAGAAGGGCTTTATTAGAACAGTTATGAAATTTGAATGAGATTTATAGATCAAATAACAGTTATTAGTGTAAATTTCCTATTTTGATCATTGAACTGTGATTATGGAAGAGACTGTCTTTGCTTTTAGGACATAAAAGCATTTATATCCTACATGCACTGAAGCATTTCAGGGTACATGAGCCTTATATGTGCAACTGACTTTTCTGAGTGAAATTCCAATTCTTCAGAAAAAAATAGAATCATAAAACAAATGCAGTAATGGTAGCAATTACAGAAGCTACATGAAGATATGTAGGACTTCTTTGTGCTATTCTTTCACCTTTTCTGTGTTTGAAATTTTTTTAAAAAAATATTATAATGGTTAAGAGTGAAGTGGTGATTGTTGCTGGTTTTGCATGGATGAAGGTGAATTTGAAACTACAGATTGCTGGGGACTTTCATTCTAAAAATTGGCATTTTTGTTCAAATAGTTTCTAATAAAATAAGAGGGGAATTCGATTTGGCTGTTTCTCTCTACAGATGCCATATATTTCTCCAGTTAGACTCATATGAATACAGTCATGTCTCAATGACAGGGATATGTTATGAAAAATGCATTGTTAGGAGATTTCGTCACTGTGCAAGCATTATAGATTGAAGTTACACAAACTTAGATGGTCTAGCCTACTACACACCTAGGCTTTATGATATAGCCTATGGCTCCTAGGCTACAAACATGTACAGCATGCGACTATACTGAATACTGTGAGCAATTGTAACACAATGGTAAATATTTGTGCATCTAAACATAGAAAAAGCACAGTAAAAATATAATATAATTTTATGGGGCCACCATGTTGTATGTGGTCCATCATTGACTGAAACGTTGTTACGTGGTGCGTGACAGTATTTGAATTGGTTTTTTTTGTTTTTGTTTTTGTTTTTTTTTTGGAGACAGGGTCTCAGTCTTTTGGCCAGGCTAGAATGCAGTAGTGTGATCTCAGTTCACTGCAACCTCCATCACCTGGGCTTGAGCAATTCTCCCACCTCAGACTCCCCAGTAGCTAAGACTACAGGCACATGCCATTATACCCAGCTGATTTTGTGAATTTTTTTGTAGAGACTGGGTTTTGCCATGTTGCCCAGGCCAGTGTTGAATTCCTGGGCTCAAGTGATCCTCCTGCCTCAGCCTCCCAAAGTGCTGGGATTACAGGCATGAGCCACCACAACCGGCTAGTATTTGAATCTTAAATTTACTTTCTAGCACTTATTTAGACTTTCCAGTTATTTTTTCCTGTTGCTTTCATCATCAGCGGCAACCTTTTTTGTCTTATGGCCTTGTCAAAGTGGGCAGATGGTTGAGAGTAAAACAGACTTGAGAAAGAAGGGTGTAGACAGACTCCACTCTACAATATAAAATTAAAGCAAACTAGCTACCCCGATTCTTTCTGTCTCTTGATTCATCCTAAACATAGTCACTGAAATCCCCTTTCTCAAGTTGCATGTTGGCTGTCCTCATCTTTCTTAAATGAAAGCCATTGTAGCTAGGAATTTCAAAGCCCTTCCAGCTAGCACCAGAGATTCCATTCTTTCCTCCCCATCATTTTCCTGAGCCATCCTACTCTTCCAGATAATCCTATATGCTTATTTTGCCAAGGACCTTTTTATTCTTCAAAACTCGTAATTTTGTTCAACTTTCTCTAAAATATTTCTTTACTTCTTCAAATCATCTCTCTCCATAGCAACCAGAATCCAATGAAAGGACTTGGTCCATCTATTAATTTTGGTTTGTTTGCCATTATTAGTGTTTGTCATGTACATTTTACATGTACACACACACCTACACAGAGGTGGAGGTCTCTAAGTATCACTATTCTTTCTCTCTTTATCACTTTTTCCCTTTGGCTCCTTCTTCCTCTCCCACTCTCTCCTAGTCCCTTTCCTTGCCATATCTTAAGTCTTCCCTTAAAAATCTAGTCACCTCCCTATTTCTGTGTCCATAGGTTATTGGGCATGGAGTAGGACACAGGGTACGAGAGACTCTAAATACCTATTGCATGAATACTTGCAGCTGCTGAATAACTGTGAACCAATTGTGACTTCAGTTTTATGTCATTAGAGCCTTCTTGAACATCTCATTTAAAAAGCATTCCTTTGCAAAGTTCCATATAAATAAATACATCACTGTAAGTACATCATTTAGATGGTGAACAAATAGGCCTAGAAATTCAAATGCAGTTACTGAATTGGGAGTATGGGAGATAAGGGCGGGGGGGCGGTGCATAATTTAGAATAAAACACATGGCTAAATGAATTACAAAGGAAAGGTCCTCTTACCTGGTCAAGCATGTGAACTATGCATGTGTATTCAAAATTCAGCATACAGTGTTTGAATTTTGTTTTTGATGATATGGAACATCTAGAGGTATTTTTAAATGTTCAGTAACTACTAACATTTCTTCTAAAAATGTGATTGAGTGATTGAGGAAAGCAGCATTATTCTGTCACTAATTCTGAGTTTTGGATTTTAGGTCTTGTCGGCTGCAGCAGCAGCTGGTGTATCTGTAGCCTTTGGAGCACCTATAGGTGGAGTATTATTCAGCCTTGAAGAGGTAACAACTTTTCATTGTACAGCATGTGCATGCTTTTGTGTCAGGAATTTTGTACATTGCAGCGCAATAATTTTGTACATAATGTACAATATCTGTGTATATCCCAGTCCCTGAGTGCTCTCCCCAACTTGGTGCTTTACCATGTGACTAGAAATCCAGTCGGCAGTTTTCATCCATTAGTTGACTCTCATGCCTGCAGCACAACATTTCACCTGAAATAGTTTCTGCGTATTGACTGAGTTTGCTTTCTCACCTTCTTTCTTCTAGGTCAGCTACTATTTTCCCCTCAAAACATTGTGGCGTTCATTCTTTGCTGCCTTGGTGGCAGCATTCACTCTACGCTCCATCAATCCATTTGGGAACAGCCGCCTGGTACTATTTTATGTGGAGTTTCACACCCCATGGCATCTCTTTGAGCTCGTGCCATTCATTCTGCTGGGCATATTTGGTGGTCTGTGGGGAGCACTGTTTATCCGCACAAACATTGCCTGGTGTCGGAAGCGAAAGACCACCCAGTTGGGCAAGTATCCTGTTATAGAGGTACTCGTCGTGACAGCCATCACTGCCATCCTGGCTTTCCCCAATGAATACACTCGGATGAGCACAAGTGAGCTCATTTCTGAGCTGTTTAATGACTGTGGCCTTCTGGACTCCTCCAAGCTCTGTGATTATGAGAACCGTTTCAACACAAGCAAAGGGGGTGAACTGCCTGACAGACCGGCTGGCGTGGGAGTCTACAGTGCAATGTGGCAGCTGGCTTTAACACTCATACTGAAAATTGTCATTACTATATTCACCTTTGGCATGAAGGTGAGGAATTCTTTTGGGACTCAGTGGCTGCATGCGTAGCTGTGGGTTTTGGAGGGCAGAGCCCAGGTATCATACAATCCTGATAGCTCATATGGTGCTTTCAAATCCCCCTCACATTATTCCCCCACCCCCAAAGCCTCTTTTACCCCACACGTTCTCATAATTTGCTAGACACTTGTACCTCTATCTCAAATTGTCCAAGCCTTGAGTTGTCCAAATGCCAGCCTCAGTGATGAAATTTTAGGAAGAATGTTTGCTCCTTTTCTGTGGAAAACATATTTTGCCCCTCAAAAATGATGGTGAAGTATTTATTCCAGTACATTTCATATTAAAATGATATCTGACCACCACAGTGTTACTCCTTATAGGGTGGCTTTAGAGTTTACCAATAAAGCACAATATTGATTGAACCAAAGAAGTTGCTGGGATTCGACCATTTTGACTGCTAAAATGGCAATTTCCTGTGGTTCAACCCAATATATAGCTAAATATAGTTTTTTACAGTGGTATCAATGTTCAGTTGTCAAGAAGTGGGATCCACTTCACAGGTGATCCTTAGTTAATATTTAAGCTATCAAAAGTGGACATCAGGCTGGCACGTTTTACTTTAGGTACCTGTTACCATTTCCACGTTTCAGAAGAAGCCAGAAAAGAAAATTTGTTAAGGTATTTTCCTCCTCCTTTCTAGGTTTTTGTTTGTTTCTTTCTTTTCTTTAGCACCCTAACTACCAAGTTATTTTCCTCTATTCTCTAGAGAAATGGAGATTCAAGCCAGAAGAGATAGCAACTCAGTTTAGGCATTATTGTAATCTCTAAGATGACGCCATCCATCCCCTCAATACAGGGAAGGGATGGAGACCCTGAGAAATTTTGCAGTGCTTCTTGAGTTAATTTTCACCTCATGCCTGCATTCTTTCACTTAAAGGGAATTTGTAAACCATCAGAACACCAGATTCAAATGCATTCCAAAATCAAACACAGGCTATTTTAAAAGAATCTGCTGTTTTGGTTATCCTTATCATCATTTCCCTCTCTCAGTACAGAATATTAAGAATTTACTATAGTATCCTAGGAGTCAAGAAAAAGAGTGGGGAGATAGATGAGCTTTACTTTTTTGGTTAATCTTGTAACCATAGTCATGATCTCATTACAATTTTTTAATTGTTTAATCTTTCTTGATACTGTTACAAAATAGACTGAAACCTCATGTGCTATATCCTTTTTGTGTGAGCAATGGGCTAAGATTCAATATATGAGCATGGTTATGAGCATTCCATTTAAATCCCAGCACCAGTCTTTACTAAATCTTGACCTTGGGTGGGTTACTTAACCTCTCTGAACCTTAGGTTCTTTGGCATTTGGGAATAATAATGCCTGCCTCCTGGGGTTATAAAGAACCCATGAATCTTGCATGTAGAGCGTCCAGCATAGAACATGGTAGGTACTCAATAAAGGGTAGTCATTGTTGATAAGAATTCAAAATTGGTGGAAATGTCTGCATATATGAGAAACTCCATCTATTTTCCTTTTTCTTTGGGAAAGGCCCAATTTCTGCCTCCAGTTCTGTGTTGGTCTGGAGAGTTCAGGCTCTTGCCTGATGGACCCCGAATCAGGGTAAGCTTCTTTGCAGTCGTCCTTGCCTGCACGTCCCAGAGAACCTCTAGTCCCTGTAGTGTTACACACACCTTTACAGCCACTTGCTAGCATAGTGCATAGTTAAATTGTCATCGGCCTGTTTGCTTTGCAGAGGGTCAGTCCTCCAGCCCTTACCATGTGCCAAGCAATCACATCATTTCTCACTAACCATCTATTGGTTTCTCTTTGCAGATCCCTTCTGGCCTCTTTATCCCTAGCATGGCTGTTGGTGCTATAGCAGGTCGACTTCTAGGAGTAGGAATGGAACAGCTGGCTTATTACCACCAGGAATGGACCGTCTTCAATAGCTGGTGTAGTCAGGGAGCTGATTGCATCACCCCCGGCCTTTATGCAATGGTTGGGGCTGCAGCCTGCTTAGGTGAGTAGTGTTTGCATTAATTTCAAGTTGCTACCCAGGTGACATACAACAGAAGAGTTTATTAAACACAGTTGACTGTAGGAGAATTTAAATGCCCATCCCTTTCCAGTTAGGTTTGCCATTTTCCAAGCACATTAAGAAAGCATCTGGTATACAGATGAGGAAACTAAAAAAAATAAAAATAAAAATCATAATAAAAAAGAAAAGGAATTCTACTCTCATACTGGGGAAATAATCAGAAATTTAGACAAAGATATCTGCACAAGAATATGTATCATAGTATAAGAGCAAAAAATTAGAATCAACCTAAATTTGCACTTGAGGGACTGGTTAAATGAATTATGGTACATCCATATGATGTTATACAATGCAGCCTTTAAATGTGATGTTAATTGTTAATATGTTTAACATCTTAAAATATGATGTTATATAAATTTGTAATAATATGCAGAATGTTCCCAACATAAAGTAGAGGGGGAAACATGGCAGAAAATTAAACATATAATGTGAGTTCACTCATTTAAAAACATATGTTTTTGCATAGAAAAAAACTTGAAAAAGTCATTCAGAATTTTTACTCTGCTTATTTATTGGCAGTCAGCTAATAGATAATGACTTTCTTTTATATTTTCTGGATTTTCCACAATGGCATGTATTTTCTAATTAGGGAAAAGAAGCAACAGAAAAATGAAAGAACAAAGAAACAAGAAGGCATCTTGGACTGGACATGGTAGCTCACACCTGTAATCCTAGCTACTTAGGAGGCAGAGGTGGGAGGATCACTTGAGGTTAGGAGTTTGAGACCAGCCTGGGCAACATAGTGAAACCCCAATTCGACAAAAAATAAAAAGTTAGTTAGGTGTGGTGGCACATGCCTGTAGTCTCAGCTACTCAGGAGGTTGAGGTGGGAGGATCACTTAAGCCTGGAAGATGGCAGTTGCAGTTAGTAGTGATAATGCCAGTGCACTCTAGCCTGGGTGACAGAGCACAAAACCCGTCTCAAAAAAAGAAAGAGAGAGAAAAAAGAAAAACAGAAGGCTTCTTGTAGATGTTATTTTGAGAACTCTGAATCGTCTCCATTGTGACCTTGCTTTCTTGCAATCTCTGGGGTCTGCACAGTTGTAGGTGAGACCTCATTGTTTTTGGTAGGTCAGCTTTTCCTGGAAAGGCCCATAATTGTAAGAATCCTGTATTTTGCCTACCTGAGTAGACTGTGTCTATTTCTTTGCAGGTGGGGTGACTCGGATGACTGTTTCTCTTGTTGTCATAATGTTTGAACTGACTGGTGGCTTAGAATACATCGTGCCTCTGATGGCTGCAGCCATGACAAGCAAGTGGGTGGCAGATGCTCTTGGGCGGGAGGGCATCTATGATGCCCACATCCGTCTCAATGGATACCCCTTTCTTGAAGCCAAAGAAGAGTTTGCTCATAAGACCCTGGCAATGGATGTGATGAAACCCCGGAGAAATGATCCTTTGTTGACTGTCCTTACTCAGGACAGTATGACTGTGGAAGATGTAGAGACCATAATCAGTGAAACCACTTACAGTGGCTTCCCAGTGGTGGTATCCCGGGAGTCCCAAAGACTTGTGGGCTTTGTCCTCCGAAGAGATCTCATTATTTCAATTGGTAAGGATTTCAGAAAGGGGATAGTGGAATCCACTGTGGAACTCAATAAATATGCCTGAAATGGGGGAAGACAGGGAAGGGGGGACTGGTTAGGAGCCAGAAGGATAGAGCTAGCACGTCCATCTTCAATTTGTTTTTTCCTTCTGTTTGAATAGAAAATGCTCGAAAGAAACAGGATGGGGTTGTTAGCACTTCCATCATTTATTTCACGGAGCATTCTCCTCCATTGCCACCATACACTCCACCCACTCTAAAGCTTCGGAACATCCTCGATCTCAGCCCCTTCACTGTGACTGACCTTACACCCATGGAGATCGTAGTGGATATTTTCCGAAAGCTGGGACTGCGGCAGTGCCTGGTTACACACAACGGGTAAGAAGTCTTGAGTGAAGTCAAATTGAATTGTGGGAGAAAGAGAATGCAGAGATAGAAAGAAGTAGAAAGAAGTAGAACCCAGTTTAAATGAACATTAGTAGCACTTTTAGGACTTCTTGAAGCTCTGAGATGAAAGTGGATAGGTTTTTTTAAATCATAATTAATGTAAAGGGAGTTTGGGAAAGAACATGTGTTTGAGAGATGTGAACTGCTGGTTGCATATTATAAATAACCCAGTTCCTCCCTGACAAAGGAAACACCTGTGTTTTGTGCATAGGCAGCACTGAAATTACAGTAGCATCAGGTAATAGTGTATTTGCTGGGTGTTTGTTCCCTACAATCTCCTTATTATTACTTGAGGATGAGAAAACCAAGTTTCAGTGAGGTGAGATTTATACAAAGTTCTCCAGCTAATAAATAGTAGAGAAAGGCTTTAAACACAAGTCTTCTGACTCCCAAGCCCATGGCTCTTTCCTTCCTGGGATAGTTCTTATCCAGTAAAGGGAACCCTTCTATTTTTATTGGAAAAGAAAGGAGGTTGAGGAGAGGGGTGGATTTTTTTCCCAAACATGCTACGTTAATCCAGCAATTATATAAGAATTTCACATCTGAAATTTCTAAATGGTGTAACAGATGCCTTGCAGGATTTAAATCAGTAAGGGGAGTTCCCTAACTGGTTCATTCAACATCTGCTGAATCCCTGCTCCATGTAAGAAGGTACTCCACTGGATTCCAGGGAGACACAAAAATTAATAAGACCCTTCTGTGCCCTCAAGGAGCAGACAGTGTTTTAAGGAAGGCAAGAACCTAGCAGTGGTTATAGTACAATAGCAAAGAGGACAAGTGCCACTGAGGAGGCCTGCAAAGAATGTGCATGCTGTTGCTGTGAGGAGGGCAGAGTTCCTGCTGGCTCATAGAATCAGGGAAGGTGCTCTGGAATAGGGGCGTTTGAACTGGGCTGCAGTAGATAAGATTCAGATATGTAGCGAAGAGTATTTAAACCAGAGGAAATCGCAGGGTCTGAGACCTAGAGGTAGAAACACTTGCATACATTTAGGAATCCACACATCATCCTATTTGCCTGGGGCACATGTCCTACTCCTGTGATCTCATACTGAAAGGGCAGCTAGTGATCAAAGACAAAGTTGAAAAGGACTGAGGAGGACAAGTATCACCTTTGGGAATGCTATTTTAACTACAGATTTATTTTTGTTTTTTTGTATTGTGTTTGTCTTTTAGGCGATTGCTTGGAATCATTACCAAAAAGGATGTGTTAAAGCATATAGCACAGATGGCGAACCAAGATCCTGATTCCATTCTCTTCAACTAGAATCATAGAGTTCTGGATGTAAAGCGGGAAGGACATTACAGACCATGGATATGTTGTATTAACTGGGTACCCAAAACACATTTTCCATATTTGGATGGTGAAGTCACATTAGTGTGTTGTCTCTTTCCTACAAGTTAACCAGTTGCACTACATAATCTCTGGAAATTAATTTTCTCTTTAGGAGAAATTATAGTTAGGCTTCCATGATGTTACATTAGGAAGATATCATGAAAGAATAAATAAGATTGCTATGGTTTAATTATATTTGCTTTTTAAAAGATTTTTTTAACTTAAAAAGTAGTTAGCCAATATGCAATCACTGAAAACTATGCAAGAGAAATTCCAACCGTCCTGACCTATAACCTGTAGGAAACCGACGAAAAAGTCACTCTTTTGGGATCTAACTGTTGTTACTGGAAGACGAAGTGTAAACTAAGGGGCTTTGCTTTTCAAACCAGAGAAAGGAAAGCCAGAAGGAAAAGAGTAATGGTATTTTCTAGACTGTGAAGATTCAGTTCAAATGTTATCCTTGTTCCTGTTACAATATTTAGCATTATTAGTTTGTTATGTGTGTATGTTTATGTTAATTTTAATTTCTGATTATAAGACAATGCTGCTTTGGTTAATCTCTTCTAAATGAATTTAGAGAGATTGACTTTTATAGCTTGCTTGTTGCTGGTACTCTTTTGAAGTGCACAAAGATAAGTTATAGAGCTTTCTCCTTGTCTGCAAAAACGGTAATTTTCCAGGTGGCATTTGTTAGCTGGTAGACAAGGACTTTGCCGTGAATTTGTTAGTAGCAAGGAATGATTTCTTCCAGCTTCCTTGAAATGAATAATTAGTAAACTTCTAAGCAAAGTCAATGACTAGGAGTTTCACATGTTTGTGAGGTCCTAACTAATTCTCTTACCCAGATGCCACCTCCATGAATGATGGTGCTTTAGGCTTCTGGAATATGTAAAAACAGCAAAGGGAACCAAGTCTAGACTGCATACTGGTAAACCAGGGAAGACTCAGAACTGCATATGCATCCTCATGCATTCCTTTGTAAAGACCACCAGTACTAAAATAACTGGACACTCATTGTACCTCCCAGCGATAAGTATGTGTAACAGGCCAGTGTGTTGTCCCCATGATCATGAATTAGGCTTGGGATGCTTCCAAATATATTCAAGGTGTTGGAACAGGATAGGCAGCTGTGACTCCCTCAAGAGTCCTTAGAATTCTAAATAAAATGCAGAGCCATCCTAAGACACAGGGGTATGGACAAGGCCTGGTGACACCAAAGGTGCTTGTATCCAATTGAAAAGGTGCCTGTCTCAATTTCATACCACCTTTATTGCAGTTAAAAAAAAATCACACTCTGGGGACACTTGGTGGAATTACAGAGCCACCATCATCATTCCAACCACTATTTCATTTTCTGTAGTTTTACCTGTGTGCAATTACTCCCCCTCCATTCTGTTCCACTTCTTACTCCTTAGTACCAAATCCTCTGTTTGGGATTGAGCGCTGCTCCTGGTTAATCATTCCTACTACAAAAAAAAATAACTCCCAGGGCTAGTTAAATTGTAAACCAAGGCTCAGCAGTCTCACAACACATGGACCAGAGGTGACACACAGCCATTTCCTTTGCCATGTGGCCCAGTTGCTGCTGCCATGCCTCCATTTCCACACTGGATGCCTACGGCAGTGAGATTTCACTGCCGGGGTAAGAGTTCAGCCTGGATGATTTTATAGCTCTGTTCCTAGCACTTCTCATCATCCTTCCAGCCCAGAATCAGCGGTCATTCTGCATATTCCCACCAACCCTCTACCCCCAAACACTTCAGTGTACCTCATTTTAAGAGTTGCTGATCCCTGATTCTAGGACGTTTTTACCCATAGTTCTTGTCTTTCCAAAATCTGAAATTCTTTTTTTTGCTCAGAACTGGGTAGCCAAGGGTTATTTTATTTTTATCTTTAAAATAATCAAGGCAGTCGCTAGAGTTTCTCCTTGTGAATAGATCACTCTAGCATTTTAATGAAAAAGAAAAAAATCTTTCTGGGGTATGTTGTATCATAGTAATGGCTCAGTAACCACATATTTTGTCCTTTCCATGTCACTGATTCCTTCATATGAGACTATTTGGCTTGACTACCCTGTATATTGTGTAGAAATCAAAGTTCTTATCTGTACATTTCTGGTCCAATACCTGTCTTATTAGTTGTCCTTCCCCACTAAAGTTTGCAAAACAGAAAATGTTACTATTTCTGGTATTTAATGACAATGAAAGGTTTGGTCATATTTCATAGTGCAGTAGCGATAAGGAGGGTGTCTCAAGTTTGCTTTTGTGTTTCTTCTAGGCTTTGTTCTTGATTTTAGACAGATGAGCCAGTGTTAAGGTGCTACTTCAGAGAATAAATTAGAGAAATCAGATAACACTGTGCCAAGGTATACTTTGTAGATGCTAAGCACCGATTGGCCCTCCAGAGAATGACAATATCCCTTTGATACCTCACTCCTGATCAATCTCATTCATTAACCTCAGCTTCTCAGGAATCCTTGTAGCTTGTATGCTAGAAGTAGCTATGGTATATGGTATCCACTATATGTCCAGTCCTATGGTTTGGCTCAAAGGTTGGCTAATTGCAGCTAGAGCTCTCAACTGCTAGCTCAGCACCTTGACATTTGAAGTTTCTTGTCTTGAGGAGAAGGAAAATGTTCTTTCTGCCATTGCCACTTTAACAGTTGGACATGCTTAAGCAACAAATACAGCCAGTATAGGGAGGACTGTCAGTAGCATCAAATGGCCACATACCTCAATGGCAAAAGACTAGATGGTTTGTGATTTAAAAATTAATGAGTCGAGATGAGACTATTTTGGTATTAAATGAGAAAATTGCCTAACACAAGGGAAGGGTTTACAAAAGAATGCCAATTAGTGTTTCAACAGAGTTAGGATTTTCCAAGTAAGAGTAGCTGGTAGCCATCCAGCCATAAAAGGAACGAGAGTCTATAGATTTGTAAAAGTAAAACTGCTATATTTTGTATCTTCAAATCTTCAATATAAAGAATTTAAAGAACCTGAAACAGTTAATGCATGATTCGTTATATTGGAGGGAAAAAGCAGGGGACTGATAATACAAAATAATGGCAACTTTAAAGATCATTTCTACGTGGATGTTTGGTTAGAAACATATTCCAATGCTCTCCTCTTTCTCTGGCCACAGCATCCTGGCTCAGCCCAGCTGTGGAGTAGAGGTGGTAAGATCCACAGAACAGATATCCTCTGGTAGATAAGCTGACATTGATGATACTTTGAATTTACCAGCTGGTGAAGCAAACGATTAATTTGTGATTGAACTGAAAAGCAGTTGAATTGTTTTGACACCAGAGGCTGAATCTAAACCCTTTACAGGAAGAGCAGAGCATACTATACATTTCTTAGCAGATCTTCAATTCTGTTTGAACATGATGAAGTAACCAGGGTTTAGTGAGATCTAAGGCCGTGAAGTAATTCACAACCAAGATCTTATGAACGCATTCAGATGTGAGGGGGGCAAATATGTTTTCAAAAACTTAGTGTGCAATAGAGTCCATTATAGAAATTAACCACTGCTATATGTTTTAAGTAGTTCAATCACCTGTTGTGGTTCAGTCTTGATTATTGTTTATTTTGTTAGGTGATAAGTAGGAAGATGCACTTGTTATCCCACACTATCTCTTGTTTTGTTTTGTTTTGTTTTTAAATAATGAACAGTGCAATCTTTGAACTTGAGTTTTTAATAATGATAGCAAAGACAATGGTGAGAACTTGAAACAGCCAGCATATTTTATATTGCCAAAGTACTTACTGATGACTGACCACACTGTCTTGTGAGGAACTGGGTCCCCTGCACTGGATCAGAGCCAAATGCAAGCCACCCATCAGTTCAGAGGAAGCAGGAAAACATCTTTTGGGTGGTGCATAGAACATTGAGCTCTTAAAAACCCGGAGAAAAATTAGGAATTTAGAAAGTAAGTGGGAGGTAGAATATTGAGTCCTTTTTTAAAAAAAAGAATTGATGTCTAAATATGTAGTCTGAACTTAAGTGTCCTAAAACCTTGTTTTTTGTTTTTTTGTTTTTTGAGGAGTCGTCTTGCTCTATCACCAGGTGGGAGTGCAGTGGCACAATCTCGGCTCACTGTAACCTCTGCCTCCTGCCTCCCGGGTCCAAGCAATTCCCCTGCCTCAGTCTCCCAAGTAGGTGGGACTACAGGCGCACACCACCATGCCCAGCTAACTTTTGTATTTTTAGTAGAGACGGGGTTTCACCATGTTGGCCAGGATGGTCTCGATCTCTTGACCTCGTGATCCACCCATCTCGGCCTCCCAAAGTGCTGGGATTATAGGTGTGAGCCACCGCACCCAGCCAAACCTTGATTTTTTTAGCCACCTCTGGGATTGCCTGGGTTCCCTTTGGAGAAGAAACTAAAAGTTATGGCCATAGAAAAAGCCCTGGTAAGAAAATATTTGAATGGTGTAAGATGGTGGAAGGAAAGCCATCCCACACCCCTACAACATATGTTCTGGCATTTATAAACTGCTTGATTGTGTGCCTCAAGGGGAGAAAAAGTCAAGCAATGCTTCAAAGGCCAGGCTTTCTAAGCAAATGAGTGGTTCAAAGCAGTGTTTGGCTCAAGGGCAGTCTGGTTTTATGGATAGGGCCGACCCAAGACATCTGCTCATGAAGAAATGTGGCATCTGTTGCCATTTCCTAAACTATAAGGTTTAGATAGATTGTCTTGAATTTTGATAGCAAATTTTTTTAAATTTATATTTCTGCCTCCTCGTACATCCTTATATATGGAAAAAAAAGTAAGAGTTCCTCAGATCAGAGCTCAGTAGCTGTGTCAATTTGAAGTTCAATCAGTGTAGTTGTCCTGGGGTGATCGCTGACTCTGCTCTGTTTCATATTTCAGTTGCTTGCTCCAAGGAGAGAATTTCTGAGAACAATGGGTGTTAGCAACTTTAAGTTACTCCCCAAACGTTTGCTGGCCACATTCTCATTTCTAAACATCTGGATCTGGGTAAAGGTTTGAATAGATGTAGGGAACAAAATTGGTTTTTCCATGGTGTAGTCTAATTTTGCCAAATCACCCAAGAAAGAAAGTATATGACGTGTGGAGTTTGCATTTCTTGGATGGGACCTATCGGGTCACCCAGCCCAGTCTTACAGTCATAAATTCCTACCTCTTAGTTCCTGCCAAAGGGCCTTCAGCCTCTGTGTGCACACTTATTGAATGAATGCTTTGCCTAAAGTTTGGCCTTTTGAAGAAAAACAGCATGTGATAATATAAAAATATGAGAGTTTAAAAAAAAAAAAGATCTCTGCCTCTCTTCTCTCTGCCTCGTCCCACCTTGCTGTCTGTCTCATTGTCTTTCTCTCCCCTCACCATGCGCTGAATTCAGATTTCTCTTTCTTTTATTATAGGCATGTTGTTTTGAATGTGGACTTTGTGGGAGGGAGAGGATTGTTCTGAGAACAGAAACTGGAAGATACGTCTGAGTTGATGGGACCAACAGGGCTTTGCTCCTCTGTGAGGGCCAAAGCCATTGATACTTGTCGGGGGTGATGAGGGCTTTAGCATCTCAAGGCAGACATATGAAGTATTTACTGCTAAACTATATTACTTACTAGTACAAATCTGTTGGAATTCAGGGGCAGTCTAAGATTTGGTGAGTGAAATGCCATCTGGCAAAATCGAGAAGAGAGTGTGGCCTGAGAGGGGAATGTTCAGCCTCACTGTCACATTAAGGGTACCTCAAAATACATGGTCCTTCCAGTGTGTTCCTTTTCCTTCCTCCATTTCACTTTGTCCCCTCTTCTTCCTTTCTCTCCCATTTTCCTGGCTTTTTAGCACTCAGCTTTTTTTTATAAGTATGTATTTACTTTTTATTATATATTTGGTCCTTTGGGACTTTGTGATGATTAAGAATTTATTCCATTCAGGATTTTAAAATGATGTGTTTAATATTTTGTTCTCTTAAACTCTTTTGAAGCTATGCTGCTAACCAGGTATAGGCCAGAAAGGAGGTGGCCCAGTCAGTACCTTGCTCACGTCAGCTAAGGGGGACAGTGATGTCATGTGGGTGACTCTTCTTCATTTGACCAAGGCCAGCCTCCTGTTCTTACCTCTGCCCATTCATTTCTGGCTATGGGAAAACTACCACCTGTTGAGTGAGCCAATGAGGCCAGGAAGATCAGAGGGGCTGGGTTCCGGCCCATGGGCCACTATTTGAATTTCTCTGTAGTAAGCTCTTTGTAGGGCTGGCTCCAACTGCAGTAGCCAAAGAAAACCTGTCTGACTCGACATTTTAATGCCTGAGAGTTGGTGAAAGTTCAGCTGAAGCTAATGTCTAGACATCAGCAGTAACTAGGCATCCAGAAAGTAGCTTCAACCAAAGCTAATAGAGCCCAAGTTTCCGCAGGAAGTTTGGTGCTGAGCTGTCCAGAGCAGTTGTTTATCTGAGTGTTGCTAGCCCTTAGCCATGCTTTCTTAGCTTTATTCTCGCCTGTTCCTAGGCATAGCCTGAACCAGAGCTATGGCTCACTGCTCGCTTTATTCTACTCCCTAGTCATGCGGAACAACATAGTCTAAAAAGGAAGATGTGGACTGGGGAGTTAGGAGACCTGATTTCTATTCCCTATGCTTCTACTAACTAGCCTCGAGATCTTAACCGCTCTGTGCCTCAGTGTTCCCATCTGCAAAATGGGGATAGTGTTAATTGCCCTACCTACCTCACAGGGTTGTTGTGAGGATAAACTGAGACAATGAATTCAAAGCAAGTTGACAAGTAAGTGCTATGCAAATTGTAAGAAATGGAAACAATCATGTTAAAAGCAATGGAATGGACATTGGCAGAAGGGTTAATGGATTGTCCAGCCCTTTCTCTGTGTGGCTTAAACCCAGGTCGCCATTGCTTTATACATTTTCACTTAGCACAGATTTGTAATTATGCATGTAATAAAGCACAGCCTTATCCACCCTGGTGTCTGGTGTGTTTCTAAAGACCCTAAACTTGGTAGCTATTGATTTCTGATCAGAAAACCACAGGGGCAGAGTGGAAGGTTCAGGGGAGGGTAGCACAAAACACAACTGCAAACCCCTACTGGCAGGCCCACTGCTTAAAAAGATTTATTAAATAGTTATTTTCACATTTACAGACTCAGTAATACTCTTTACCATAAGGAGGCAAATAAGAGGCAGCTTGCGTTTTTGGAGATGTTCCAGATACCCGGATACCTCATTCATTGTGGCTACTTAAATGTTCCTGTCTCATACATTGGTGATACTTTCCTGATGATGTGAGAATTGGCTGGGAGCTGTATTTTTCTCTCTCTTTGAGCTCTTAATGATGTAAGGTCGTGGGCTTTGACAGGCCTCTTGCCTACAGCTACTTTGTACAAGGAGGAGGATGGGTAATCAAAACGGTCCTCCCATGAATACTAGGATTCTTAGTACCCTCTTTATGGTGTATTGGGATTAAAATGTCTTCTGTACGAAATCCTCTGAAGTTACCCTGTAGATTAAAGTGGGGTGAGGTATGGGGAGGTTGCTGTATCTGTGGACATTTTCATGCCTTGCTGGAACACGGAAAGCTACACTTTGAAGTACAGCTTTCCTACTTTCTCACTCTATTTTTCCTGTGTCTCACTCCCCCACTCACTCCTGCTCTCTGTTAGCCAGGCAGTACTAGGAAGACAGTGTACCATGTGTCCAAGTTTTACTTTAAGAATTTCCCTAGTTGACATTTGATCACACCTGCACTGGTGTTGACTTGATTTCTTGTTGCTACTGAGAACTTTAATGCCTTTGGCCTAGTTGGTGTCATTTCAGGAAGGACACCTCTGTGTGAAAATGACTCCCTCATAAGCCTAAAATCCCACAAAATTTCAGTTATTGATGTTATTTATCATTTTACCGTACCCCTTCCACACTACCGTCATTCCTGCCTCTAATCTCTATACCTTTTAAGAAATAGCATTACATCTGTTACCAGCTATCAACAACTTGCTGTGAATCAGAGTGTCATGTCTAGTCACTGTAGAGCTCAGATAAAAGGTGCTTTGATGGAGTATGAAGTACAGACCTATCCATCATCTCTTACAGGAGCAGCCCAGAGAAAAAGCTGGAAATAACCACCAGATGTCAGTGCAATCATTAAAATACTGATGTGGCTGAGGTCTGGCCGGAGGGGAACTGTGAGGGGTAGGCAGGGCAGGAAGCATTAATTCATATATGTAGCTCGGTGCTGGGAATGCAAAATTCAATCATATGAGTATTTCTTCCTTTATCAGACATTCTCTTAATGTATATAATACACTTTATGCTTTTCTTATTGTTTTTAAAGAAATCAACCACAAGGCAGTCCCTGCCTGTAAGGAGCTTACTGTCCTGGTATCTGAAAGTTGTAGTTTCTTTTTCTAAGCAATGTCCCAGGTGAAAACATTGAGGAAAGAAGGGCTCTAATTCCTCCCTCAGTAGGGGTGGCCATATCATTTGCTGTATGACTGGGGCACTTTTGACAGTGGGAGGGACAACAGGCATAAACTAGGACTCTCCCAGGGCAACCAAGAAGTGCGGTGGTTCTGTTCCTCAGGGATCTTCAGCTCCTGTCCTTTGGAGTCTAGCTCCAGGCCTCCCAAGCTCTTTTCCTAGCATCTCAGGCTCTGCCCTCCCCTTGAGCTCCCAAGGCCCCTCCCCTGGACTCTCTTTCCTCCCTCATAATAAGCCCTCTCAACTGCCACTGGGTTGTGGGATAAGAGAAATGCTCAAACAACCTCAAGTAAAAAATTCATATATCAAAAACAAAAATAGAGCTCTGAGAAGAGAGCAACGTTCAGGGTAAGAGGTTCACTGGGGCCTCCTCAAGCTGCCAGGTTGAGGATTTTCTATACCTATATGTTGCCCACTGCTAGTGTCTCTAAATCGACCATTTGAGCATCTTCATTCCAGAGGTTGCAGATAGAAGAGAAGGTAGAGAAGAGGGAATAAGCATAGGATTTGATGCCAGAGGACCTGGACTCAAGGTTTACTACCTTGAGGAATTGGCTACCTTTCTTTTATTATTTTTTTGAAGACAGAGTCTCACTGTGTTGCCCAGGTTGATCTATAAAGTCCTGGGCTCAAGCGATCCTCCCACCTCAGCCTCCCAAAGTGCTGGGATTACAGGCATGAACCACTGTGACCAGCTACCTTCCTTGATGAAACAAAACTCAGGATCTCTATGTTTGGCCTTGGATGAACAGCCTCCTCTTGAAAAGGGGCTTCTGCATCTCACAGTATGGCTTTGTGTTCCACAAGATTCTCCTTGCCTTGGAGGCAGTTTTCCTAGTTACCTCACTGGCCTAGGGGTGTGGTGGAGATCATCCCCTTTTTAATATTCTGGCTCAAGTGTGCCTCCAGAGCCCAGCTGAGCTGAAAGTAGAACTTTTCATCTAAAAGTTTGGGAAAAATGGGAGAGAGCCTTCGTGATGTACCATGAAATCAGCCTAGCTCACCCATATTGGTGGCTCCCAAACCTAGCTGTACATCAGAATCATCTGGGTATTAAAAAAGAGATTCCTGGACAGTTTGGCTCCAGACCTTGAGCTAGTATTTGGAAAACCCTGGAAGAGCATTCCAGGCTTCATCTCACCCTAAAGTCATATCAGCCTCCTGTGTGTGGGCACCATCTTAACACCTGCCACCACCTGAGAGAACTCCTTGTCCTTCTGCTTGTTCACTATTGTATCCCAAGCATCAAGTGTAGTGCCTAGCACAGAGCAGGACCTCAGAGAATACAGTGCTTGCTGAACACTGGCTGGTGGTGCAAAGCTGGACTGCTTAGTTCCTGTTTCCTGCCTGGAGATATGTCTCTTACCTGGTTGTATACCACCTTCTGGGCACACTACACTTACCCGGCCACAGGGGGTTCTGGCTCTTACATTACAAGTCACAACCTGATCATCACCATTGAAGTACAACCCTGTGTGAGTGATGGAGGGCATGCTTATTTCAGGCTCTTTTACTTCTTCACCAAGTGATTTTAGGCACATGACTTGACCTTTCTGGACCTCAGTAACCTCATCTGCAAATTAAGAATGATGATAAAACCTGCCTCATTGGACCATCAAGATGATAAATTGAAAGTAGGTACTCACTGGGCTTTACAAATTGGCTATATGAACATCATTGTTATTCATTTGGTCCTGTGAGCTAAAAGAGCTAATGTATGAGGAATAGTCACTTCATTCAACCAATATTTAATGAGCTCCTACTCAGTGCCATGTACTATACTAAGTACTAGGGATACAATAAAAGGAAAAAACAGATCCATTCCCTGCATGACAATCCAAAATAGTCCATTTTGAATGGCATAAACCAGCAGTCTTTTTGTTGTTGAGACAGGGTCTTGCTCTATTGCCCAGGCTGGAGTGCAGTGGCTGATCATAGCTTGCTGAAACCTCAACCTCCTGGGCTCAAGCAATCCTCCCACCTCAGCCTCCTGAGTAGCTGGCACTACAGGCATGCCCCACCACACCCAGCTAAGTTTTGTATTTTTTGTAGAGATGGGGTTTCACCATGTTGCCCAGGCTGGTCTCAGACTTCTGAGCTCGAGAGCTCCACCTGACTTGGTCTCCCAAAGTGATGGCCAGCAGTCTTTTCTAGTGATAAGATATTTTTACCCCTTCAAGTCCAATGTTTGCGGGCTTGGCAGCCTCTCCTTTATATTAACAGAATCTTGGAACCTCTCCCACCACAATGTTTCCTGACTATTTTTCCCTTTGAGACTCTGAATATGTCACTAAATCAGGGCATCCCAGGTACACTCAAACCAGTCTTGTCATTTATGGTTTTCAAGAGGGACACACTCACTTTATTCCTCCCTGTTCCAACTCCCATTTGGCCACATCTGAGCCTACAAAGACACTCAGAAAACCCTTGCCCCAGAGATCACCCAGCCTGACAAAGTTCCTTGTACCCCATCCGCCCTCACCTTGTCCTCAAGCATGATGCCTCTTGCTAGTTCTAGTTACAAAATAAAAACTCCCTTGTCTATAAGTGGATACCAACAGATATGACTGTGTGTATGTGGAAATGAGGGTTGTCTTCATTAGCAATAATATACCAGAAGTGCTTTATTACACAAACATCCTTGAACTTTACTACAACCCTGTGATATAGGCAAAATATGAAGAACCCAAGACTTGGTTGTGATTTGCTCAGTAACTCAGAGGCAGGAAGTGATGTAACAGAAACTGGAACTCAATGTCTTTGACCCCAAGCCCAATGATCTACTACTAATTTTGTGGCTCAGTGCTCCTGTTCATCCTGAACATTTTCAGGCCAATTTATGGGAAGAAGGTAACAGAAGCTTGCCTGGTGAAGTTGGGCAGTTGGCCTGGTGTTAAAAATTTACTGTGGGTAAGAATCTGTATAGAGACATATAGATGATTAGAAACAATTCTAGGAAGGGGATCTCCAAAGAGATTTCTTTTAAAATGTGAATGTGAAGAAATTGAGAAGTGGAAATGGGTGGGGGTTGAGGAGCAGTGTCTGGAGTCCTGTATTTATTAATTTGCCTCCCTTAGTATTATTTGGAGTTTTACCAAGAGCTTGTATTACTTTTATTATTTTTTTACAAGTAAAGTAAAGATCCAGGAAAGGAAATAATATTTTTATATGTGATTATAAGGATGTGTTCATCTCATCAATTGGAAGCTAAATTTGTTTTTCCTATGAACTAATGATGAACAATGAAAACTAAAGCCTCAGGTCCAGTAAGTGGATGTTATGATGAGAATTTCCATCCCTAGCGGGGGGGCCATATGACTCATGCTGGCATCGGGGGCTGTTTTCTCTCATAATCTAACACAGCAGCCAGAATTATCCTTTTAAAACATTAATCAGATCATGTCACTTGCTGGATTTGAAACCTTTTGGTGACTTCCCATTATATCCAAGGCAAATCCAACCCCTTCCCCTGGTCTCTCAGGTTTTCCACGTCCTTCATGTGGTATGGCTTGCTAACTTGATGTGTTGAAGTGTGTCCTCCAAAAATTCATGTTGAAGTCCTCATTATCTCTAAATGTGACCTTATTTGGAAACAAGGTTGTTGCAGATGTAATTAAGTTAGAATGAGGTCATACTGGCATAGGGTGGGCCCCTAATTCAATATGACTCTTGTCCTGATAAGAAGGGGAAATTTGGATGCACGGAGAACATCATGTGAAGATGAAGGCAGAGATGGGGTGATGCTTCTACAAGCCAAAGAACAGCAAAGATCACCAAAAATCTACCAGATGCTGGGGGAGAGGCGTGAGACAGATTATCCCTCCTAGCCCCCCAGAAGGAACCGACTCTGCTGACACCTTGATCTTGGACTTGTAGCCTCCAGAACTGTGAGACAGTACATTTCTCTTGTTGAAGCCCCCAGTTTATGGTACTTTGTTATAGCAGCCCCAGCAAACTAACACGCCTCCTCTCTTACCACTCACCCTCTTCTCTCACTTGCCCCCAGCACAGTATCTTTTTTTTTTTCAGTTACACACACACACCAAATGTATTCCACCCCAGGATCTTTGCACTGTATGTTTTAGCTTTCTCAAATGTACTTCCCCCAGACCTTCACATGACTGGCTCCTTCTTGTCAATCAATTTAAATGTCTTTTCTTACAGAGGGCTTCCCTGACCCCCCAGCCATTTTTAATTGCATCATGCTCATTTTTTTCTTTGGAGAAGTCATCATTATCTGATATTTTTTTTGTTTGTTTATAGTATATCTTCCCCCAATTACAATGTAAGTTCCATAGGCTTTTTGTTTGTTTGTTTGTTTTAGAAATGGGGTCTTACTCTGTCACCAAGCTGGAGTGCAGTGGTGTCATAGCTCACTGCAGCCTCCAACTCCTGGGCTCAAGCGATCCTCCCACCTCAACCTCCAAGTAGCTGGGACTGGACTGTAGGAGTGAGCCACCACACCCTGCTAGTTCCATAGGTTTTTTTCACCCTTGTATCCCCAGATTCTACTTAGACTTACCAGACACACTATAAACATTATAAATATGTATTGAGTGAATGGGAAGAATTCTTCACTGATGGGCTCATTCATTAAACATTTATTGAGTCTCTGCTATTTGAACAGCTACTGTGATAGAAATTGACGCACATAGTCTAATAAGATAGGCTTCCTCCCCTTTGACTTCCTAAAAGGCTGTGGCTCCTGCTAGGTTCCAATACTGGTGTAGTAGAAAGAGCATGGGCTTTGGAGTCTGACAGACCTAAGTTCATATCCTAGCTCTGCCACTTACTTGCTGTGTGGTCTGGGCAAAGCACCCAACCTCTCTGTCTCTCAATTGTCTCTTCTGCCAAATGGAGATACTAATACCTAACCCAGAGAACTGTGGTAAGAAATAAATAAGACACGTAATGTGTGTGAAAAGCTTAGCAGTGCCTGGTTGGTACCCAGTAGGTTCTCAAAAAAGGGAATTTCCCTTTCTACTTCACTCTAGTGAGATAACCAAAGCCCCTCTTCTCACAGCTGTCTGCCTCTCTTTGGGGGAAATTAGCAGTTCTCCAGGACAGCAGTAGAAATAATTTGGCCTGAGGGGAGCCCCCGGCTTACTGCAGTGCTCTCTTATCAAGGATCTCTGAGGAGCCATTCAGGTGGAGGTGCCCCTTGTTGGAAATAAACACCCAGTGTACTTCTCTTCATGCTCCATATATGAGGTAGCCATTCATTCATTCATTTGTTCACTTATTCAGCAGCTATTTATTGAACGTATATTATGTTCTAGGCACTGTGCTGAGTGCTGGGAATATAGCAGCAAATAACAACACAGACACGGGCCTTGTCTTCACAGTACTTGCAGTCTAGTGAAGTTTTTGTTGATTTGTTTTCCCTGTATGCCTCCAGCAAATATTTATTGGGCCTGGGGATTCTAGGCTTTCTCTAGCTTGAGAAAATGGTGACTATGGCAACCAGACTTTTATCATACCACTACCAGCCGTTGCCCCAGATGACCAAGTGGCCCTGGATCTGGCGCAGGCAGAGAGAACAATGTTTGTCCTTGGAGTTTTACAGGCTTAGGAATCCTCTGCAAGTTATTCTTAAAAGTTCTGTGTGTTGGGTGCTCTGTTTCAAGCACTAGACTTCATGCTTCACTTCCATGGTTTTGCTTAATCCCCCACAACAACCTTGAGAAGTAGATACTGTTATTAAACCCGTTTATGTTAGATAAAGAAAGGGAAGTGTATGCCAGTGGGTAGGTGAAGTGACTTGCTCTGGGTCACACAGATAGTAAGCGGTGAGATGGCATTCAAGTCCAGAGCTGTATGACTCCTGAGTTGTTTTCTACAATACCACAATGTTTCAAATATTGCCACGGGATATTTCTGCAAAGGAAGCATTACACAGGGCTGACTTGCTGGAACCTAGGAGAGCCCTTGAAAGAAAAAGTAAAGGCCAATCAAACTCAGTTTATAGACAGGAATCCTCAAGTTTCCATATCTTCTTGTATTAGTTATTTGTTACTGGGTAACACTATTACCAGAAACTTAGCAGCTTTAAACAACACATAATTATTACTTCACAGTTTCTGTGGGTCAGGAGTCTTGGCATGGCTTAGCTGGGTCCTCCATAAGGCTGCAGTCAAGGTGTTGGTCAGGGCCGGTCTCTCATCAGAGGCTCAACTGGGCAAGAATCCACTTCTAAGCTCATACGATTGTTGGTGGCATTAAATTCCTTGTGGGCTATCAGACCAAAGGCCTCAGTTCCTAGCTTGCTGTTGACCTGTTGCCACTCAGTTTCTTGCTGTATTAGTCGGAGTTTTCCAGAGAAAAAGAATCCCTAGGATGTGTGTGTGTGTGTGTGTGTGTGTGTGTGCATGTGTGTATGCATATGCATGTGTATATTGAGAGATTTATTTTAAGGAATTGGCTCATGTAATTATGGAAGTTGGCAAGTTCAAAATCTTCATGGTGGTCTGGCAGGCTGAAGACCCAGAGAAGAACTGGTGTTGCAGTTCAAGTTCAAAGGCCATGAACTGGCAGAATTCACTCTTGTTCTGGGGAAGTCAGGATTTTGTTCTATTCAGGCTTTCAACTGTTTGGAGGAAGTCCACCCTCATTAAGAAATCTGCTTTACTCAAAGCACATTGATTTAAATGTTAGTCTCATCTAAAACCACCCTCACAGAAACATCCAGAATAAACTTTGATCAAATATCTGGGTACCAAAACATAGCCACATTGACATAAAATTAACCATCATTACATCAGTGTAATGTGGGAAACTAAAAAAAAAAATTTACCAACATGCTTGTCATAGTGAACCTCCCCGACATGACCACTTGCTTCATCAAAGGAAGATGAAGCAAGGAAGTGAGTCTCCTAACAAGAGACACCTTGCAAGATTATGTAACATAATCACAGCATCTTGCCCACACTCAAGGGGAGGAGGATTACACAAGAACATGAATTCCAGGAGGCAGAAATCACACAGGCCATGTTAGAGTCTTTCTGCCACAGTCTACTCCTTGACTTCCAATGATTCATGTCTCTCTCACACGCAAAATACATTCATTTCTTTCTCAATATTCCTCAAAATCTCATCCCATTGTAGCATCTGCTTAAAGTCTAGAATCTCATGATCTAAATCAGGTCCAGGTGAAGATGCAATGTTTTAGGCAAAATTCTTCTCAATTTGTTGATCTGTAAAATGAAAGAGACATGTAATCTACCTCCCATAAAACCAACATAAAATGTTGGGAAGGCTTAAGATAACTGCTATAGACATTTCCATTTGAAAAGGAGCGGGGAAATGGGAGGCATGCACTGGTCCATGACAATTGTGAAATCCAGCTGGGCAAATGTTGGATGTTCCTTCATTAGTTCTTAAGTCCTGTTTGGTCTCTTGGTTCTGCCTTCTGAATTGTCCTTCCTTTTCCACAAAAGGTAGCACATGTGTGCAGCTAAGTAGTTTATCAGACTGCTCCCTGCCAGTAGAATTTTAGGGGTCCAGCAGCTATCTTTAATTTTGTATGCTGTCTGTCTCCATCCAAGCTAACAGTGTTTCTGCTTAAATAACTTCCTCCAAAACTTTCGAATCTTCAGTGGATTTAACTGGAGTTTGCTCCATTAGAAAAAGACATACCCACAGATCTGTTTGAGATAAGCCCTTCTTTACCTTGGACTCCTTCTGTGATGGCTTAGGTACACAACTCTTACGTTTCCTAAGAGGCCCTATTGTTTGAGAGGTTCTTGGAGCCACACCTTTAATCTCTTGAAAGGGCCCTTTGTGTGACTGAATACCACTCTGATCCTTTGATCTGAGATTTTAACAAAAGATTGTCCAGTTGCTGTTGGCTTTTTCTCTATGCCATGCTTTCCTAGCAGTGCTTGGAAGCCATTTCTTAATTTTAGCATCTTTTGCCATCTGGAGAGACTAAGAATCAAGTACTGATTTCTTTTGGGTTTAAAAGTGCTTCCCTCAATTTATGTCTCTCCTCTCACATTTTACTATAAGCATCAAGAAAAAACCAGCCCACAGCTTCAACACTTTGCTTGGAAATCTTGTTAACTAAATAACCACATTCATCACCTACACTCTACTTTCCACATAATCGCAGGCAACAGTTTCAGTAAGTGTTTTTCCACTACTTAACAAGGATCCCCCATAGCCCTGTGCCTGCCACATGGTACGTGCTTAATAAATTTTACTATTGCTATTACAACATACACAATGGGAAACAGTAACACCTATCTTATGAGATGGCTGTGAGAATTTCATGAGATTATGTGTGAAGCTGCCTGAAATATAATAGGTACTGTAAACCAAAAATAAAATTCTAAGCCCCCCAACCATTTGAATGGACCCCTTCTCTCAGCCAAGGGCATTCCAAAATTAACCTGAAAAACTACTTCAGGCCATGATGGGAAGGGGAAGTTGGATATGCCTTATTATTCCCTCCTTCCTTTTGGAATTCAGGCACAGCTGACCAGCACTAACATCAACACAGAGACCTTAAGTCTGATAGAACAGACTCTTTAAGTCTGATAAGAAACATTTACAATCTATTCTCTCTGAAGCCTGCTACCTGGAAGCTTCATCTGCAAGACAAAACCTTGATCTCTTCAACCCCCTATCATAACCTAGACATTCCTTTCTATTGATTCCAGGTCTTTAGATAATAACAAATTACCAATCAGAAAATCTTTGAATTCACCTATTACCTGGAAGCTCCTGCTTCCAGTTGTCCTACCTTTCTGGACTGAACCAATGTACATCTTACATGTATTGATTGATGTCTTATGTCTCCGTAAATATATAGAACCAAGTTGTAGCCCTACCACCTTGAGCACATGTTGTCAGGATCTCCTGAGGGTGTGTCATGGATATGTCCTTAACTTTGGCAAAATAAACTTCTAAGTTGATTGAGACTTGTCTCAGGTGTAAACTTTTTGGTTTACAGTATGCATATCCCTTCCCTTTCCTTCTGTCATGAGCTGAATGTTTGTGCCTCACCAAAATTTATATGACGAAGCCCTAACCTCCAGTGTGGCTGTATTTGGAGTAAAGAAAGAAGGTTAAATGGGATCATAGGATGGGGTCATTGATGTAATAGGATTAGTGTTCCTATAAGAAGAGACATCAGAGTACATGCTCACTCCTCACTCTTGTGTTCTCTCTCTCTCTCTCTCCCTCCCCCCTCCCCACCCCATGGAGGCACTGAGAAAGGCCACATGAGGACGTGGTGCAACTGCCCAGTGGGTTCTTCTTGCCTGCTACTCAGATAGAGTCAATTTATCAAGACAGGGGAATTACAATAGAGAAAGCATTTAATACAAGTAGAGCCAGCTAAATGGAAGACCAGAGTTTTATTATTACTCAAATAAGCCTCCTCAAAAATTTGGAGGCTACGGTTTTTCAAAGGCAGTTTGGAGGGCAGGGGTGTGAAAAATGGTCCTTGTGTGTAGAGTCTGCTTCTAGGTGAGGGCCACAGGACTGGTTGAGGGTCAGGGTGGGGCCATCCAGTTATCAGAAATGCAAAAGCCTGAAGAGACATTTCAAAAGGCCAGTTTTAGGTTCCACAATAGTAATGTTAATTACAGGAGTAATTGAGGAAGTTGCAAATCTTGTGACCTCCAGAAATCTGGTTGTCTTTCATTTGTTTTACAAAAGTGGTTTGGTTTGTGGGAAGGGCTGTTATCATTTAAACTATAAATTTCTTCCAAAGTTAGATTGGCCCATGCCTAGGAATAACCAAGGGCAGTTTGGAGGTTAGAGGTAAGATGGAGTTGGTTAGATCGGATCTCTTTCACTGTCATAATTTTCTTACTGTTATAATTTTTGCAAAGGTGGTTTCTATAGTGAGAAGATAGCCATCTGTAAGCCAAGAAGAGAGCCCTCATCAGAAATAAACTTTGCTGGCACCTTGGTCTCAGACTTCAAGCCTCCAGGACTCTAAGAAAATAAATTCCAGTGATTTAGGTCACCTAGCCTATGATATTTGGTTTTGGCAGCATGAACAGGCTAAGAAATCTTTGTTGGGTGAAGCCATTATAATCTACAGATCAAAACCCACTTTTCTCAGTTTGCAGCTGCTCAACAGATAACATTGGGACACGTGGAAGGAACCTGAATTTAAAAACAATTGTGTTCATTTTTCTCTGATTATAAAATAAACATATTGGGCCAGGCATGGTGGCTCATGCCTATAATCCCAGCACTTTTTTTACGGGCGGAGGGTGTCCATGTTCTTGGCGTCTTGAGCAAAGAATTGGAAAAAACGCACAAACAAAGCAAGGAAAAAATGAAGCAACAAAAGCAGAGATTTATCGAAAATGAAAGTACATTCCATAGGGTGGGAGCGGGTCTGAGCATAGAGACTCAAGAGCCCCGGTACAGAATTTTCTGGGGTTTAGATACCCTTTAGAGGTTTCCATTGGTTACTTGGTGTACGCCCTGTGTAAATGAAGAGGATATTTCCTGTCATAGGTAAAGTGTTTCCATTTAATTTAGTTCTAGGAAGTCCATAGGTTCCTTACCTCCAGGCCCTGTTCTTCTGCCTCTCTTTGGGAGACCAAAGTGGAAGGACTGTTTGAGCTCAGGAGTTTGAGACCAGCCTGGGTAACACAGTGAGACCTTGTCTCTACTAAAAATAAAAAAAATTAGCCGGGTGTGGTGGCGCACACTGGTAGTCCCAGCTACTCAGGAGGCTGAGGCAGGAGGATCACTTGAGCCTGGGAGGTCAAGGCTGCAGGGAGCCATGATCACACCACAGCACTCCAGCCTGGGCAACAAAGTGAGACCCCATCTCAAAAAAAATAAAAAGTAGGTTTATTGTAAGAAAAAATTAGAAATTTTTAAAGAAAAGTTCTAAAAGGTTTCAAAATCATAATGAAGAAAGTAAAATTACCTGCAGTTCCTTCACTCAGAGATACCATGGTTAATATTTGGGTAAATTTATTTTTATTATTTTTCTATATATGACAGTGTATATACACACACAAATAGAATTGGAATAATGCTGAACCATAGTGCCTTATATTCTTTTTTCCTCTCATTTAACATTTCTTGGAGCGAATTGCTTTCCACAGATGTCTTTTCCTTCAGAATGATTTCTCCCCTAGGCTTTTGACTTCCTGATCTCCAGCCTGTTTTGAGCCAGCTCCAGCCTGTTTCAGGGCCTGGCTCTAAGCCCAAAGGAGCTCTGTCCTTGTAGACGTTCCCCAGGCCATGTGACTTTCTCAGCAACTCTGTTTTCACCTGCAAACTCCCTCAGGGAGGTAAGAGGAAATGATGGCTCTGGGGAGCAGGTAGAAGAAGTGAACTAGAACCTGTGACTGCCACAAATCACAGACTCAAGTTCTCCTTTACTAAAGCACAGCAATAGAACCCAAACCATAGGCTATATGATTTGCGTGGAAGGAGCAAGGGAATGCAAATGGACTCTGGGATGATGACAAACGTCTGAGATTAATAATGATCCAATGAGAAATGCCAAAAGTGAGGCACCAAATTATACCCTAGCTGTGATTTCAACTTCAGCAAAAATATGCGTGGGTTACACAAAAGTGGGACTGTAGTGCTCTAAACTTCTTGAGGAATGGTTACATTAACATTCCATTGTGTTTTCCATCTCATTAAATATTCTTTGAAAGAATTACTTTTTAAAAAACAGAATAGCTTTTAAAAGACAGCCTGCTTTTCACATTAAGAATGACAGAAAATATATAGAACATCTCAAAGAAATAATGCAATTGGAGCTTCAAGTGGTGGAGGGTGTATTTTAAGCCTGAGCTACATGAAGGGACCTGAGGGTGAGGGCACTTTAAAACACCAATGATAGGGGAGTGGGGCAGGAATTGTAAGGGCATGTAAAGAGGGTGTTTGATCTGATTTTACCAAACTCTCTGAAGATCAGTGAGATCTCAGCTGGCCATACAACATAGTGATTATAGCCTGTGGCCTCTGAAGTCAGATATACTGCACTGACAACATGGCTCCAATACTTAATAGCTTTGTGAACTTGGGCAAGTCAATTAAGCATCCATGCCTCAGTTTCCTCATCTATTAAACGGGGATGATAATAGTACCTGCTTTATAGGCTTGTTGTTAGGCTATAGATATTTCTGAAGGTTGCATGAAATAATATCTGGAAAGCAATTAGTATAGTACCTGAGACAAAGTTAAGTGCTCAATCAATGTTAATGTTAACTATCATCATCATCACTACCTGTGTTACAAAAGTAATAGAATTTTTTTTTTTTTTTTTGAGACAGGGTGTCGTCGTGTCACCCAGGCTTGAGTGCAGTGGCGTGATCATGGCGCGCGGTGGCCTCAACCTCCCAGGCTCAAGTGATCCTCCCATCTCAGCCTCCCAAGTAGCTGGGACCATGGGCATGTACCTGTACCACCACACCTGGCTAATTTTTTATTTTATTTTTTGTAGAGACAGGGTGGTCTCAAACTTACAGACACAAGTGATCCTCCTGCCATGGCTCCCAAAGTGCAGTGATTACAGGTGTGAGCCACCATGCCCAGCCTAAAAGTAATAGATTTATTGAATTGATTTATTGAATATATAACTACCATGTTTCCTCAATTCTATGATTTACTATTTTTCTAATTTCTGAAACTGGGACTCATCATACCATCACTTTACATTTACATTTAAAGTTGTTTTTCTTCCTCACTAAAAAAAAAAACGAAAAAAAAAATTAAAAACTAATTCAAAACCATGCTCTAGGTTGGTATTTCTAGACTTTAATGTGGGGATTTGTTAAAATGCAGATTCTGATTCAGTGGGTCTAGGGTAGAGCCTAAGATTCTGCAGTTCTAATGAGCTCCCAGGTAATGCCAGTGCTGCTGGTCCTTGGACCACACTCTGGGCAGCAAGGGTCTAGCTCTCTGAACTGTAACTAGTCTGAGCCAGAGGCCATAGGTTGGAATAGTAGCCATATTGGAGTCAGGCCCTTGAAGCAGCCTTCTTGATGTAGCAAGCTCCCGTTCCAATAGGCATGGGACTGAGGATTTAGAACAGTGCTGAATCTGTAGGTTAAAAAAAAAATTGTCTGACTCTTTAGGTAAAAAAAAAAAAAAAAAAAAAATGTTGATGAAAAGAGTCAAACTCTGTAAAATATTTGAAAAGATTTATTCTGAGACAAATATGAGTGACCATGGCCCATGACGCAGACCTCAGGAGATCCAGAGAACATGTGCCCAAGGTGGCTAGGGTGCAGTTTGGTTTTACACATTTTAGGGAGACATGAGACTTCAATCAAATACATTTAAGAAATACATTGGTTTGGTCCAGAAAGGCGGGACAACTCAAAGCTGGGGTGGGGGAAGTGGGCTTCTAGGTAGACTTAAAAATTTTCTGGTTGACAATTGGCTGAGTTTATCTAAAGACCTGGGATCAATAGAAAGGAATGTCAGAGTTAAGATAAGAAGTTGTGGAGACCAAAGTTTAATCATGTAAATGAAGTCTCCAGGTGGCCTGCTTCAGAGAGAATAGATTGTAAATGCTTCTTATCAGACTTAAAGGTCCCTGTTGATGTTAACGCTGGAGAGGTATAATAAGGCATGTCCAACCCCCTCACTTTCTGTCATGGCCTGAACCAGTCTCTCAGGTTAAATTTTAAAAGAGTGCCCTGGCTGAGGAGAAAGTCCATTCAGATGGTTGGGGGACCTTAGAATTTTATTTGTGGTTTACTGGGAGGTAGTGAGTGTTCCCAAATTAGCATCTGTGATTACTTCATAACAAAAGAGAGTTTAAAGGGACGTCTCATGTAACAGCCATGTCAGCCATTCTGAATTGGAACTGTTTTGATTCCAGGAGTTCTGAAAAGGAGATCCAGAGACCTTGGCCTTGTTGGTTTACCTCTAGTCAAGCCTTACTAATTGGAATCTTCTGCAGTCACCCCACACATACTCAATGTGTAGGGGACAGACTTCCAGTTGAGGCAGGAGAATAGGGCCTGGAAGCAGGGAACCTAAGGCCAATTAATGCTGACTTCCTAGAACTAAATTAAAAGGAAAACCCCAACTTTCCGCACCTAAGTAACAAAAGGATGCGAGGCTACTCCTTTTGCAACCTCCCCCTACTCCACGCACCGCCCCACCCTATCCCCCTCTCCGAGTATTCTGCCTGGCAGATGGAAAATTGAAAATATCTCTGATTGGTTGCTTTCTGCAACCAATCAGACGTTTGCATAGGTGTGTAACTTTGTAACTTCATTTCAGCCTCTGATAGTTGCTTTCCACAACCAATCAGACTGATCATGGGCCACTACTTCATTTACATAGGGTGTATATCAAGCAACCAATGGGAAACCTCTAGAGAGTATTTAAATCCCAGAAAAGTCTGTAATGGCCCTATGCTCGGGCCATTCCCACCCTGTGTAGTGTACTTTTGTTTTCAGTAAATCTCTGCTTTTGTTGCTTCATTCTTTCCTTGCTTTGTTTGTGCATTTTGTCCAATTCTTTGTTCAAAACAACAAGAACCTGGACACCCTCCACGGGTAACACAGTCTCAGATCTCCACCTAGAGTAAGAGTAAAACCAGCCCCTCCGACTAACTCTATCCATTCAACAAACAAATACAGGTTTTTCTACTTCCTTCTCTTCTCCTACTTCATACAGACAGGCATCAAGGCCTGGGGACTGTTAATTCATAACGTTTTTGTGATCTGGTTCCTCCTTTGTTAGTATAGCCTCTAGCTCTCTCCTGTACTGCAACAGCCTCCTACTGCCCCCTACCCCAACAATTTCCCCACCCTACACTGTTCTGCCCAATGTTCACATTAATTTTTGCCTAAAACATCTCCATTTCCCACACTGCTTTAGTATCTTTCCACAATCATTGCATTTGCCATTTACTGCGTGAATGAATCTTCCACTTCTAGTCCCATCTTACTGTTGTCCTTCTAAGTACACCATCCTCATTCTGAAGCTACCCTTGCAGAAATTATAAGTGAGAAAATGATGACAGTGACAGAGATCTGATCTAACTGACTCCATCTTGCCCGGGCTGGAGTTTAGTGGTGTAATCTTGGCTCACTGCAACCTCCGCCTCCTGGGTTCAAGCAATTCTCATGCCCCAGCCTCCCAAGTAGCTGGGATTACAGGCATGTGCCATCACGCCTGGCTAATTTTTGTATTTTTAGTAGAGATTTATTTATTATAGAGATTTATTTATTATTAGTCGAGATTTATTTATTATTAGTTTCACCATGTTGGCCAGGCTGGTCTGGAACTCTTGACCTCAAGTGACCCACCCGCCAGCCTCCCAAAGTGCTGGTATTACAGGCATGAGCCACTGTGTCTTGCCTAATTTATAGTTTAACTTTGAAACAAAGACAATAACAACCCCTCCCTGAAACAAACCTCTTTCTTGCCTGGGGACCAGACTACCTTTGTAGGACTAACAAATTAGCCACAATATTTGCAACTTCCCCAATTACTCTTGCAGATTACATCACTATTGTAGAATCTAAGATTGGCCTTTTGAGATGTCTTTTCAGGTTTTTGCATTTCTGACAGCTGACCGCTCCACCTGGATTTGGCAACTGGCCCTGTGGCCCCACTCAGGAAACAACTCAGTGCAAGAGGACAATTTCAACTCCCTGTGATTTCATCTTTGACCTGACCAAGCAGCACTCCCCACTCCGTAGCCCCCTGCCTTTGTCCTTGAAAAACCCTAGTCTCCAAATTTTTGATTTGAGTAATAATAAAACTCTAGTCTCCCATTCAGTCAGCTCTGTGTGAATTAAACTCTTTCTCTATTGCAATTCTCCTGTCTTGATAAATCCGCTGTATCTGGGCAGCAGGCAAAATAAACTCATTGGGCCGTTACAATTCACAATTGACACTTTGATTCATTCTGAGCTTCCCACCCACAGTACCTTCTCTCTTCCAGGAAAGAGTTTTAACAATAGCTAAGAGTAACTACTATTTATTGAGTACTTATTCCATGCCTAGCTCTGTGTTAAGCACTTGCATAGATAATTATTTATTACAGTAGCCCTATAAGCTAGATATCTTATAATTATTCCCATTGATGTGAGGAAACTAAGGCTCAAATAATTTATCCCAGTATGTTTCTAGATATGTGGACTCTGCCCTTGTCTTTTATTACTGATTCCTTCTCCTTCTCCCTATTTAAATACCATCTTACTACTTTCAAAGCATATAGGAAATACATTAACTAAGCTTTGATTCTTTGAAGTGTTTCTGGATTCTGATTTCATAAACACATTATTTATAGTTTGCATGTTGATTGTAGGGAAATGGTACCTTTAAAGCTTTTGAAGGACTTTTAAGCCATTTTGTTCATATAAATTGCTTAGTCATTTTCTTTGCAGTCTTTTTCTTCAATTACTATTTTAGATTTAAAGGTTACATGTGCAGGTTTGTTACATGGGTATATTGCATGATGCTGAGGTTTGGGGCACAATGATCCCATCACCCAGGTAGTGAACATAGTACCCAATAGATAGTTTCAACCCTTACCCCCTCCCTCTCTCCTACCTCTAACAGTCTTCAGTGTCTATTGTTGCCATCTTTATGTCCATGTGTACCCAATGTTTAGCTCCCACTTACAAGTGAGAACATGCAATATTTGGTTTCCTGTTCCTGCATTAATTTGCTTAGGATTATGGCCTCCGGCTGCATCCATGTTGCTGCAAAGGACATGATTTCATTTTTTTATGGCTGCAAAGTATTCCATGGTGTGTAGGTACCAGACTTCCTTTATCCATTCCACTGTTGATGGGCACCTAGGTTGATTCCATGTCTTTGCTATTGTAAATAGGTCTTTGCAGTCTTTATTACTGCTGATTTGCTCGGCAAACCCTTCCTTCCTGGATATTGTAAAAGCTGAACCTTAGCCATGCCCCTGTCACAAGCATCCCAATCATGACTCAGAGGAAACAGAATGAGTGCCTGGTGCTTGTGTTTCTAGCAGAGTGACACTCGGGCACACAGCAGTGTCTCTGCAGCTCTAAGGAGGGAAGTGAGACTGTAGGGTTGGGGAGATAAAGGGCTTTCCCTTTTTGACTCTTTATACTTCGATATCACTTTTCTTTTTACAATGAATGTTATTTATTACTTGTGTAAGAAAAAGCAATACAATTATTTCTTTTAAAATAAAAGACAACAAATAGGAAAGATTAGAGAGGAGCTACAGAAGAATCATAATCATGCAAAGCTAGTTATCTCCAGCAATAAGCAAGGAGATGCCATTTGTTACCTACCAGAATGGTAAAAAACAAAAAAGTTGGGTAATGCTTGTGTTTGACAAAGCATGAGGAGGAATAGATGCTATCCTCTACTGTTGGAAGAAGCTCATCTTGGTATAGGTTCTTTGGGGACAATTTTGCAGTGTGCATCAGAACTTACCATGTATTTATCTTTGACTCAACAATACTACTGCTAGGAGTTTACTGTATGGATATATGCTCAAAAGCATGTCATGATGTAAGCATGTGAGGATGTTTACTGCAGAATTTTTTCATAATGGCAAAAACTAAATGTCCATCATTAAAGTTTGGTTAAGCCAGGCTTGGTGGCTCATGCCTGTAATCCCAGCACTTTGGGAGGCTGAGGTGGGAGGATCGCTTGAGCCCAGGAGTCTGAGACCAGCCCGCCCAACATGGTGGGACCCTGTCTTTACAAAATATTTTAAAAAATTAGTCCAGCATCATGGTGCATGCCTGTAGTCCTAGCTACTTGAGAGGCTGGGGTAGGAGGATCACTTGAGCCTGAGAGATCGAGGCTGCAGTGAGCCATGATTGTGCCACTGCACTCCAGCCTGGGTAACAGAGCAACACCCTGTCTCAAAAAAAATAAAATGTTTGGTTAAATAAAACACAGTTCATCCATTAATATTAAGAACATTAAGGACTATTTAAAAGCAAGAGGCAGAGTGTAGTGCTGAAGTAGAATGATCTCAATGATGCACTGTTAAGTGTAACTGCAAAAAACTGAATATAACATACAACCATTTGTGTCTTTTTTTTTTTTCCTGGAAGAATACACAAAAACTGTCAAAAGTAAAATTATATTTGAGTAGAAGGACTAGAGTTCTGGGACCAGGGAGCTTTTAATTTTAAATTTTAACTTCCCGTACTTTGCAAATATTTTATCATGTGCCTGAATAACTTTTAAATAAACACCAAAACACCGTTCTAAAACATCAAATGAGTCATCGACAGACTTGAAAAGCCTGGTTTATGGACTAAATGTTAAGAACCCTTATCTTAGGGGGAAGAACCTGCCCAAATATTCAATATTCAATTTCTTCAGTCTGGTAGTGCCTCAAGATCAAAGGTTCTCTAGGGACACTGAGACACTGGTGGAAGGTTAATGCCCTTGAACGCCACCCTTGGGCTAATACTCTTTGGGAAACAAGGGCCAAATGAGTATTAGAACACTAGGAGATAGCTTTAACTAGCCAGCTGTAGATTTCTTCTCTTTTTTTTAACATTTTTTTCCTGCTTTACTGAGGAATGAATGACAAATAAAAATTGTATATATTTAGAGTGTAAAACATGACGTTTTGATATATGTATACATTGTGAAATGATTACTACAATCAAGCTAATTGATATATCCATCACCTCACAGAGTTACCTTTTCTTTTTGTGTGGTGAGAACACTTGAGATCTACTCTCTTTGTAACTTTCAAATATACAGTACATTATTATTAAGTATAGTCAACATGCTGTACATTAATTAAGTCTCTAGTACATATTAATCTTGCACCCTTTGACCAGTCTCTCCACCTTCAACCACTTTCAAATCCCTGGTAATCATCATTCTACTCTCTGTTACTATGAGTTTGACTTTTTTTTAGATTCCACATATGAATGAGATCGTAACAGCATTTGTCTTTCTGTGTCTGGCTTATTTCACTTAGCATAATGTCCTCAGAGTTCATATATGTTGCCTCAAATGGCAGGATTTCCTTCTTTTTTAAGGCTGAATAATACTCTTGTGTATATATACACACCACATTATCTTTATCCACTCATCTGTTAATGGACACTTAGGTTGTTTCCATATGTTGGCTGTTACGGATAATGCTGCATGGGAGTGCAGCTACCACTTTGACATACTGATTTCACTTCCTTTGGATATATACCCAGAAGTGGGGTTGCTGGATCACACAGTAATTCTATTTTTAATTTTTTGAGGAACTTCCATACTGTTTTCCATAAAGATTGTACTAATTTACATTCCCACTAACAGTGTACAAAGGTTCTCTGTACTCTATCGTTGCTAACACTTACCTTTTGTTTTTTTGTTTTTTTTTTTTTTTTGATAATAGCCATCTGAAGAGGTGTCAGGTGATATCTCATTGCAATCCCTATCAAAAATTTAATGGAATTTTTCACAGAAATAGGAAAAACAATTCTAAAATTTGTATGAAACCACAAAGATCCTGAATAGCTAAAGCAGTCTTGAGCAAGAACAAAGCTGGAAGCATCACATTTCTTGATTTCAAATGATATTACAGTGCTATAGTAATCAAAACAGCATGGTACTGGCATAAAAACAGACACATAGACCAAGGGAATAGAACAAAGAGCCCAGAAATAAACCCACATATATATAGTTAGCTAATTTTAGACAAAGGCACCAAGAATACACAATGGGGAAAGGATAGTCTCTTTAATAAATGATGTTGGGAAAACTGGATATCCACATGCAATAAAAATGAAATTGGATCTTAGACCATACACAAAAATCAACTCAAAATTGATTAGATACTTAATTATAAGACCTGAAACTGTAAAACTCTTAGAAGAAAACTTACGGAAAAAGCTCCTTAACATTGGTCTTGGCAATGACTTTTTGGATTTGACACCAAAAGCACAGGCAACAAAAGTAAAAATAAACAAGTGGGATTACATCAAACTAAAAAGCTTCTTCATGGCAAAGAAAAAATCAACAAAATAAAAGACAACCTACAGTACAGGAGAAAATATTTGTAAGCCATATATCCAATAAGGGGTTAATATCCAAAATATATAAGGAACTCATACAACTCAATAGGAAATACAAAGCTAACAAGCAAACAAAAACTGGGCAAAGGATCTGAATGGACATTTTCCCAAAGATGAAATACAAATGGCCAATAGGTATATGGAAAGACGCTCAGCATCACTAATCATCAGAAAAATGTAAATCAAAAACCACAATGAGATAACTTTTTATTTCTTAATTATTATAGACTCATGAGAAATTGCAGAATTAGCATAGAGCTGTGGCCCCTTACCCAGTTTCCCCAATGGGGATATATATACTTTTTGAGACAAGGTCTTGCTCTGTCACCCAGGCTGGAGTGCAGTGGCACAATCACAGCTCACTGCAATCTCAACCTCCCAGGCTCAAGCGATCCTCCCACCTCAGCCTCCCTAGTAGTTGAGACTGGAGGCATGTGCCACCGTATCTAGATAATTTTTTTTTTTAATTTTTTTATAGGGACAGGGTTTTGCCACGATGCCTAGGCTGATCTTGAACTCCTGGGCTCAAGAGATCCCCCTTCGCTGGCCTCCCAAAGTGCTGGGATTATAGGCATGAGCCACCACACCTGGCCCCAAGGGTGATATCTTATGAAATTAAAGTGCATTTCAAAACTAGGAAATGAAGTGACTCAATACAATTATGTACCACAGCCCTTACTCAGATTTTACATTTTTTTGCATGCATTCATTTTTATATGTCTTTGTGTATAACTGCATTACATTTTACGACATGTACAGATGGCTCTAGCTCCCATCACAATCAAGACACAGAAGTGTTTTGTCACCACAAAGGAACTCCCTGTGCTGTTTATACACGTACTCCCGCTCCTTCTCTATTTTTAGATGTTCTCCATCTCTTTAATTTTGTCATTTTGAGAATGTTGTATGAATGAATCACAGAGTATGTAATCTTTTCAGATTATCGTTCTTTCACTCAGCGTAATTCTCTGGAGATTCACCCAAGTTGTTGCCTGCATCAACAGTTTGGTCCTTTTTATTGCCGCGTTGTAATTCATTGTATGGATGTACAGTTTGTTTAACCATCCACCCGCTAAAGGACATTGCATTGTTTCTAGTTTTTTGGCTATTACACATAAAGCTGCTATGAGTATTTGTGTGCAAGTTTTTTTGTGTATGAATACAAGTTTGCATTTCTCTAGGATAAATTTTTCTAGGAGCATAATTGCTGGGTCATATGGTAAGAAATCATCAGACTGTTTTCTACAGTAGCGTTCTCGTTTTTCATTTCCAATGGAAATGTATGAGAATTCCAGTTACTCCATATCCTGGTCAGCACTTAGTATTGTCAGTATATTTCATATTAGCCATTCTAAGTATGTAGTTATATCTCATTGTAGTTTTAATTTGCATTTCACTAATGACTAGTAATGCTGAACATCTTTTCATGTGTTTTTCGAACCTTATCATCTTGTTTGGTGAGATGTCTGTTCAAGCCTTCTGCCAATCTTCTAATTGCATCCTTTGTTTTCTTGTTTAATTTAAAGAGTTCTTTATATATTCTGTAATTATGAATTATTTGTCAGATCTGGGATTTGCAAATATTTCCTCCTAGTCGATGGTTTGTTTGTCATCCACTTAAGATTCTTCACAGAGCAAAAGTTTTTAATTTTAAAAATGTTTATTTGATTCATTTTTTCTTTATGGATTGTGCTTTTGATGTCATGAATAAGAACTCTTCCCCTTGGAGAGAATGTAGAGAATTAATGCACTTCTTCTGTAAATGATTGGTTGGAGTCTCTGGAAAAACCATCTGGGCCTGAATCTTTCTTTTTCTGAAGATTTAAAAATTACTGATTCAATTTCTTTAATAGTTATAGAACTATTAAGATTATCTGTTTTGTCTCAGGTGAGTTTTGGTAGTTTGTGTTTTTCAAGGGACTTGTCCATTATGAAGTCTATGTTATCTGACATTTAGTATATATAGCAATGCCAGCTTTCTTTTGATTGGTGAATCTTTTTCCATATATTTATTTCTAACCTACTCCTATGATTAGATTTGGAATGACTTTTTTTGTAGACAGAAAATAGTATCTTTTTTGTGACACAGGGTCTTGCTCTGTCACCCAGGCTGGAGTGCAGTGGTACCATCAGGGCTCACTGCAACCTCCACCTCCTGGGCTTGAGCGATCCTCCCATCTCAGCCTCCCAAGTAGCTGGGACTTCAGGCACACACCACCACACCTGGCCAATTTTTGTATTTTTTGTAGAGACGAGGTTTCACCATGCTGCCCAGGCTGGTCTGGAACTCCTGACCTCAAGTGATCCACCTGCCTCAGTCTCCCAAAGTGCCAGGACTACAGGCATGAGCCACTGTGTCCAGCCAGCAAATAGTCTTAAAACAAATGACAAAATAGAAAGTCTCAAGCAAAGAAACATGAGATATAAAGAACAAAATGGAAATATTGGAACTGAAAAATACGATAACCAAAATATTTAAAACTCACTGTAATGACTGAATAGCAGAATGGCAACAATAAAGGCAAGAGTCAATATCCTAGATCAATTGAAATCATCCAGTTAAACTAACAGACAGAAGACAGATTTTTTAAAAAATGAACAGAGCCTAGAGAACTGTGGAACAATAATAAAAGATTTAACGTTCACATCATTGGAGTCCCAAAGGAAAAGCTAAAAATCGGGCTGAAAAATATTCAAAGAATGATGGCTGAAATTTTTACAATTTTGGCAAAATTGTAAAGAAGATTCAAGAAGAAGAGAAGATTCAAGAAGCCAAGAGAAAATCAAACAGGTTGAACTCAAATCAATTCCAGACACATCATACTAAAACTTATGAAAATTAAAGACAAAAGAAATCTTGAAAAACAGCCCTACACAAGAACACAGATTCGAATGACAGTGGAGTTCTTATCAGAAATCATGGAAACCAGAAGGATGTGGCGCGAAACTTTTCAAGTGCTGTAAGCAAAGAACTGTCAACCCAGAATTCTTTTTTTAAAAAAATTTCAACTTTTATTTTAGGTTCAGGGGGTAAAACGTGCAGGTTTGTAACAAGGGTATATTGCATGATGCTGAGGTTTGGGGTATGAATGATCCTGTCACCCAGGTAGTGAGCACAGTACTCAATAGGTCGTTTTTCTACCCTTGCCCCTGTCTAGTAGTCCCCAGTGTCTATTGTTTCCATCTTTACATCCATAAGTACCCAATGTTTGGCTCCCACTTATAAGTGAGAACCTGAAGTATTTGGTTTTCTGTTCCTGCGTTGATTTGCTTAGGATGATGGCCTCCAGCTGCCTAAAATTCTTTATCTATCAAAAGTTTTCTTCAGGAATGAAAGTGAAATAAAGACATTCTCAGATAAAGGAAAATCAGCAGAATTTTTCACCAGCAGAACTGCCTTAAAAGAATGACCAAAAGAAGTCCTTCATATAGAAAGGATATGACAATGAAAGAAAGCTTGAAACATTGAGAATGAAGAAAGATAAACAGAATGGGCAAAAATACATGTAAATACCATAGACTAGCCATCTCCTCTTGAGCTTTAAAGACTATGTTAGATTATTGAAAGCAAAATTAGGTTGTCTGATGTGGTTCACAATGTAGGTAAAGGAAATATTTAGGATAAGTGAATGATAAAGTAGGAGCAGAAAAGAACCTATATGGACGTATATTTCACTTGAAGAGGTAAAATATCAATACTAGGAGGATGTAACAAGTTACGTATATACTGTGATCCCTAGAGCAATAAGTTAAAACAAACAAAAACAAAACAGTTCAAAACCAAAAACTATACAAAGATACTGTACAGGGGAGGGAGGGAAGATAACACCTACACCTGGTATTACAACTTTCCTTCTCATTTCAGATGACCTTTTTTCTTTTTCCATTTCACAGCTCACAAACTGCACCCCTTCAACAACTGCTTCCACAAGCAAACTTTCGAGGCTACTAGCAATACTTCCTTATTTCTCAAGTATTTAACCTATGTGAAACTGGGCTACCATTTTTATTAGGTTCTTATCTTTTTGTGCATATCATGGATGAAGGCTTTGAGCACTGTACCCCTAACCCTATTTTCCCCCATAAGCCCTGTGGTTTGTATTGCACAAATCTGCATAGCATTATGATTTTGAGGACTGTATATGTCCCATTATAGTGGGACTTACTGTATCTAAGAGACCTCTTCAGAACTGAGCAACCACTTTCAGAACTATCCCATTATAACTCAAAGATCTCCTTCAACAGTGCCTTTATATTTAATTTAGAGTGGCTGACCGGGCATGGTGTAATCCCAACACTTTGGGAGGCTGAGGTGGGCGGATCGCTTGAGCCCAGGAGTTTGAGACCAGCTTGGGCAACATAGGGAGACCTCGTCTCTAATAATAAAAAATAATAATAATGATTAATAGAGAGGCCAAAACTGCCCTTTAAGTGCTTGTAAAGTAGATTTGTTCCTTATTTACAATAAAAAAGTAAAGCTCAAATATAAAAAAGTCAGGACAAGTTTAAAAAACCAGTATCATTGATATTTATTGAGTGCCCCCTATGTGGCACGTGTTGGGCATACATTACCTCTAGTGCACACCCACAGCAATCCTTTAAGGGAGGGATTTTCAACTTCATTTCACTTATAAGGAAAACGGGCTCACAAAAGGGGCAGGTTCTTGCCAACATCATTCATTGATGCAGGTGCATTCTATACTCCTTTTGCTGCACCACACTGGCTCCCAATGTGTGAGTAACTGAACGGACCCTATAAGTGCAGGTACTAGAATGCTTGTAATTCCCTAGCACCCTGCATGATGTTTCATGCTTCCATGCTTTTGCCTATGTTGTTCCTTTGCCTGGAACACCTTTACAGCCCTTTATTGCCTGGGAAATTCTTGGTCACCCTTCAAGAATTTTGTATTCCTAGTGTTTAAGTATCCAGCCTGGCATAGAGTAGGCACTCAGAAAATATTTGTTGACCTGAAATGAATCAGAATACAGTGTTGTTCATAGGTAGCCCTCATTATTCAGGTGCTTAAGAGGCAGACATTTCCTAGTACAGATCATCTTATTGTTTTTCAAGGGGGAGGATGGTCACTTAATCTGGGACACCCAAGGGCAGCACCCCAATTTTGTTATCAACCAAGGGTCTTGTCTTTTATCTCTCATCACTCCTCCACCCCCAAATATATTTTCAGTACATTCACAGATTCTTATACTTTTGGTGATGGCTTCTGTTAACACTAGACAGGTTATTTAAACCTGAATACCCACTTATTACTCCACAGTTGTGAAGATCCACTTGTAGTTACCACAGTGTTTGTGGCCCTAGCCAGGGCCATTCCCCAAACTAGAATCAAGCTACTTGGGAAGTAAAATCAGAAGTTTGCTTGGTCAATGTGGAGTCAAAACAAGAGAAAAGGAGTCATTTGGAGAGGCTCTGTCACTCAGGCTCTTGAGAAACCAGCACACTGATTGAAACATTTATCTCCTATATCCAGCATCTCTTTTCCCTAGGATAGTACTGGATAAACACCCAATCTATTTTATCTTTTGGAACCCTCATTTTTCTATGCTGGCCCCTCATCTTCTGTTGACACATCCTTTCCTTAGAGTGCTAAAATCGTTTGTTAATTTAGTTGTCATTCCCAGTGGTCTATAGGGATAGTCTGCCTCGTCCTATTATATATGACCAACAGCTCCACACTGTTTCGAATCTAGCAATCAACTAGATTCCCTTTGCTGAAAACTCAATAATAATAATAACTAATATCTATTAAGTACTTACTCATTATCATGTACTGTGCAAAGCACTTTACATGCATTATCTCATTTATTTTTAACAAGAGACACTACTATTATCCCCATTTTACAGATAAGGAAATTGAGGCAAAGTATAGTTAAGTTACTTGCCTATGGTAAGTAGGCAATTTTTGCTCTTAATAAGTGGCGAAGTCAGGACTTCCTCCCGTGTAACAAAAGATTGGTAAAATTTACTAATCAGTAAATTAGTAAAAGAAACTGGATCCTAGAGGCTGTCTTGATCTAACCAGGAGTATGTTTGTCCATTTGTTTACAAAATCTTAAATTATCTCACTGTTTGGCACATCTCATGTGCATGAAATTCTGTACCAATATGGTTACTCCTCACCTATCCAAGGGTGAGAGGAAACATAGGTCTACTCTGGAAGATAATCCTTACTAAAATCCAACCAAACTTTGCTAAGTGGACTGTGACAAGATTATAAATGATATTTAAAAAAAAAAACATTTGGTCATCAATTTAAGGAAATAATTTGCCTACACAGATTTTTGTCATTTCAAAAAGGTAATATATTCCACTCTCATATGGTCCTTAGAATTAAAGCATAGCAAATAGAAAAGGAGAGGAAAAGAATATAATTGAGTGCTAAGGCAGAATATCTTGCCAGATGTAATGAAGATAGATTATACACTAAATATGTGCATAGAGTTTCATAGAGTTAACCAGATAACTGCTTGTATTTTTCACTTACACAGACAAAATAGATTTTGCAGTTACCAGTTGTATTAAATGCATCAAATAAATCTCCTAAAATTGATACTATAAAGTGCCACCTTAAGTTATCTGGGATGCAACTGTGTATCATTTTAAAATGGCTTTCACAAATGTATTTATTTATTTGAGACAGGGTCTTGCTCTGTCACCCAGGCTGGAGTGCAGTGCTGCGATCATGGCTCACTGCCGCCTTGAACTCCTAGGCTAAAGTGATCCTGGCCATTCAGCCTCCCAAAGTGCTGGGACTACAGGATGAGCCACAGATTTATTTATTTAAACATAACATGAGGAAGGTATTAAAACCTTTCAGATTTTGGGAGGTATGAAGAAGGTGATGCTTAGAACCCTTCACAAGGATTCCACTAGAAGTGGATTAAGTGCTGTGCTTTGTGGATGTGACAATTAGTCAATGCCACCAGCTTGATGGATCTTTCTTTCTGTACCAAATCCCAAAAAATTCCATGCTTTCAGTGATCACTAAAAGCTGAGCTCCATCTTCAGCTAGGTGGGTTAAGAATTCAATGCTCTCATTCAATCCCAGAGTGGTCCAGTGACTGCTACAACACCTGGCCTATAGGTGATGCTTATTAAATATTGGTTGAATGAATGGATGAATGAATGAGAAAAGAGATCTGGGAGCCTGACTTGCACTGGGTAAAATCCCAACAGACTGCCCAACAGAGCAAGGTGCAATATTGGGGAACACACCTGCGAAGTCAGTGGAACCTACGGATTGAATGTTCAGTGTATTCTCTCCTCAAAAAGAAAGATGACTTCGGAAATCTCAAATGCTGCTTCTGTTCCACAGTAGTAAACAAAGGGAGCTGTGTAACAAGATCTGAGATTATTATCAAGTTCTACGATCCTGATGCAGCCATCTCCACTCTAAGGGTGTTTCTTCCCACAATTTATACATGTCAGCTTTCACCCTTCTCATTGACTAGAATGAAGGTAAGTGGTGAGCCAATCTGACCATGAAGATGAGAGTAATGTCAGAGAGTGGATGGAGCAAGAAGACAGAAGCAGGTTGGATCCCTGACAATTTTAAAGAGTAGAGCCACCGTAATGGCTTAGACCTTTATGTGCGGGAAAAATAAACTCCCATCTTATTGAAGCCACCATTATTTTGGATCTTTCCATTGTAGAAGCTACTAACATTGTACCACTTTCTGAGAAAGAGTTTATTTCTGCAGATTACTGATCTCATGCATTTTGTTTGATTCTTCCAATTCTTACTCATGCAGGGTAACTTTACATTTGAATGAAAGATTAAGTCAACAAATATTTGTTGAGAACTCACCTGTGCCAGGCATTGTGCTAGGAGAACTGTGTTGTACTGTGTGTGTGCTATGAACATCTATTGCACAGACCTGTTGCAAAGATTAAAGGTGTGTGATTAAAGCTAATGTGTGTGAAAATGCCTAGAGCAAATGATAAGCACAGAACAAGTACGTATGTGTTTTATTCGGAAACCCACATTGACTTTTGCTGCTTTTGGTTCTCAAAGATAAGCAGGTACCTCTGAAAAGATTGTTAATTTCTGAATTCAGTATCAGTGTCAGTGGGGGAGAATACCTGTAGGTCTGAAAAACAAAATCTCTGGTGAGAGAGGCACTTGTAGTAGAACAAATAAGCATCAGAACTAATGCTAATTCTAGGCACGATAGATCCATTTCTTTTCTTTTCTTTCTTTTCTTTTCTTTTCTTTCCCTTTCTTTCTCTCTTCCCTCCCTCCCTTCCTTCTTCTTTTTCTTTCTTTCTTTCTTTTTCTTTCTTTCTTTCTTTCTTTCTTTCTTTCTTTCTTTCTTTCTTTCTTTCTTTTTTCTTTCTTTCTTTCTCTTTCTTTTTTCCCCTTTCTCTTTCTTTCTTTCTCTTTCTTTTTTTCTTTTCTTTTCTTTCTTCCCTTTTGATAGAGTTTCCCTCTGTTGCCCAGGCTGGAGTGCAATGGTGTGATCTCAGCTCACTGCAACCTCCACCACCTGGGCTCAAGTGATTCTTGTGCCTCAGCCTCCCAAGTGGATGGGGCTGCAGGTATGTGCCACCACACCCGACTACTTTTTGTATATATGTATTTTTTGTAGATGGGGTTTCGCTATTTTGCCCAGGCTGGTCTCGAACTCCTGGCCTCAAATGATCTACCTGCCTAGGCCTCCCAAAGTACTGGGATTACAGGCGTGAGCCACTGCGCCTGGCCAGAAAAGGAGACTATTTTTTATAAGGGATTACAGCCTGCAAAGTGGTCATTACACAGGCTGGGAAACATAGCCTGTGGAAAAGACCAGAGGCAGGCACCTCAAAGGAGAAGGGTTTGTACAGGAATTTAAGGTGAACAAGTTGGCCAAGTATACATATTTAGCAGGTTACATGAAGAGCTATGAATATTCATGAAGGTGGTCCTGATGCATGTGTATTGAACAAACCATGTATATAACATATAATCCATGGTCACTTTGGAGTGGAGACAACATTTAAATGTATTATAATTAGGCCCCATACTTGAAAAGGTGAACCAGGGACATGGAGGTGCTCAAGTGTGCAGCCTCTGTAAACCAGCCAGAACCAGTCTATGGCTAATGGTCTCTTATCAGGAGAAAGTTACTGAAATCAGTCCGTTGTTCAATAAGCTGTAATTATGGTTTGTGGAAGAAGGGGTCAGTCAGTGTCTGGTGGTGGATTAGCTGCAATTGTTTTAATATTGCTTATTTTGAAGCCAGTGCTTGTTTAGTTGCTAGAGAAAAAGAAAAACCTTGCAGCAGTGAGAACAGAGTTTATTCTTTAAGTGTGAGGAGTACATGACTTCACCCTTGCCTGGCATGGCCTTAGGTCCTGTTTATAATTTGGTATCTTATTGTCACAAAGAGCCTGTCCTGTCAGTCTTATGATCTCTATTTTAACATTAATGCTGGTCAGCTGTTGTGTCTAAACCATAAAAGGGAGGGGGTGTAATGCGGCAAGTCTGACCTCCCATCCTATCATGGCCAGGAACTCAGTTTTTGTTTTTCTCTGGGGCTCCCTTGGCCAAGAGGAGGTCTGTTCAGTCAGTTGAGGGGCTTAGGATGTTACTTTTAGTTTACAATAGCACATAACAGAGGGTTCCAAATTGAGGAGTTCAAGGCAATTCATTGAATTGTAGTGAGTAAATATTAGAATTTGTTTAATATTCAGTTTTAACTTGAATCTATAAAGAATAAGAAATAAATAATAAAGTACAAGAAACTATGCAGTTAGAATGGCGATCATTAAAAAGTCAGGAAACAACAGGTGCTGGAGAGGATGTGGAGAAATAGGAACACTTTTACACTGTTGGTGGGACTGTAAACTAGTTCAACCATCGTGGAAGTCAGTGTGGCGATTCCTCAGGGATCTAGAACTAGAAATACCATTTGACCCAGCCATCCCATTACTGGGTATATACCCAAAGTATTATAAATCATGCTGCTATAAAGACACATGCACACATATGTTTATTGCGGCACTATTCACAATAGCAAAGACTTGGAACCAACCCAAATGTCTAATAATGATAGACTGGATTAAGAAAATGTGGCACATATACACGATGGAATATTATGCAGCCATAAAAAAGGATGAGTTCATGTCCTTTGTAGGGACATGGATGAAGCTGGAAACCATCATTCTCAGCAAACTATCGCAAGGACAAAAAACCAAACACTGCATGTTCTCACTCATAGGTGGGAATTGAACAATGAGAACACATGGACACAGGAAGGGGAACATCACACACTGGGGCCTGTCATGGGGTTGGGGGAGGGAGGAGGGATAGCATTAGGAGATATACCTAATGTTAAGTGATGAGTTAATGGGTGCAGCACACCAACATGGCACATGTATACATATGTAACTAACCTGCACGTTGTGCACATGTACCCTAAAACTTAAAATATAGTAAAAAAATAAAAAAGAAACTATACATTATTAATATTTAATATAAGGATTGATAGTAGCACTTTTACTCAGCCCTTATGCAGGATGGTGACCTGTTATGTACTATAGGTGAGGTATCTTCAGAAAAGAGTGGGAGTTCCAACGGGGGTAGGGATTAAGAGTGCCATACTCTCTCTGATTTTTTGGGAACATTTTTCTATTCACATGAGCTCAGGTAAGTGGAATTATGGATTTATTTATTTACTTCGGTTTTTTTAAAACTAATGCTCACAAAATGGACAAATTGCTTCAGAAGAGACCTGCAAAGAAGCTATGGATTAAAGATAAAATAATGTGGCCGGGCGTGGTGGCTCACGTCTGTAATCCCAGCACTTTGGGAGGCCAAGACAGGTGAATCACCTGAGGTCGGGAGTTCATGACCAGCCTGACCAACATGGAGAAACCGCATCTCTACTAAAAATACAAAAATTAGCCTGGCGTGATGGCGCATGCCCATAATTCCAGCTACTTGGGAGGCTGAGGCAGGAGAATCGCTGGAACCCAGGAGGCGGAAGTTTTGGTGAGCCGAGATCGCGCCATTGCACTCCAGTCTGGGCAAGAAGAGTGAAACTCTATCTCAAAATAATAATAATAATAATAATAATAATGATAATAATGTAAACTCATGCAAGACAAAAGAAAACAAAGAAAACCCAAAACAACCAATCAGGTCAAAGAGCTGGCACTTAAACTCCTACTAAGTGAACTTTATCAGTCACACTACAAGTTAAGGGCATTGATAATCTAATGAGATCTGACAAGACATTGACCCCAACATTCAGCCTTTTTTTTTTTTTGTCATTATGAAAACTTGGCATACATTCAGCACTTCTAAGATGTTTTGAAATCTGGATATACACTCATGATCATTAGAAAGAAATCTTGCCCTAAGTGCTTGGATTTTGTAACTCAAGATTATCAGTTACTGACAGTAAGAAGCTATCATGATAGTTAAGACCTCTAAAAATAATATTTATTTCATTTTTATCTTATTTTAGAATTTCAAATTGAGATATTTTCAATTTGTTTCTCAATATTTTTTAACTGATTGTGCTTGGAGGTCACTGGTATTGAGAGAAGAGCATGGGTATTGAAGTCAGAGGGATCTGAATTCAACTTCTGTCCCCTACTCTCTATATCCACAGCCAAACAAGGCAAGATCATCTCCTTCCTGGACTAACACAATGACCTCTTAATTGTCCTTCTTGACTTCCCTCTAATTCTCTTACGTCAAGGCTATGATCTTACTGGGGGTACCATTCACATAGAATACAATGTGTGCTGTCCCGGCAACCCTGCGGCCAGAATCACTTTCCTAAAACAAATCCACTCTTGCCACTCTCTTTTAGAAGCTTTTATTGAATTCCTATAACTCTGAACCAAGGGTTCCCAAAATAGGATCCAAGAGTCCTTGAGAGTCCTTGAGATTCATTAAGCAGGTCCACAAGGTCCTCCTTTTTCTAACCACCTATCTGTGTGAAGCCAGATTCTTTTTCATATACTTTAACGAAAACAACATAATGCAACAGATTGAATTTATTTATTTATTTTCCTTTCTCTTTTTTTTTTTTTTTTTTTTTGAGATGGAGTCTTGCTCTATTGCCTAGGCTGGAGTGCAGTGGCACAATCTCGGCTCACTGCAACCTCCGCCTCCCAGATTCAAGCGATTTTCCTGCTTCAGTTTTCCCAGTAGCTTGGATTACAGGCATGTGCCAACAAACCCAGCTAATTTTTGTATTTTTAGTAGAGACAGGGTTTCAACATGTTGGGCCAGGCTGGTGTTGAACTCCTGAACTCAAGTGATCCACCCGTCTCAGTCTCAGCCTCCAAAAGTGCTGAGATTACAGGCATAAGCCACCACACCTGGCCTGAATTTAGAAGCAGATATAGGAATCCAACTGTCATCTATTAAAGAGATCTGGAAATATGTAAAACAATACCACTTTTCTCACTTACTTTTCAGTTTTGGAAAACAGAAAATATTGTTATTTTTCACAAAATGCTATTCATGCTAAAATATAGCTAATATATAGTTTATTGTTGTTATTTTATTTTTGAGATAGTGTCTCACTCTGTTGCCCAGGCTGGAGTGCAGTGGCATAATCTAGGCTCACTGCAACCTCCGCCTCCTGGGTTCAAGCAATTCTCCTGTCTCAGCCTCCCAAGTAGCTGGGGTTACAGAGGCATGCCACCACACCCAGCTAATTTTTGTATTTTTAGTACAGACGAGATTTTACCATGTTGGCCAGGCTGGTCTCGAACTCCTAACCTCAAGTGATCTACCCGCCTCGGCCTCCCGAAGTGCTGGGATTACAGGTGTGAGCCACCATGCCTGGCCCATTGTTGTTATTTTAAAATGAATAAGTAAATACTTAAAAATTTTTTCAGTTTAATTTCTAATGTAGTAAAAATCACTAGATACAGCCCATATAAACAAAAGCTTCTGGGGGGTCCTCAATAATTTTTAGGCATTTACTGTGAAAGGGTCCTAAAGACAAAACGTTTGAAAACTGCTGTTCTGAAAAATAAACTCCAAAATCCTTCAGCACCAAGGCTTACTAAGGTTTTTCTGATCTGATGCCTGCCTACTCATTGGCCTTACCACTGCCCTCTAGAAGTTTCCTGTCTAGTTATACAGAACTGCTTACAGTTTCCCTAACTAGTACAACTGTCTCTACCTCTTGGGCCAAACACTGGGGACTTGTAGGGTTATTAATTAATTAATTTATTAATTAATTTATTTATTTATTTATGTAGAGATGGGGTCTTGCTATGTTGCCCAGGCTGGTCTCAAACTCCTGGGCTCAAGCAATCCTCTTGCCTCAGCCTCCCAAAGTGCTGGGATTACAGATGTGAGCCACCATGCCCGGCCTTGTAGGGTCATTTCTGAAGAGAGAGGGCCTAGGAAAAAATCTTAGTGCTAGTAGGAGTCTCAAAGACTCTATTGGTCAGGGTTCTTGGTGACAAACAAACAATAGAACTCACTCTAGCTAGTTTTAGTAGAAAAATAAGAATTTAAGTATATTAAGTAACTCAGAAAATTTGAATTGTCCACAGAACCAAATAAATTTTGTCTCCAAAAACAATAGCCCAGTTGAGCTCCTCTGGGAGAGGCACTATTGCTCTCTGTAGGTAGGCTTGGTGTAGCTTCAACACCAATGCAGGCCTGATGCATCACTGCAACACAATTTAGCACCACTGCCTGTGAAAGCTGGCTGTCTCTCCTCCACATCCTCCACAGTGGACTCTGAGCAGTGCCTCTTTCATGGCATGCTCTTCCAAATTGAATTCTCTTCCAAATCTCTATTGGGTTCAGTAGGCTCTAAGTCATATGCTTGTAACCTGTTGGCAAGGGAAGCAGGAATGCAGATGTCTGGTTCCTGCTTTGGGAAATTGTGAGCTCATAAAGTAGCAGAGGGCTCAGACAAAGGAAGAGGGCTCAAGGATGTCACAAAATGATAAATTTCCACTCCAGAGACCATAAAATCCAACCCCCTGGTTTTTCAGATGGGGACTGACTTTCCTAATGTCATACACCTCTCTCATTTGTGACAGAGCTGACCCTGGAAGCCATGTGTCCCTTCGATGCTCTTTCTACCAACAAGCATTGTTTCCCAAGTGTCCAACTGTGTCATGTGCAATATTCAGACAGGATGTAGTCAGGAAGGAAACCAAACAAAAGCTGATATTTGTTCTTTTATTCATTCAACATAAATTTCTTGAGCACCTGATTTGTGCCAGGAACAGCTACACAATGATCTCCAGAAATCACTCTCTGGGGGGTGAAACAGACAAGTAAACAGGCAATTTCTATACAATGTTAGAAGTGCTATAATAGAGAAGCATAGGTGGCCCTGGGTACACAGAGTAGGATCCAATGGCGTCAAACTCTTGTTATGGGAGGTTTTCCATCAGACAAAAACCTGAATAGCATATTCCTGAGATTTTACATGGGTTTTTAATTTCAGGTGCTTAAGCAATGTAAAGATTACTCACAGGCATTTTCAGACATAGGTCCGATGATGTTCTGGAAGTTGCCCAATGTTGCACAGCCTCCATGAGGCATACCTCATTGGAAACCATATTCTGTTGTATGGCTGACTTCTGGGGGTCCTCAGTTTCTTCATCTGTACAATGAGGATGATGACTACTTTGATTTCATTTGATCTGAGGACCAAATAATATAGTATCTTCAATCAAGGCTCTTCTGGTTGCTAGCAACAGAAACCTACTTGAGCTAGCTTAGTTAATAGGAAGGCTTATTATAGGATATAAGGAGTTTCATGGAACACAAGGTCAGTAAGTGTAGCCATGTGTCAGGAGGGACTAAAGCCATGAACTGGAAACTCACCAGGAATCAAGGCAGTTCTGTCCCTCTCAGTCTGTGTGTTCTTTTGTCTATCCATATCCACTCCAGTCTCTTCATGATCCTGATTTCTCTGCTTTTCCATGACCTTGACTAAATATAGCTTCTCCACAGCGATTGGATTTATAAGTCTTGGGTTTAAGTGACCAAAAGTGCTGACTGGCATCTCTGAATCCAATTCTAAATTTTCAGGGTAGAATCTGCTTGTCCCAGTTTAGATCAGGGATGCTGTGTGGTTCAATCAGTTCCACCCAGGAGTCAGGGTTGCGACACAGCTGCCAGGAACCCACCCCTGTGGCTGGTGGCTGGGAGAGATCTGGTTCTTAGAGAAGGGGGATTAGGGGCTTGGCAGACCCCCCCAAAGCAGATAATGTATGAGAAGGCATGACGACAGAAATAGTGGAGGATCCCAATAATGGCCATCTATTTTTCCTGCCTGCCTGCTACCTGTTCTTTTTTTCTGGTAATAGTTTTTATTCTTTGGGCTCTGAGTGGTGGACACATGATCCAAGTTGGATTGATCATAGTACCTCATACCCTGGCCAAGCTCAGTATGCTTGTTCCATTTAGCATCATTTTGGAATCCTTCTCCCTCTCCATAATCTGGCCATTTAACTCCTCCCACCCTTTGAGGCTTTACCTCAGGTTCAGTAGTGTTTATAGTCTGTCTCACACAGTTGCAAGGATTTTATGTTCTCTGCTGACTTTGAGCCTCGTGTCCCTAATGAGATATATAGGAAAGTCTTCTAGGAGTCAACTGGGTCACCAGGTGGGGACATAAACCTTTCCCAGAAGTTCCGTAGCTGACCTCCTTTTATACTTCACTGGCCAGAACTGAGATCAATCACTGGTGAGGGGGAAGAGCACTGCTGTAACTGTTGTAAACTGATTATGGCTCATCTAGTGCTGACTCACCTCCTGAGATCAAGAGATCTCTGTCAAACACTTGATCAATGTTGGGCTGCTATTAGCAAGAAGATAGAAGAATAAAATTGGCCAGGCATGGTGGCTCACACCTGTAATCCCAGCACTTTGGGAGGCTGAGGTGGGCAGATCACTTGAGGTCAGGAGTTTGAAACCAGCCTCGCCAACATGGTGAAACCTCATCTCTACTAAAAATACAAAAATTAGCCAAACGTGCTCACTTGAACCCAGGAGGCGAAGATTGCAGTGAACCAAGATTGTGGCACTACACTCCAGCCTGGGCGACAGAGCGAGACTCTCTCTCAAAAAAAAGAAAAAAAAGAGAGAAAGAAGAATGCTTGCCAAAAGTGTCTGTTCCAGACTGTGACCTCTAGGAAGATATGGGCTACTTGTGGTTTACTCTGTCTGCTATCAGTTTCCTTCAACTTGCAGGCCTTCTCATGCAGCCCCTAATTTCCTTCCTCTGTCCTCCTCCCATTGCATGCTTGCATGCTTCAGGGCAATTCATGGCTTCTAGCCTATTCTCTAGAAGGGGAACATGTCTGAGACCCTGCGGCTCTGGTGAAAAGGAATGGGTGTAGCAAAGAAGGGTAAATGAATACTTTCAAGTCTCTTTTTTGCATGACCTTCTTACCTTATTGCAAGAAGAACTAGGTAGTATCTGTCTGACACACATGGCCACATAGCATAGGGTAGGAGCAGGGCTCCTGGGGCAGATCTCCTGCATTCCGACTCTAGTGTCAATAGTTGTGGTAACTTAGGTCAAGTAACTTAAACTCTCTGTGCCTCAATTCGTCAGTTTTTTTTTTTTTTTTGAGACAGGGTCTCACTTTTTCACCCAGGCTGGAATGCAGTGTTAAGATCCTGTTTCACTGCAGCATCGACTTCCTGGGCTCAAGCTATCTTCCCACCTCAGTTCCTCAAGTAGCTGGGACTACAACTGTGTGCCACCAAGGCATGCTATTTTTTTTTTTTGTAGAGACAGGGTTTCACCATGTAACCCAGGCTGGTCTCGAACTCCTGAGATCAAGCAATCCTCCTGCCTTAGCCTCCCAAAGTGCTGGGATTACAGGCGTGAGCCACCGAACCTGGCCTAATTCATCAGTTTTAGCAAGGACAATAATACTATGTATGTACCTCATAGGGTTTTTGTAAAGATTAAAATGAGATAATAAATGCAAAACCCTTAGTATAGTGCTTGCATATAGTAAGTACTCACTAAATATCACTACTTATTACAGTAACTATTATTCATGCTACTGGAAAAGTCTGGAAAGAAACAATACTTGTGTCCAAATGGTGGATGCTGGGGGATTTAAAAATTTTTCTTCCTTATACTGTTCTGTATGCAAATGTCCTACAATGAGCATGTACTGCTTTAAACAATCAGAATGTAACACAAGATATCTCATTAAAAATCAATATTCAAACCCTCACATAAACATGAAACTCAAGAAAGGTCTTAAGTTGGGACATTTGAAACTATCAGAAAGAATCTACCTGCTACTGCCTGTCAGCACAACTACAGTGTAGACTAGTCACTATACCTCTTAGACTACACTCAAGCAGGGAAAAGCCTCAGCTGGTATTTCACAGCATTCCTAGGAAAAAGTGATGAAATGATGGATGGGAAAATATTTTGCAAAACTGAAAGCATATAGGGATAGAGAATATAATGATAATTAGGTTCAGATTCTTTGAATTTAGCTAAGCCAAAGAGGGCTGAGGATGCTAACCACTGAACTTTTTGAATGGGTAGGACTGGGTCAAGAGTTACCAGACTGCAGGCTGGGCGAGGTGGCTCATGCCTGTAATCCCACAACTTTGGGAGGTCGAGGCAGGCAGATCACTTGAAGTCAGGAGTTTGAGACCAGCCTGGCCAACATGGCGAAACCCTGTCTCTACTAAAACCATAAAAATTAGCCGAGTGTGGTTTTATGCCTGTAGTCCCAGCTACTCTGGAGGCTGAGGCAGGAGAATTGCTTGAACCTGGGAGGCAGAGGTTGCAGTGAGCTGAGATTGCACCACTGCACTCTAGCCTCTAGCCTGTGCAATAGAGCAAGACTCCCTCTCCAAAAAAAAAAAAAAAAGAGTTATTAGGCTACAAGCTGGTTGGGCATTTTGAGACACAGTGTCCTACTGTGCAGAGCAAGGCTGAAGCTAGGATAGATGGTGGAAATATTGGACCTGACCTGAAGGCATAGGGAAGATAGGAAGAAGGAAGCTAGCATTTGTTAGGCACCTGCGACTGTCAGTTACTTTACATAAAATCTCAAGGAACTTAATCCTCACCTCCATGACAAATGTCAGAGGGACTTTCTATCACTGGAATATGGCCTTAAGACTTTGTGCCCAAGTCATGAACCATCTTTTCAGTCTTCTTCTCTCAGATGCCTCTTATCGTGGTTTTCTTGCATGGAAATCCCATTAAACAACTATCCTGATATTCATTCCATCTCCTTTCTTTCTTTTTTTTTTTTTTTTTTTTTGAGGCGGAGTCTCGCTCTGTCACCAGGCTGGAGTGCTGTGGCGCGACCTTGGCTCACGGCAACCTCCAGCTCCCTGGTTCAAGCAATTCTGCTGCTTCAGCCTCTTGAGTAGCTGGGATAACAGGCACGCACCATCACGCCTGGCTAATTTTTGTATTTTTAGTACAGATGGAGTTTCACCATGTTGGCCAGGATGGTCTCGATCTCCTGACCTCATGATCCACCCGCCTCAGCCTCCCAAAGTGCTGGGATTACAGGTGTGAGCTACAGCGCCTGGCCTCATTCCATCTCCTTTCTAAGGTAAGTAGGTGCTAGACTTGGGGTTTTTAATAATTGGCCCACTCACGGGAGAGCCCTGGAAAAATGGCAGCAGGATTCTCCCCACTTGGGAAGAATTTGGTGAGAGCCAGGCAGAGGATCGGGGATCAACTCAGGGACCGGAGTAAAGTTGCAAGAGGGTCCCAGTTCCAGCATGTTGCTCAAGTATTGAGTGGAAAAACCAAAGCAAAAGACTGGGCCTTTGTAGCAAGTTGATACCTGGGGTCTGAAGAGAATTACAGAAGCAATGAAGGCAATGGGAATGCTTACAATCTGGAGGCCAGTGTCAATTTTACTAGGAAATAGTGAAGTAAGAAGAAGGAGTCAAGGAATGACAAACAGTCTTTTTAGGCAGGGTGCAGTGGCTCACGCCTGTAATCCCAGTACTTTGGAGGCCAAGGCGGGCAGATCGTTTGAGCTCACAAGTTCGAGACCAGCCTGGGCAACATGGAAAACCCAGTCTGTACAAAAAATACAAAAATTAGCCGGACATGGTGGTGTGCACCTCTAATCCCAGCTACTTGAGAGGCTGAGGTGGAAGGATGGCTTGAGCCCAGGAGGCATAGGTTGTAGTGAGCCAAGATCCTGCCACTGCACTCCAGTCGGGGCAACAGAGCCAGACCTTGTCTCAAACAAACAAACAAACAAATAAGACCACCACCAACAAAAGTCTTTTCAGTAGCCTTACATATTGATTTAATATAAATAATCAAGAATAACAGATACAAACTGTTGCACAAGTTTGTATCTTGTGCACAAGGGGCTGCACAAGTCTCAAGCTGAGAGCCAGCAAGAACCTACTTGTCCTCTTCCCTCAGCAAACAGCATCTACCTGTTCTACAGAATCTATGTGCTACTGCCTGCTATGAAATAGCTATTTTGCCCTTCACTTTGCCACTTCCATGCCCTTCGTACCCTGGAGAAAAGGACAGGGTACGTAGGCTTGTCATGACATGGGCCAACAGGAGGTACCCAGTGAGGTCTCAGTCTTATAGGCCACTCCCAGAGAATGTAGCTCTCAGCTCCCAGCTGTGCTCTGCTGCCCTAGGAGTGGGGATGCAGGTGAGAACTGCTGTCTTCCTCTGGGACAGGCCTCCTGCCTCTCTTCATCCTCATCTCTCTCCTCAGCCTTGTTCCCTCTGGACTTGAAGCTCTACATAGGCAGACCAGACAATGCTGGGCTTTCAGGACCTCATAGATTGGATTCCTGAGGGAGAGGTCTTGAGAAGGGGATCCACAGGCCAGCCCCAGTTGGTGGGCCTGGATGCTGGCATCTGAGCATCTGGACATCTTTTAGTTCTCATGCTGGGGGCTCACAGTGCAGGAAGGGTGTGTGATCCAGTCTGGCTACTCCCCGCCTCCAGGCCATGAGCTTGATCACATGGCCAGATGGAAAGCCCCCAAATGATTGAGTGTCCTGTGCGGGAACTCTAAAGAGGGAGATGAGAAAGACACAAAGAACTCCCCCTAGTCCTGAGCTCAAAGATGTCCGACTGTACTATAGCATGTAGGCCAATCTTGAGTGACAAATACTTTGTGGCCATACCCTTGAGAGGTAGAATGGGATGGAGGTAATCAGTGCGGTGATTGATGCCTTGTATCAGCTGCTGGTCCATCAGGAAGGGCTCCTTGTCCTCATCCCTGCTACTGAAGTAAAGTGGACCTAGGAATACACATAGTACTTGCCACCCTGGCTGGGCAGAAATGCCTCTCCCTGGTAGGTGAGGTTGTGCAGGTGAGACAGCAGGTCTCAGGGCTCCCAGTTATGCAGAAATAATGCTAGGACTGGGGTAGCTCCTCAGGATGGACCAGAGTTTCTGGAGGGGAAGGAAGAGAAGCAGGTGGCTGTTAAGGATGAGGGAGATCATCAACCTAGCATCCCACTGAACCTTCAGATTCAATTCAAGTTTTTGCCTCAGCTTTCCAAAGTCTCAAAGGTTCTTAACCAGGAGAGTGACTCGTTTAAATTATGACAAGAACCAGACAGCCTAGGTTCAAGTCTGGGCTGTACCACTCACTAGCTAGGTAACCTTGAGCAAGGAATTTTAACTTCTCTGGGCCTCAGTTTCCTTAAAATGTAAAACTGGGAAAATAATCTCTACCTTAATATGGAGATTACATGAGAAAGTGCAGGAAAAGGGCCCAGGACGGAGATTGGCACACCGGAGACATTCAACAAGCAGATTACTACTATTATTACTGAAAGAAAGGCCGAATACCTTAGCTAAGCTTTCAGGTCCCTCCATGACATGGCCGTCCCCTCTGTTTCAGCCTTATCTCCCACTTCTCTGTTGGGGCTTTCAGCTCCAATCCTGTGGGATTGTTTCCTCTCCCGGCCCATTCACGGTTCCACTTCTGTGCCTTCGATCATGCTCTTCCCCAGTTTAAATTGCTCTTTCTCCTCTTTACCTAAGCAAATCCATCCCATCCTTCACATTCCCTCCCGCCCAGAGGCAGAGCTGCAGGGCACCAGAGGGAGGTGAGCAGAGAGGAGTGAGGAATGGCAGCCAGCTGCCCCTTGGATGCATTGTAGAGTTCATCCTGGCTCTTGCAAAGGAAGTGGAAAAACAAGCCCTGATGGAGATGGGCATGGAGCAGAGGTGGGATAGTGGTGCAGAAAAACATCACTGGGATTTTTTTCTGAGAACTCTTGGACCTTAGACTAACACAAAGTGGGAAGGGATTGCAGCCTTGTTCAGTTAACGGGCCCATACCCTCCCAACAAGAATGTAAGTTCTCAGAGCCCAACTTGTGACAGCATCAAGGTCCATAGAAATGGAGAGCTTCCGTACCTTAGAGGTGAGGCCAAATGGAGTTAAATTTTACAGAAGCCTGCTTTTAAATACTTCAAGAAAGAGAATTTAATGGGATGCACACACACACACACACACACACACACACACACACATGTTCTGTCTTATATGTATATATAAACATACCTTTATATTACATAATATATTGATTATATTATATAGTATTTAATATATTAAGGTAATATATATTATATAATATATAATGTAATATATAAATATAATATGATATTATAATGTATTATATGTGATATATAATTATAGAAAATTATATTATATATAAATATTATAACATATATTATATTAATATAGTCTAGTATAATATGATAGCTTATTATATTATTTATAATATATAATACATAAATATTACAATATATTGATTATATATTAATTACATAATATATTATAGAATATCTATAATCTATTATAGATAATAGGATATAATATTGTACAGAATATATATTATATATACACTAACCACTTATATTTATATCCTTGTTATAGCTAAGCCTTGTTATCCAAGGCTTCTAGGATGTTAATACTAACCAGATATCTGGTTAACATCCAAAAGATCTTAATTAGGAATACACACTCCATGTGTTGTTTCTTTGAAGAAGCCCATACTTCAGTGGGCTGCCACAAATACTTAAGATATTTCCAATTGACACCAGAGGCTGTGAAATAGCATAAGGAAAATCACAAGTGATTTTTCCTTGGTGAAATGAATGATGTTCAACTGATGATGTTCAAGACATGTGGATTGGCTAGAAATATTATATGGGCACTACACATGTATATGCATAGACTACAAGGATTTAACCAGCCTACTGGACAGATTTCTCTTAGCTTAAGTTTCCCAAGCAGTCCAGTGTTCAGAGGCTACTGCATGATGGTTGCCTTAATCCTACCACTAAAATATGTCACACGCATAGTGCTGTCAGGGCATCTAAAGGGACAGAGATCTGGGATTTTGTGAACTTATAGAACAGTCCATATATTTGTAAGTGCTTGCTCTCTCCTTCACACTCTATATCTGGTCTGTCAGCGAGTCCTAATGTTCTACCTTCAAAATATTTATCCAGACTCAACCCACTTTGACCATGCCCATGGCCATTGCTCTGCTGCAAGCCACCATGAATCACCTTTAACTGGATGATTGCAAGAGCCTGCCAGCTGCACTCCTTGTTCCACTCTTGACTCCTTTTAGTGTGTCTCTCCATAGAGCAGCCAGAATGTTCCTTTTAAAGCATATGTCACATAAGTTGACAAGTAACATCACTCCTCTACTCAGAACCCTCTGATGGCTTCCTGTTTCATTTATTAGAAAAGCTGAAGTGCTAACTCTGGATTCCAAGATCCTCACTGATCTGGTGACCCTCACTGATCTGGTGCTCTCCCACCTGCTGATCCCCATTGTTAGCCTTGTTTTTTCCATTACTGTTCTTTCCCTCATTCACTTCCCTCCAGCCACACTGGCCTCCTCACTGTCCCTCAAGCATTCATCTTTTCAAATTATATGGATAGGTAGGTTATTTATCCACAAATTTCACTTCAAGGTAACAAAAGGGTGTTACAAATTATTTGCTATAAAAACACATTGAGTTTGGTGGATCACTATCCATCAAAAGTTGGATAGTGTTTAAGGATCACTATCTTAGAGTTTCCTTCCTTTACAATCCTCCCTTCTTCTTCATGAGGCTATGTCCTGGCCTCTATTTCTCTGCATTTCACTGCTAACACTCTCTATTTTATGGCTTACGTTTCCCTAAAAATGTATGGATAGTCTGTGGTAGCCAGTTGTATTAGTTTGTTCTCACATTGCTATAAAGAAGCACCTCAGACTGGGTAACTTATAAAGAAAAGACATTTAGTTGACTCACAGTTCTGCAGGTTGTTCAGGAAGCACGGCTAGGGAGGCCTCAGGAAACATACAATCATAGAAAGTGAAGGAGAAGCAGGCACATCTTACATGAGACAGAGGAAGAGAGAGTGAAGGGGGAGGTGCTACACACTTTTAAACAACCAGATCTAATGAGAACTCACTATCACAAGAACAGCAAGGAGGAAATCCACCCTCATGATCCAGTCACCTCCCACCAGGCCCCTCCTTCAACACTGGGGATTACAATTCAATATGAGATTTGGGTGGGGACACAAATCCAAACCATGTCACTAGCCTCCAGGATGGCCCCCAATAATTCCTCCCTCCTGGTATTCATACTATTGTGTAGCCCCATTCCACACTGCATAGGATTGACCTGTGTAACCAATAGTATATTGTGGAAGTGATGGAGTGTGACTTCTAAGGCTAGATCATAAAAGACATTATGGCTTCTGTATTTCCCTCTCGGACTACTCTTTCTGCGGAAAGTCTGCTGCTATGTGATGGGGACGCTTAAGCAAGCCTGTGGAGAGGTCCATGTTATGAGGAACTGAGGCCTCCTGCCAATGTGCAGCACCAATTTGCCAGCTATATGAGGGAGCTACCTTGGTAATATATCCTTCAGCTCCAGACATGCCTTCAGAGGATGGCAAATGCCATTGACATCTTGACTGTAATCTCATAAGAAACAGAGCCAGAATCACCTAGTTAAGCTTTCCCCAGATTTCTGGCCAGCATAAATTGTGTATGATAATAAATATATATATATATATTTTTTATGACAGGGTCTCGCTCTGTTGCCGGGGCTCGAGTGCAGTGGCATGATCACTGCTTCTTGCAGTCTCAAACTCCCGGGCTTAAGTGATCCTCCCACCTCAGTTGGTGTGCGCCACCACGCACAGGTTAGTTTCGTGGGTTTTTTTTTTTTTTCTTTTTTTTTTTTTTTAGAGATGAGGTCTGTCTTTGTTGCCCAGGCTGCTCTTGAACTCCTGGTCTCAAGCAATCCTCCTGCCTCCGCCTCCCAAAGTGTTGGGATTATAGACGTGAACCATGGTTCCCAGCCAGTAATAAATCCTTGTTGCTATTTTAAGCCACTAAGTTTTGGAATATTTTGCCAAAGGTGATTGACCTTTTTATCTTTTTATACCTTTCATAGATTGTCAGTTTCTCCTGAATAGAATATAAGCTCTAGAGGGTGGAAAGCTTGTCTGTTTTGTATCCCCAGAGTGTAGGACAATGCCTGGCACACAGCAGCTACCCAATAAATATCAAATGAATGAGTAAATTACCTTTGGCCAAAGAGATATCAATATTAAAAAGAAAAATATGAAATCGTCATTATTTGTTAAAACTATCATTATTTACGTTAAAAATTCAAGGCAATTAACGTAGAAGCCATTAGAACCAATAAATATAATTCAACAAAGTGGCAAAATACAAGAGCAACATACAAAGAAATGTTTTTATATTATACATCAGCAATAATATACCAGAAAAATGTAATAGATGAAAATCTCAGTCACAATAACTTCCAGAACTCTAAAATGCTTAGGGAAAGAACCTAGTAGTAAATGTACAAAATCTAGATGCAGAAAAATATAAAACTTTACTGAAGGTCATAAAAATAGTATCTGAATGAAGTGAAAGCTGTGTTATAATTCAACACGGTAATTTAACTCACTTTTGTAAAAATGTCAACTACCTTAAAAATCTGTAAATTTCATCCCAGTAAAAATTGTAATGATTTTTTTAAATAGAACCCAACAGAGTAATTCTAAAAACCACCTGGAAGAGAAAATATTCAAAAATAGCTGAGATGATTTTGAGAAAAGAACAGTGGGAGGAAACTCACCCTACCAGATTTCAAAACCTAGAATAGAAGGGCAGTAATTAGAATGAGGCTGGGCGTGGTGGCTCACCCCTGTAATCCAGCACTTTGGGAGGCTGAGGTGGGTGGATCACCTGAGGTCAGGAGTTCAACACCAGCCTGACCAACATGGTGAAATCCCGTCTCTACTAAAAATACAAAAAAAAAAAAAAATTAGCCAGGCATTGTGGCATGCACCTGTAATCTCAGCTACTCGGGAGGCTGAGGCAGGAGAATTGCTTGAACCCAGGAGGCAGAGGTTGCAGTGAGCCGAGACCGTGCCATTGCACTCCAGCTTGGGCAACAAGAGTGAAACTCTATCTCAAAAAAAAAAAAAAAAAAAGTTTAGTAATTAAAATGATGTGATAATGGAACAAGCTTTACAAATAAATAAGTGGATCAGAATGGAGTCCGAAATAGATCCAAATATGTACAGGAGTCCAGTTTTCGACAAAGGAAAAAGGATGAAGTATTCAATAAATGGTATTAGGAAAACTGGTTATCCGTTTAGGAAAAGTAAAGTTAGATCTTCATCTCACAATTTTCATAAAAGTAAATTTTAGATAGATTAAAGGCCTGAACATATAATATGAAATTGTATAAGTAAAAAAGAAAATACAGGAGAGGGCTGTAAGCCATGAGGTAGGGTAAGCATAAAACATACAGATACAGATAAATAATATTGACTGCATCCAAAAAACAAGGCATCTATAAGACAAAAACATGAAAACAAAAGTATCTCATGGTGGCCAAGAACCTTCAAATTACCTAATGTTTGTTTTTGTTTTTGTTTTTTGAGACAGGGTTTCACTCTGTTGCCCAGGGTGGAGTGCTAAATAATTTTGACTGCATCAAAAAATCAAGACAGCTAGGCACGGTGGCTCCTGCCTGTAATCCTAGCACTTTGGGAGGCCAAGGCAGGTGGATCAACTGAGGTCAAGAGTTTGAGACCTACCTGGCCGACATGGTGAAACCTTGTCTCTACTAAAAATACAAAAAATTAGCCAGCTGTGGTGGCGGGCACGCGTAATCCCAGCTACTCGGGAGGCTGAGGCAGGGGAATCGCTTGAACCCTGGAGGCAGAGGTTGCAATGAGCTGAGATCGTGCCATTGTACTCCAGCCTGGGCAACAGAGCAAAAACTCTGTCTCAAAAAAAACAAAAAACAAACAACAACAACAAAAGGCATCTATAAGACAAAAACATGAAAACGAAGGTATCTCACAGTGGCCAAGAACCATCAGATTACCTAATTTGTTTTTGTTTTTGCTTTTGCTTTTGTTTTTTGAGACAGGGTTTCACTCTGTTGACCTGGCTGGAGTGCAGTGGCATGATCTTGGCTCACTGCAACCTCTGCCTCCTGTGCTCGAGAGATCCTCCCACCTCAGCCTCCCAGGTAGCTGGGACTACAGGCACGCGCCACCACACCCAGTGAATTTTTGCATTTTTTTGTAGAGATGGGGTTTTGCCATGTTGCCCCAGCTGGTCTTGAACTCCTGTGTACAAGCAACCGCCTACCTTGGCCTCCCAAACTGCTGCAATTACAGGGGTGAGCCACCGTGCCTGGCCTCCTAATATTTGTCTTTTATAAGTTGAATATTAAAGAATGATTTTGACAGATTTTTTTTGTTTTGTGCTTTTAAGAAATGAAGAAACAACCTTTATCTTATTTTTTTTAGCAGACTTTAATTTTTAGAGCAGTTTTAGGTTCACAGCAAAATTGAGTGGAAAGTACAGCGATTTCTCATATTGCCTTATGATTTTAGATAGCAATGCCTCTATTTTTGGGGGCTACTTGAAAATTTCAATATCTGTGTTCATGAAGACAGAATCTCAATCAACAATTCATAAATAATTGTGGGGATTTTCAGAATGGCTTAGTAAGGAGCTTGGAAAATATTTTCCCTCCAAAAAACAACAGTAAAACCAGGGAACATGATCAAGCACAACATTAGAAATGTTATCAAATGCATCCAACAAATTGAGAAGCAGTTATTCAAGAAAAACCATGAAGTCTTGATTAGAACAGTGGGAGTCTGGCAAACATCACAGCTGATCTGAGGTTTCTCTACAGGTTGGGGAAAGCAACAGACTAGCAGACTATTCAGAAATTTAACAAGGACATCTGGGGAACAAGACAGGCATAGCGGGCTTTCACATATCCCTGGTGGTCTGTAAATCTGTGTGCTTGCACAAGGTAGCACACTTGCTCAGGGGAGACAGAGAGGGCTCTAGCATCTACTGATTCCATGCTGAACATGAGGTCTTGCACACAAAGAAAACAAAAGCTTGGGCAGTTTTGTAAACCACCTGAACTTTGAACACATTTACCAAACCACACACGAAGTAATCGGCAAATGGTGGAAGTCCTAGCGGCTAAAAACGCTTAAGCACAACTTCTGATTAATCATAGGCTGACCATTAAGCTATGCTGACTCGGTGGTAACCTCCAGAAAGCCAGGCTTAAGAATACAATTTTTTAAAAAAAAATGAGCGGACATCAGTAGCTACATACTGCAGACAAGATAGCCTCTACAAAATGAGTCTAAGCAAGCCACTAAATGAACAAACAGAAATGATAACCACTGGGGACAGAAATCAGAATCCAGAGTTTGTACAATATATTATCTAAAATATCCAATTTTCAACCAAATGTGAGATTTACAAAGAAATAGGAAAGTGCAGCCAGGCGCGGTGGCTCACGCCTGTAATCCCAGCACTTTGGGAGGCTGAGGTGGGCGGATCACCCGGGGTCAGGAGTTTGAGACCAGCCTGGCCAACATGGTGAAACCCCCTCTCTACTAAAAATACAGACATTAGCTGAGTGTGGTGGCGGGTGCCTGTAGCCCCAGCTACTAAGGAGGCTGAGGCAGGAGAATCGCTTGAACCCAGGAGGCAGAGGTTGCAGTGAGCCGAGATCGCGCCATTGCACTCCAGTCTGGGCGAGAAGAGCCAGACTCTATCTCAAAAAAAAAAAAAGAAAGAAATAGTAAAGTGCTAACTGTACACAGGGAAAAAGCAGTAATAGAATCTTTCTTGGGAGGACCCAGATGTTGACTTAGGAGACAGATTTCAAAGCAGCTTTTAAAAATATGTTTTAAAAACTAGTAGAAACTACTTTTAAAGAATTAAAGTATGATGACAATGTTTCATCAAATAGAGAATATCAATAAAGAAGTAGAAATTATAAGGAAATATAAATTTTATATATATTATTATATAATTGAACAATGAAAACACTTGGACACAGGAAGGGGAACATCACACACCGGGGCCTGTCGTGGGGTGGGGGGAGGGGGGAGGGATAGCATTAGGAGATATACCTAATGTAAATGACAAGTTAATGGGTGCAGCACACCAACACGGCACATGTATACATATGTAACAAACCCGCACGTTGTGCACATGTACCCTAGAACTTAAAGTATAAAAAAAAAGAAGTAGAAATTATAAGGAAATAGAAATTTTATATATATTATTATATATAAATATATAAATATATACATAATTTATTTAGATATAAAATTTCTACTTCTTTATAATTTCTTAAGAAATTATAGAAATTATATATAATTGTAAAGAAATTATAAAGAAGTGAAGAAATTAAAAAGAAGAAATTTTATATATAAAATGTCTACTGTTTTATAATTTATATACATAATTATATTTTATACATAAAATTTCTACTTCTTTATAATGTATAATTATGCTTTTTATATATATAAAATTTCTACTTCTTAATAAACATTGTGGGGATTTTCAGAATGGCTGAGTGAGGAGCATGGAAAATATTATCCTACCCAAAAACAATATTAAAGAATTAAAGAAAAGTATGATGACATAGTGTATAGTTAGCACTCTCCTATTTCTTTGTAAATCTCATATTTTGGTTGAAAATGGGATATTTTAGATAATATATTGTACAAACTCTAGATTCTGATTTCTGTCCCCAGTGGTTGTTATCATTTCTGTTTGTCCTTTTAGTGGCTATGATGGTTAATACTGAGTGGCAACTTGATTGGATTGAAGAAAGCAAAGTATTGATCCTGGGCGTGTCTGTGAGGGTGTTGCCAAAGGAGATAAACATTTGAGTCAGTGGGCTGGGGAAGGCAGACCCACCCTTAATCTGGTGGGCACACTCTAATCAGCTGCCAGTGAATATAAAGCAGGTCGAAAAATGTGAAAGGCGAGACTGGCCTAGCCTCCCAGCCTACATCTTTCTCCCATGCTGGATGCTTCCTGCCCTTGAACATCAGATTCTAATTTCTTCAGTTTTGAGGCTCAGACTGCCTCTCCTTGCTCCTCAAGCTTGCAGAGAGCCTATTGTGGGAACTTGTGATTGTGTAAATTAATAATAAACTCCCCCCCATATATAATAATCTGTATAATATTACATATATATTAGTTCTGTCCCTCTAGAGAACCCTGACTAATATAGTGGCTTACTTGGACTCATTTTGCAGAGTCTATATATATGTCATAATACTTTAATTCTTTAAACATAGTTTCTACTATTTTAAACGTATTTGAACCCTAGAAATTTAAACATTTTTAAATTGAAGCCAAGGTTTCTAGGAGTTGCCACTGAGTCAGCATAGCTTAATGATCAGCCTATGATTAATTGGAAGTTGTGCTTAATTATATATATAACGAGCTAGTGTTGAAAAGTATAATATTTGGAATGAAATTTCACCAGAGGGGCTCATGAATAGATTTGAGATGGCAGGAGAAAGAATCAGTGAACTCAAAGATAGATCGTTAAAGAGTATGCAACTTGGGCGGGCATGGTGGCTCACGCCTGTAATCCTAGCACTTTGGGAGGCCGAGGTGGGTGGATCACCTGAGGTCAGGAGTTTGAGACCAGCCTGGCCAATATGGCGAAACCCCATCTTTACTAAAAATACAAAAATTAGCTGGGCATAGTGGTGGGCACCTATAACCCCAGCTACTTGGGAGGAATAGCAAAACTGCAGATGTAAATGCATCCATAGCAATAATTCCATAAATTAATGAAATCAAATGTCAGAGCTAGGCCTCTGTGGTTCTCAGAATCCTAAGATGGTCCCCAATATTCCTGTTCCTGGTATACACTTATTGTAGAGTTTCCTCCTCTTGACTGTAGGCAGAACCTGTGAACATGATGGGAAGTTACTCCCATAATTAGGTTACTCTGTATGGCAAAGGTGAAGGAATTCTGCCACTATAATTAAGATTTCTAATCAATTGACTTTGGGCTAATAAAAGGGAAGATCATCCTGGGCAGGCCTGGCCCAGTCAGGTGAGTCCTTAAAAAAGAGTGTCTCGTGTTGAAGAAGTAAGCTACCATTTGTGAGAGGGCCTATGGAGGGAGCCACATGGCTAGAGCCCCTGTTGGGGATGGCCTCTAAGAGCTGAGGGCAGTCCCTGGTAGACAGCTAGTAAGAAAACAGGGCTATCAGTCCTGCAACTGCCAGGAAGTAAATTGTGCCAACAACTGGTGAGCACAGAAGAAGATTTCAAGCCTCAGCTGAGATCACAGCTCCAGCCAATGCTTTGACTTCAGCCTGGTGAGACCCTGAGCAGAGACCCAGGTTGATGGACTGGATGTTGTGTTTGTGTCCCCCTGGAAATTCATATGTTGAAACCCTAATCCCAATGTGATGGTATAAGAAGGTGGGATTGTTGGAAGGTAATTGGTCATGAGGGTAGAGCCTTCATGAATGGGATTTGTGCCCTTATAAAAGAAACCCCAGAAAACTCTCTTACCTTCTTTCTGCCATGTGAGAATATACTGAGAAGGCAGCAAGTCTGTAACCTGGAAGAGGGTCCTCCCCAGAAGCTGACCATGCTGGCACCCTGTGGTCAGGCTTCCCAGCCTCCAGAACTGTAAGCAGGAAATTTCTGTTGTTTAAGGCCTCAAATCTATGGTAATTTGTTATAGCAACCTGATCTGACTGAGATACTCAGCTAACCTATACCCAGAGTCTTGGCCACAGAAACTGTGAGATAATAAATGGGTGTTTTTTAAAAAATTATTATTATCATACTTTAAGTTTTAGGGTACATGTGCACAACATGCAGGTTAGTTACATATGTATACATGTGCCATGTTGGTGTGCTGCACCCATTAACTCGTCATTTAGCATTAGGTATATCTGGAATTGAACAAAGAGAACAGATGGACACAGGAATGGGTGTTGTTTTGACCTGCTAAGTTTGTGGTCATTTGTTATGCAGCAATAGAAAACAATACAGCCTTGAACTCTGGTCTTTCTTGTAGTTAATTCATACCCTGAACTACTCTGCTCTATACCACCATTCAGAAATTGGCTGTTCATGTACCACAAAGGCCTAGTAGACATTTTTTGTTTAGCCTGCAAAGTATGTTAAAACATTTTTAAAAAATTAGCTGTCTTGGGAGGCCAAGGTGGGAGGATTGCATGAGCTTAGGAGTTCAAGACCAGCATGGGCAATATAGTGAGAACCAGCTCATACAAAAAACCAAAAAAATTAAATAAAAAATAACTGCCTATATCTAAATATCAGAGGATTTCATATGCATGTCGAAATTCATGGCTTCCCTTGAAAAACTGGCAGACGTGGCATCATTGGCCCATATTACCACCTAGGAAGAACTGGCTGGAGGTGAAAAGTCCCTGCCTTGTTGAGACAGGGCCTGAGCCCTGTAGTTCAGCACAAGCCAGCTCCACATGTGACCCACATGGCTGCAGTTAGGCATTTGAGTATGTAAGTCCTGATATCTAACTTCAAAGTTGATCACTGCTTGCCTCAGTTTTGTTTCTAGTTCGGTCACTGTTTCCTTTCGCTCTCTTCCTGACACAATGCTACAAGAATTTAGATCATAAATCCTTTGGGAATGAGTGCCCAGATCAGAGCTGGATATTAATCTGAGAAGAGAAAATGAACTTTGGTACTATGGATTCAATTAAGTTGAGTCTGGGAAACTCTTCCTTTCACTAAATTTCTTATTAGTGTAGGATTTCAGTTTGACAAAAATCCTGCATTCTTTTGTCCTTTGAGGAATAGATGGTGAAACGAGCAGCATGTTTTGTTTTGTTTTTCTTTACTACCATGGAACATGAGGGGAAAATGCCGTGAAGCCTCAAAAGGAAGGCTCCATTGAGGTCGTGTGGTACAAAGGATGAATGGTTAAGTTTTTAAAATTGATGCAAATTAACATAAAATATAAAACAATTTTTGGAAAATGATATAAATGATGCCAATTGCGTCCACTCATGTAAAAGAAAAAATTTTTCTTTTACTCACAACACTTCTGATGCTGAATATGTGGGAATTTTCCCCACACCAACCAATTCTTCAACTTTCTGCACACCAACTGGGTATCCTACAATTCATTTCTGACACTAATTATCCCCTGTGAGCTCAGACTCCACAGGTTAAGGACTCAATCCCACAAGACTGCCCTCACATTAGGTGCCAGTTACAAGTACCAGGTTGTCACCTGTACTTTTGACCTATAAATCAGGGGTTTCCACAAGCCACTCCTCATGTTTGATAATTTGCTAGAATGGCTCACAAAATTCAGGGAAGCATTTACTTACATTTATCAGTTTATCCTAGGATATTACAAAGGATACAGATAGTAGCCAGATGAAGAGATACAGAGGACAAGGTCCAGAAGGATGCTTAGTGCAGAAGCTTCTGTCTCCATGCAGTTAGAGTCCACCACTCTTCTGGCAAGTGGATGTGTTCATCAATTCAGAACCTGTCTGAACCTCATTGTTTAAAGTTTTTATGGAGGCTTCATTACCATGTAGTCATGATTAATTAAATCATTGGCCACTGGCAATTAAGTCAATCCCCATTCCCTCTTCCCTCCCCAGAGGTTGGGGATGGGGCTGAAAGTTCCCACCCTCTGATCATATGACTGGTTCCTGTGGCATCCAGCCCCCATCCTCCCAAGAGTCACCTCACTAGCATAAACTCAGGTATGGCTGAAATGAGCTTATTGTGAATAAAAAAAAAAAAGATGCTCTTCTCACTCCAATCACTCAGGAAATTCCAAGGGTTTTAGAAACTCTGTGCCAAGAACCAAGGATAAAGAACCAATATATATTTACAATTCTATCACAATGTCAGAGGCCACTCCCCTCGTCTTTGAATGTGGATCCCTTACAGGAAAACCATTGTATCTCTCAGAGAATTTGTAACCTCCTAACGGGTTATCCTTGCCCACTGCCCAGATAGAGCCAATTTATCAAGAGGGGGAATTGCAATAGAGAAAGAACTTAATTTATACAGAACTTGTTAAACAGGAGACCAGAGATATGTTACTCAAATCAGTCTCTGAAAATCTGGGGACTAGGGTTTTTCAAGGGTAGTTTGTGGGAAGGAGGAATGGCTTGGGAATAAGTGCTGCTGATTGGTTGTGGATGTAATCATGAAGATGTGGAAAATGGTTCTCAAGTGCACACTAAGTCTATTGCTGGGTGTGGCCACAGGACCAGTTGGTGGTTCAGGGTGGAGCCATCTGCAGTCAGAAATGCAAAAACCTGAAAAGACATCTCAAAAGGCCAATTTTAGGTTCTACAATAGTGGTGTTGTCTACAGGAGTAATTGGAGAAGTTGAAAATCTTGTGGCTAATTTATTAGTCCTATAATACCAGTCTTGTCACCAGCAAAGAAGGAGGTTTGTTTCAGCAAAGGACTGTTATCATCCTTGTTTCAAAGTTAAACTGTAAACTAAGTTTCTCCCACAGTTAGTTCAGCCTATGCCCAGGACTGAACAAGGGCAGCTTGTTTAGAAGCAGGATGGAGTCAAAGTCCGATCTCTGTCACAGTCATACTTTTCCTACTGTTATCATTTTTGCAAAGACAGTTTCACATTTACATTGGGGGTAGCATTTATAGAACAGATATAGCACTAGTATGAACACCCATATGACTAGCCCTTGAGGAAGCCAGTTAGTGTGGGGTAGGGATAGATAGAAAGAAATAATTTGCCCTGCTTTTTGTTGTTATTTTGTTTTCCTTTTTTCCTATGGGACATGAGGGAAGAAAACCTTGTGGGCCAGTAGAAAGGAAGGCTCCAATGAGGTTGTGCAGTATGGACAGTGAATGGCTGTTAAGTTTTTAAAATTGGGGCAAATTAACATGAAATATAAAGCATATTTTGGAATATGGTATAAGTAATGCCAATTGTAGCAACTCATGTTTTGTTTTTATTTTTCAAATATTTCTATGCAATAATAGAAATCACTTGTATGAATTTAGTTTACCCATGATCTCTGGACCTCGCTGTAAGGAAGTCTTTCAGAAAATCAAAAATGTGAGCCTATATGAAATATTTGTGTGTGCATGCACATGGCATACCTGACTTAGAAAAGAATTCTATATGTATTCAGTTTTAGAACTTGTCTTTAGTTTTAGAGTTTGTAAAAGGTTGAAAATGTTTCACTGTCCATATTAAATGTTTTACTATGCTAAAAAGAACATCTAAAAATCAATAAGGAAAAGACCAATAACCTGTTTTTTGAAAGAGCTGTATATGCAAAGCAATCCCCAAATGCAGAAGGAGCTGAGAAACCAAAGGAGGCAGACAAGTCCAGCTCGTCATCACAGGGTGATTTTATTGGGGAATATAGTGACAGAAGCGTGGTCTTGGGTGGCCAGAAGACAGGTAGGTCTTTGTGCCATTACTCCCCAGACCCGGGGATTATATACCGTAGGGAAGGGTACATGTGCTTCAGAGGGAATCGGTTGGAGTTTGGTCTAAGGGCAGGATTGACAGTAAGTATGAATTTATCAAGGTTGATTTGGTCTAAAGGCAGGATTTTTGGTAAGGATGTGCTCTTTCATACACAAGGAATAATAGATAAACTGGAAATCTCAGAGGCATTCCTGGAACTGGGGCTAATCAAAAGTCAGCATGGCAGATTGGCATCCAAGATGGAGTTACTTTAGCCTGTACACATCCTAATCGAAAAATGAACAAAAGATATGAATAGAAAATTCATAAAATAGAAAATAAAAATGATCACAAGGAATGTGAAAAGTTGTTGAAGCTCAGTACTAATCAGTGAAAGTCAAATCAAAATAACTAGATTTTCAATACGTTTGCTAATATCAAGTATTGGCGAGGGTAAAGGATACTCTCACACACTGATGGGGAGTATGTACATTTGAGCCACTCTGAAGGGCAACTTGGCAGGAAGTATTACATTTTATAAGAATGTATTTATGCAGAGGAGGCTTCAGGTCGACCTGTGGCAGTCCAGCCCTTGGGGGTTCCCTCGCCTTCCACCTCCTGCTCATCTGCTTCACTAGCTATCCCTATGGTGTCGGTGTGCAGGCCGTGGCCTGCTGTGGCCATAGCACTTCTGGCTCTGCTGGTCTGCCTGGGGGCGCTGGTCGACACCTGCCCCATCAAACCCGAGGCTCCTGGCGAAGACGAGTCCCTGGAGGAGCTGAGCCACTATTATGCTTCCCTGTGCCACTACCTCAACGTGGTCACCAGACAGTGGTGGGAGGGTGCAGACATGTGGTGAGGACCCCTGAGGTCTCCTTGGGGATCTGCTAACCGCACCCACCTGATTTGCATATCCACTTCCTACCCGGGAAACACGGATTCCCCACCTGGCCATCAGGGTCTGGGCAGGATTCAGGTGGGGACTTCCACCCGCATCTCGGTACCCCCTCCCCCTGGGCTGGAGGGCTGTGTATGGTCCTTCCCTGGTCCCAAAATAAAGAGCAAATTCCACAGGAAAAGAAAATAATGCATTTATGCATTACATGTAGGAACAATATTTAAAATAACGAACCCATTCTTCTCGCTTCCTCCAAACACCCCTTCTGGCCACAGTGATAAGTTCAGGAATATGATCTCAGCCCTGGCCTAAGTCATTCAGCAACTAAAAGTCACTTGGCCACAGTGATTGATTCAGGAGTGGACGTATGACATAAACTGGTCCAATTTTAGCACTTTTATTGGAAATGCTGGGTGGGACACAGACTCTCTCTTCTGGCCATGAAGAAGGAAACATGTACTTGGGATCTGCTAACAACTATTTTAGGACCACGAGGGGATAACCTGCCTGAGAATGGGGCCAACACTAAGGAAACACTGACATACCAAGCCTTGTCTGAAGTCAGCCCTGCCTCTGGTCTTGTCAGTCACATGAGCCATTCAAGTTCCTATTTTCTTTAAACCAGTTTGAGTTTTTCTGTTACTTGCAATTGGAAGTATGTTGACTGACACAATAATCCTTCACCAATCTCAGTTATCAGGGCCTGTGACAGATCCTATGAACTGACTCACTCAATACCCTTTCCAATCCCCTTATTGCATGCCTTCCTGTATTTCAGAGTCTGGAAAGCTGAAAACTCTATTTCTCACAATTCCTTGCAGCTGGGATTCTGGATGTGACTTAAGTTCTACTAATCAGAACTAGCTCAAGACTTGAATTTGGATATGAGTTAAGCAGAGAGAAACAATACTCAAGGCCAAACATTTACTGGTGCAGATCATAGCAAAGATTGTGCAGTCTGGGAATCAGCTGCTATTGATGGTGGCTTTCCAGCTTCCTGATCATAGCAGGAGTAGCAGCTACCTAAGGTAGTTCAGTTCTGTGGTATGGATTTGGAAGCACTCCTGGAAGCTCTACCTAGATCCTTTTTCTTCATCCCTACCCACGATTCTGTAAGCCAGTTAAATACTATAAATTACTTTCTGCTGACATTAGCTAGAAAAGATTCTGCTCTTTGAAAATAAACCCAGATCATACAGTATTCTTTGAGCCTTTGACACTACTACACTCAGGGCTGTGGGAGCCAGTCAAAATTTTTTCTCTTTTTAAAGACAGGGTCTCACTCTGTTGCCCAGGTTGGAGTGCAGTGGTGTGATCACAGCTCACTGCAGCCTCGACCTGCCAGGCTCAATTGATCCTCCTGCCTCAGCCTCTCAAGTAGCTGGGACTACAGGCATGCACCACGACACCTGGCTATTTTTGTATTTTTTGTAGAGATAGGGTTTCACTGTGTTTCCCAGGCTGGTCTTGGAGCAATCCTCCTGCCTTGGCCTCCCAAAGTGCTGGGATTACAGGCGTGACTCACTGCTTGGCCAAGAGCCAGTCTATGTAGCAAAAATAAACCAGAGCTAAATAAAAGCATACTCGTTTCTAGACATTTGCAATTATCTCTATCCTCACCACTTAAAACTAGGATTTTTAAAAATGTCCTGTCTATACAAGTCCTAAGCTGGTCTGGTGACCCAAGAATAGCCTCTGTACAGTTCTAGTGTCACCCTGCTTTTGCTTGTACTTTTCCCTCAACCTCTACCTTCAATGGTATAACAGGCTTTTCTGTGGAAGGTCATCCATTATTATTACCAGCAAAGAGAATTATGGCGGTAAGAGGACCCAGTAAGATGCCTCTGGAATGCGAATGTTCCCAGGCATTGTCCAGACTCTCAAATTTCAGCTATGTTTAACTAGAAAAGATGATGCCAAACAACAATTATCAGGAACAATCAAATGCAGACAGTTTAGTAAATAACTCGCCTAGACCAATTTTCCCTGCCAGAAATTCAGCATTTGATTATGCTTTCAATTTAGATTTTTGCCTCTTTGTACTCCAGGGGTAGGTCAGGGCATGCAGTGGACAGTCAATAAATACATCCTAAAGAAATGAATTTTGTACCAGCTCTACATTCTAGGATAACAGGTCTGCTCAGAAAACAAATGGTGTCAGTTGGACCCATTCTGTTGGGCTACCCTAACAGAATACCACAGACTAGGTGGCTTAAACAACAGAAATTTATTTTCTCAGGATTTAGCCAACATAACCAGGCTTAAAATGCAGTTGTAAGAAGGAAGTCGTGAGGGAGTGCTGACTTTGATAGATAGCCCCAATAAAAGCCCATCATTCATTCAACAAATGTTTACCAAGTCCCAACCACAAAGTGCTGATGGTGCAGAAAGGAACAAGGTACAATTTTTCTCACAAAAAGTTGTCTGATGTTGGGAGACACACAATAAACATCTAATTCCAATTCATTGTGTTCAGCACTAGGTCACAGTTCAGTGGCAAGGAACCACTAACTCTACCTGGAAGAGTCATAAAAAAGAAGAGGACACATGGGCCTGGCACCAGAAGGACTGCCAATGTTGCATCTGGTAACTCAATGTGTCATTTACCTAGGGCAGTACTGGGTTGCCTAAATAGTCAGATGCCTAGGGCATTAGCAAAGCTGGGGTAAAACAAAAATGTAAATCAACTTTACATTATATATAAAACAAGAGAAAATAAGAAGTTGGTTAAATTTTGTTCCATCTATTTTATGGTGCAATATCATTTTATTCTGAATTACATATGGGGTAGGAAGAGGTGGGCATAACTTTTTCTAAAGTATATGTATTCTGGCCAGGTGTGGTGGCTCATGTCCGTAATTCCAGCCCTTTGGGAGACTGAGGCAGGAGGCTCACTTGAGCCCAGGAGTTACTTGAGCCTGGGCAACATGGTGAGACCCCATGTCTACAAAAGATTTTTAAAAAATGTTTAAAAAGTATCCATATTCTGAAAAACAATACACATACACAAAATTGCATAAAGTATAAATGTACAACTAAAAGTTGTTATAAAGTAAACACTATGTAACCATCACCCAGGCAAGAAATAGAACATTGTCTGCAGCATCCCAGGAGCACCACTGCAGACGGCCAGGTGTCTTGGTTTGCCTTGGACTGTTCCACTTTTAGCACAGAAAGGCTCAAATCCCAAGGAAACTCCTCCCTGGGATGTGAAAAGTCTCAATTTTCTGTGATGGGTACAGAAGATTGGGGGAAAAGCACAAAACCCATATGGTGACCCGCCCCCCCCGCCCAAATAGGGAGTGAAAACAGCAGTTTGTAATGTGAAATGGATATGGCATAGATTCTCTGCCTTCTGTAGTTGCTGTGGCCATTTTTTTTGCCCCAACTGCTGATATTGACAACCATGATTTGCAGCTCACAATAATGATCATCCATTGTTGCATCACGGTGACTGATGCCACTTTAGCATGCAACTTAAGTGCATTGAAATTGTGAGCATTAACAAGCTCGCCTTTGTATTTGCCTGTGGATCAACTGTTGTAATTTGTATCAAGGTTGTTTAACCTTTCACATCATGAATATTGTGACCATGTGCATTAGTTTGCTAGGGCTACCATAACAGAATACCACAGACTAGGTGGCTTAAACAACAGAAATGTATTTTCTCACAGTTCTGGAAGCTGACAATCCAAGACCAAGGTGCCAGCAGGTTTGGTTTTTTCTGAGGCTTCTCTCCTTGGCTTGCAGATGGCAACCTTCCTTCTGTGTCCTCACAGGTCTTTCCTTTGTGCTTGTGAATCCCTGGTGTCTCTGTGTGTGGAAATTTCCTCTTTGTATAAGGACACTGGACAGATTAAATTAGGGCCCACCCTAATAGCCACATTTTAACGTAATCACCTCTTTAAAGGCCCTATTTCCGAATACTGTCACATTCTGAGATACTTGGGGCTAAGGTTTCAGCATATGACTTTTTGGGGGACACAATTCAACCATAACACCATGTTTTGTAAGAATGCAGATAACAGGTGGGAAAATTGCTTGAGCCCAGGAGTTCGAGACCGAGAGTTCGAGTTCGAGATCAGCCTACCCAACATAGTGAGACACTGTCTCAACAAAAAATAGAAAAATTAACCAGGCGTGGTGGCGCATGCCTGTAGTCCCAGCTACAGAGGTGAAAGGGGAAGGATCAATTGAGCCTGGAAGGTAGAAGCTGCAGTAAGCCGAGAATGCTCCACTGCACCCCCAGCCTGGGTGACAGGGTGAGACCCTATCTCAAAAAAAAAAATGAAGTTTCATATTATCTTCTTGATTTCAATGAAGATATTAATAAAACCACAGAAAATATGAAAAAATACAAACGAGACTTTTCTCATTTATCTGTATGTTTAGCAGACAGCATAAATGTCAATTGTGTGGAATTCCATTCAGTCTATAAACTTTTTATTGAAATAAATGAAAAGACCTTACCTGCTAAATGTCATGCACACCTTGTACACAATCCTGCTAAAGACAGATACATTCTGCTTATCTATAAAATTAAAGGTTTTATAATGAAAGTTTTTGATGACTTTTTAATTTCTTCAAAATATGCAGAAGTATGTAGTGAGTTTTTTTTTACTTTATAGAAATGGGAGGAGATAGCCTCCTTAACAGGTGCCTACAATATCTATCATTGTTGCCAGCCATAGGAAAAAAAATGTTAAAATGTCAGCCTGCCATAAAACCATAATTTCAAAGTGCGGTATGAGAAGAATGTCCTTCTGTAATTTGGAAATACATTGAGAATAAAAATGGAGAAAAGGATGACAATAAAACAGAAATTTATCAGCTGTTCCTCTAAAACTGTTTGAAGACCATTGAAGAGGTCATATGGAGCCTCGGAAAGAATGGACTCATTACAGCTGAGCTGTTCCATGTTATGAGTAGATCTCAACAAAAAACCACATGGCAAAAAATGACTCATTCATGCAGACATCGTAAGACTGCTTCAGAACAACAACAAAAAAAGTTACCAGGAAAAGGCAACAACATGAAATAAGACTTCATCAATTTCTCTAATAAAACTGTAACTTATTTGGAATCCAACTGGATTCCTATAGCAATCAAAAAGTTCAAATTACTTCTGCCCCTTGGGACCATTTTCCCTTTGAAAGAGAAGTTTAGCTTGTGGTAACATCTATTTATTGGGAGTTACGTAAGGAAAAACTCTCCACAAACTGTGTTCTTCCTCTACTCTCACCACCACCAAAATCATCAACACAGAAAACTTCTGTGACCAAATGTAGAGGGAGGTTTCCCCACACACCAACAGTGGACACCAGCTGGGTATCCTCTGATTCTCCAAAAAGATAGTGTCAGATCCTACAGGTTGGGGGATCAGTCCCCAAGACTGCCCTCCCCACACCAGTTGCAAGTCTGGGCCTCCAGAACTTCTGGCCTACCTACCGGCTTCAAGTTGGGGTTCCCATGATCCCCTCTTTCATTTGATTAATTTGCTGGAGTGGCTCATAAAACTTAGGGAAACACATTTACCGGTTTATTATAAAAGATATTGCAAAGGATACAGATGAAGAGAGTACAGGGTGAGCTATGGAGGAAAGGGTGTGGAGCTTCCCTCCCCTCCCTAGACATGCCACCCTCCAGGAACCTCCATGTGTTCAGCCCTCTGGAAGCTCACTGAACACCGTCCTCTTGTGTCCGGAATTGGTGGGTTCTTGGTCTCACTGACTTCAAGAATGAAGCCGCGGACCCTCGCGGTGAGTGTTACAGCTCTTAAGGTGGCACGTCTAGAGTTTGTTCCTTCTGATGTTCGGATGCGTTCGGAGTTTCTTCCTTCTGGTGGGTTTGTGGTCTCGCTGGCTCAGGAGTGAAGCTGCAGACCTTCGCGGTGAGTGTTACAGCTCTTAAGGCAGCGCGTCTGGAGTTGTTCGTTCTTCCCGGTGGGCTCGTGGTCTTGCTGGCTTCAGGAGTGAAGCTGCAGACTTTCGCGGTGAGTGTTACAGCTCATAAAAGCAGTGTGGACCCAAAGAGTGAGCAGCAGCAAGATTTACTGCAAAGAGCAAAAGAACAAAGCCTCTACAGTGTGGAAGGGGACCTCAGCGGGTTGCCACTGCTGGCTCCGGCAGCCTGCTTTTATTCTCTTATCTGGCCCCACCCACATCCTGCTGATTGGTAGAGCTGAGTGGCCTGTTTTGACAGGGCGCTGATTGGTGCGTTTACAATCCCTGAGCTAGATACAAAGGTTCTCCACGTCCCCATCAGATTAGTTAGATACAGAGTTTGGACACACAGGTTCTCCAAGGCCCCACCAGAGCAGCTAGATACAGAGTGTCGATTGGTGCATTCACAAACCTTGAGCTAAACACAGGGTGTTGATTGGTATGTTTACAAACCTTGAGCTAGATACAGAGTGCCGATTGGTGTATTTACAATCCCTGAGCTAGACATAAAGGTTCTCCAAGGCCCCACCAGAGCAGCTAGATACAGAGTGTCGATTGGTGCACTCACAAACCTTGAGCTAAACACAGGGTGCTGATTGGTGTGTTTACAAACCTTGAGCTAGATACAGAGTGCCGATTGGTGTATTCACAAACCTTGAGCTAAACACAGGGTGTTGATTGGTGTGTTTACCATCCCTGAGCTAGACATAAAGGTTCTCCAAGGCCCCACCAGAGCAGCTAGATACAGAGTGTCAATTGGTGCACTCACAAACCTTGAGCTAAACACAGGGTGCTGATTGGTGTGTTTACAAACCTTGAGCTAGATACAGAGTGCCAATTGGTGTATTTACAATCCCTGAGCTAGACATAAAGGTCCTCCAAGGCCCCACCAGACTCAGGAGCCCAGCTGGCTTCACCCAGTGGATCCTGCACCGGGGCTGCAGGTGGAGCTGCCTGCCAGTCCCGGTGCCGTGCGCACACTCCTCAGCCCTTGGGTGGTCAATGGGACTGGGCGCAGTGGAGCAGGGGGCAGTGCTCGTCGGGGAGGCTCGGGCTGCACAGGAACCCACGGAGTGGGTGGGAGGCTCAGCCATGGCGGGCTGCAGGTCCCAAGCCCTGCCGCGCGGGAAGGCAGCTAAGGCCCGGCGAGAAATCGAGCACAGCGCCGGTGGGCCGGCACTGCTGGGGGACCCAGTACACCCTCCGCAGCCGCTGGCCCGGGTGCTAAGTCCCTCATTGCCCGGGGCCAGCAGGCTGGCCGGCTGCTCTGAGGGCCGGGCCCGCCAAGCCCACGCCCACCCGGAACTCCAGCTGGCCAGCAAGCGCCGCACGCAGCGCCGGTTCCCGCTCGCGCCTCTCCCTCCACACCTCCCTGCAAGCTGAGGGAGTGGGCTCCAGCCTTGGCCAGCCCAGAAAGGGGCTCCCACAGTGCAGTGGTGGGCTGAAGGGCCCTCAAATGCTGCCAAAGTGGGAGCCCAGGCAGAGGAGGTGCCGAGAGCAAGCGAGGGCTCTGAGGACTGCCAGCACGCTGTCACCTCTCACTCTTGGGTTTTTATGGAAACTTCATGACATTAGCATTTCTTCTCCCAAGGTGTAGGGTAGGACGTTCTCATGGGAGGTCTTAAGACCCACAGTCAGAAAGGTGGGGGAACATTAGAGTAAAAAGAGGACAGGAGGTCAGAGGCCTGCTACTAAAGCCTAACACACCCAATATTTTCACAAAAGACTGTAACAAGGGCTATGGGAGTTACGAGCCAGGAACCGTGGACAAAAACCAATATATATCATAACACCACGAGAGCATTTAAAAATGGTAAGCATATTAAAACATGGATAGCTTCATGTATATGATGTATTTATAGATGTAACAGGCCCGACTGACAAACAGCTGACCTACCAAAACAATCCTGTAGACAGAAAGTGGTGGGACATTTCTATAAATCTAAAAACCTGCTGCTGCTAGTAAGTAAAATTCTAAGTATTCAATGCTCACATTTTTGTTGTTGTTGTTGTCGAAAGGCTATGCAGCCTGGCAAACACCAAAAATCAGTGCAGAACTGCAGGTCAAAATGACTTTTATATTTGATTGTATGAAATTTTACTACTATATGAAAGAAAAAAAATTTTTAATGTCCTGATGGTCACAGGCAGTTCTGAATTAATTATTATCAGAAAAAAACCAGAAAGAATAAATATATCCTACTATATCATGGACCAAAAGAAACATGTCATTACTATTTTGAAACATCAAATATAGGCAATATCTGTTCAATTAGTCCTCTTGCATTTATATTTTCCTTTTTAATAAGTCTTATATTTAAGTACCTGAAGAATACAGAATATTATAGGCTACAAAATTTAAATATCTAGTAAGAAGCTAAAAAAAGAGTTAAGTAGCTGTATCAGACAGAAACATTATAAAAACATTGGTATATTTTTGTTCCCCATATTATTGGTTTAATTAGTCTTACTATTAATTACTACTAATTGCCACTGTTAACTAGTCCTACTAGTGTTTCATTTAAATAACAGAATTGATACACAGAAAAGAAAATAATAAATAATGTATAATTCTAAATAAACACCTATTTTAATATTTTTATGTTAAGGTTATAACACATGTATAATTATTTATTACGTATTATATCATTATGGTTTTCTTTTGTCTGATGTGACTGTGTCCTAGTTTGCTTTGTAAAAAGTTGGTCATCCAAACCACACCACAACCACCACTAACTACTCCCACTATAATATTAATATATAGTCTTAACCCATTTATGCCTTAGGTTACAATTTTTTGAATTTTTGCAATCGGACCTTGGCGATGACATTGATATAAATAACTCCCCATGCTTAGCGTTCCAATAATGGAATACTAGGCATAAATAGGCTTAATTTAGCTTTGGTTTAGGGTGTAATAGTGAAGGGTGAAATGCACATTGAAATTTGTCTGGCTTGTCATCTCAGGAGGCATGTCTATTCCTCTCTCTAGGGAATGTCCTAATTGTGAGGGAAAAACCAAAAGCTGGGAATCAATACATGTAGCCTTGAGTTCCGCTATTCCCCATTTGAGCTATCTCTGAACTTTTGTGGGCCCCATTCCTGTACTAGTCAAAGGCAGATTCCTACTTCCCTCTGACAGTGGTAAGGGCTCAGAAATGTTTGGGAATATAGGGATGGGGCCACTACCCCTTGCTGTTTATCTCTTTCTCCTCAAATAATATTTCTTCTGCTTTGAGGATCACTAGAATTTTTTATACAAGTCTGGAGTGCGGTGAGAGATTTTTACTCCTTGGAAATCAAAGTTCTCATCGTATAAAGGGCCATAAGTTTGTGTAGGTTTGCCTGCAAGGGGCAGTAGGGACAAGGGAGCTGGAGTAGGTGATTAACAAGGTTCTAGTTTCTTCCTGCAGAGGACTCAGGTTAGCTAACAAGAGAGTAGCTTCGTTTCCTGGATTCTGTCTATGGGAAGGAAATACACTCCAACTTCGGAGGAAATTCACAACCCTTTAGAACCAGGAGCCAAAAACACAGCTGCGCATCTAACCAGGAAGCCCTTCCTTGCTGCCAGTGCTTCCCTCCTCGATGTTGTACTTTGACTCCATAGAAAGGTGAAAATGAATACCTTGGATGCCCTCCTGCCCAAGTATTGTTCTTCCCTCAGCCCTCTGTGGCAGACTGTGAAGTGGAAAGGGCACTAGCAGGGAAGCCAGGAGGCTGAGCTTTTCCTTCCAACACTCCCCCACTTACCGCTGCCCTACCTTTCTGCCTGCTTTGCTAAGAGGTAGATCTGCAAAACGGGGCGATGATGCAGACCTCACCAAGATGTTGAGAGGATTCCCTGCTAGTTTATGAAGCATCCACACACCAGATGCTCAATGCCTGTCGGCTGTATGGGACTCAACCATTGCCAGGACCAGGCCTTCGAATGCCAAGACCTTTGCCCTCCTTTCCATCCACAATGAAAATACCAGTTGACACGTACCACTTTATATATATTAACACATTTTAACCTTCTCAATAGTCTTATGAATTGGGAAATATTGTCCCCATTTACAGGGAACCCATTTCTACACTAGTCAAAGGCAGATTCCTACTTCCCTATGAGAATGGTAAGGGCTCAGAAATGTTTGGGAATATAGGGATGGGGCCACTCTCCTTTGCTCTTGATCTCTTCCTCCTTAAATAATATTTCTTCTGCTTTGGGAATCACTAGATTTTTATTCAACAAGTCAGAAGTGGAGTGAGAGATTTTTACTCCTTGGAAATCAAAGTTGAGACAGAGAGTTGAAGTAACCTTCCTACAGTCGAACAGCTAGTAAGTGATGGAGTTGCTATGTGAACCCAGGTGGTCTGGCTGAAGTGTTTGTTCTCTGGGATGCTGAATGCATCCTCAGCTCTTGCCCATATGTGCAGAGTTTAATCCCAGGATGTGGCAGTATGTAATGTCCCCACCTGCAGGGTGGAAGCATACAGACTGCCCAGAGGCCACACTTTGCTGCACTGGTCCTTTCTGGGCCAAACAAACAACCGTAGTCCCATTCCCACCACAAGCCATCCACTAGGTTACACTTTAGCCCATTTTGAGACCCTGGCCTGCCTGAATTTGCATTTGGGCCATAAGGAGGGAAACTCAGAAACCCAGATCCTTCTGGAGAAAAGTGTGGAGGAAGTGAGGTTATGGCTGGGGCTAATGAGACCCACAAGAATGAGAAGATTAACCCCTGTCAGTGCCAGACCCTCCCTGAAGCACCAGGGGTCCATCCTCCAGGGTTCCAGCTCTCCTCAGCAGGAAATGGGCACTGAAACAGACAAAGAGGCAGGTGGTGCAGGTGACCTGCAGCACCCAAATAGCTTTGGTTGAAGTGGTGAACGCTGAGGAGTTGCTCGACTTAGCTCTCCCTCCCCCAGAAGGCCCCCTAGCTGCCTCTTCCTGGCCCTTGCCAGTATCCAGCCCGCAGGCAGATAAGTCTTTGCTGTGGGACCCGTAATACCACTGACAGCTTGGCCTGAGCTGAGGATTGGGGTGGGGGTAGGAGTGAGGGGTGAGAGAATGAATGGAGTTCCGGGGCCCTCCTCGAAACCCTCAAATCGAACCCTGGTTTAGCAGAGTGTTTGTCCTCTCTCTTGGCTTACACACTCTTCTACCCACACGGAAGTTGGCATGGAAAATTTGTCTAGGAGAAGATAAATCTGGAGGGTGGAGGAGGGAGGGCATTGGCACGATTGTTCCAAGATGAGGAGCTGAGACTACTGAGCACTACTAAGAGTGAGGTTTTCCTCATACAGAGCACCACTTAATAAAGTCTGGACATGGCTAAATGATTTTTTTTTTTTTTTAGATGGAGTCTCGCTCTGTCATCAGGCTGGAGTGCAGTGGCATGATCTACGCTCACTGCAATCTCTGACTGCCTGATTCAAGTGATTCTCCTGCCTCAGCCTCCTGAGTAGCTGGGACTACAGGCACGCGCCACCACGCCCAGCTAATTTCTGTATTTTTAGTAGAGACGGGGTTTCACCATGTTGGTCAGGATGGTCTCGATTTCCTGACCTCGTGATCTGCCCGCCTCAGCCTCCCAAAGTGCTGGGATTACAGGCGTGAGCAACCGCGCCCGGCAGGTCAAGTGATTTTTAACTACGTACAGTAGCATTGCTAGCCAGCTAGTTAGATATAGCCTCCCCTTGGCCTGGGAACCCCTTAATGGGCTGCCAGACTTCTTAAAAATCCTTTCCCCACATCTCCTGCTCTCTGTGTTTGAGGCTGTTTCCTCTCTACACTATCATCTTGAAAGCAAGGTAGGTTTTGTAAGGTTTACCACCAGACATGGATCTCAGCCAAGTGATGGAAAAAAGAATAAGGGACTTGTGCCTAGAATACACAAGGGGCTCTTACAACTCAATAATAAAATAACAAATAACCCAGTTCAAAAACAGGCAAAGAATCTGAATGGACAGTTCTCCAAATGAGATGCAAGAATGGTGAATAAGCACATGAAAACATGCTCAGACATCATGAGTCATCAAGGATGCTGCAAATCAAAATCACAAAGACGTACCACTGCATACCGCCTGGGATGGCTAGAATCAAGGCAGATAACAAGTATCGGTGAAGATGTGGAGAAATGGGAGCCCTCATAACCTGTTGATGCAAACACAAAATGGTCCAGCTTCTTTAGAAAACAGTCTGGTGGTTCCCCCAAAATTAAATATACGGTTACTGTATGACTCAGCAATTCTACTCCTAGATATATACCCAAGAATATTGAAAACATAAGCCCGTGCAGACATTTGTTCATGAATATATATAGCAGCATTAGTCACAATAGTGAAAAGGTGGAAATGAACCAAACGTTCATCGACAGAAGAATGGATAAACAAAATGTGATATACCCATACAATGGAATATTATCCAGCTATCAAAGGAATAAAGCACTGATACATACACTCTCAAATGGATGAACCTTGAACACATACTAAGTGAAAAAAGCCAGTCACAAAAGACCACACACTATATGATTCTATTCATATGAAAGCCTAGAATAGGGAAATGTATAGAGACAGAGAGTAGATTAGTGATTACTTAGGGCTTGGGGAAGGGGGTGGATGGGTAGGGAAATGACGGCTAAATGGTTTCTTTTTGAGGTAATGAAAATGTTCTAAAATTGTGGCAATTGTTATGCACATATGTGAATACACCAAAACCACTGAACTGTACACTTTTAATGAGCAAATTGTATGCTGTGTGAATTATGTCTCAATAAAGCTATACTTAATTTAAAAATCAAGTATAAAACGATGGGGAAATACTTAAATTAATTTATTCCAAGTGTATATGAGCAACAGAAAGTCTTTTGTCACCTCCTACACACTTCCTAACCACACACACACACACACACACACACACACACACACACACACACTGTCCTTCCAACTCACCCATGGCAACAGCATATATAGTGGGTGCTTAAGAAATATTTGTTACATTGGTGAATATATTTTATATCTAAGAATGGATATAGAGGGGGTGGGCCAACAGAGTAATAAAATAACTGAAAGTTGTCTGCTGAGGGGAACAGTGGACAGCTAGATGGGCGTGGGCTGTGGTTGGGGGTGGTCACTACAGGTCCTCTCTCTGCATGCATTTTGTCAGCCTGGCAGAGAACTACTTCCCTGAAATCCTGGGAAACACACCAGTTTTCAGTTGTACCTCTCTAGATTCAGTTGCTGCTTCCTCTTTAGTCAAATCCCTTTTCTTGTCAGCTGCTCCATCACAGTCTGCTCCCCCAAGGCCACCATCTCCCTTGCCCTCTCCCAATCCTACTACCTGGATGCCCGCAGTTCCACTAGGAATTGAGCAGACCCTACAGCAAAAAAGCTGCCTTGTGAGCTAATCAGCTTCATGTCACCAGAGGTGTGAAGGAGGACGATGGAAGTCTACTTATTGAGAATTTTGGAGAGACGATTCCTGTATAAGATTCCATCACATCCTGTATAAGCATGCTTGACTCATTTAACATTACCAATTTCAACTTCCTTATCTGTAAAGTGGGTGCATGCATGCACATCCTCCCCAAACTGTCTACCAGAAGGTAATTCAGATAGTTTCTGCTTTAAACAAACCCACAAATAAGGAATTGTGGATTTGCAAGTCGATAACCTTTCAAAAGTGCAGAAAGGACAAAAAGGAAGAAATAACATAGTATTGGATTATAACCCAAAGTATGAAATACATGAGTCCATGATGATATAAATAAATGCTTGAACAAATAAATAAATGGGGGAGAAAGGGCAAATTTTCCTTATAGAATGATTCCAAATAATATATGTAGATAATCCCTTCCTCCAAGAGGTGCAGCTTGATACCCTTCTGCTTGAGTGTGGGCTGGACTTAATAGCTCACTTCAAACTAATGCATCCATAAAGTAGAAATATATATAGAAATGGAAACATAGTAACTTTATGGTAGAGAAACCCTACAAACACTACCTTGGCCAGGTGATCAAGGTTAACTTACTAGTGATAAGTCATGTGGATATTATGTACCCACTGACACGATTCGATGAGAAGGGCATTTCACCTCTGTGGTATTCTGCCCTCAAACCCATAACACTGGTCTAATTATGAGGAAAACATCGGACAAACCAAAATTGAGGGACGTTCCCCAAAATACCTGGCCAATATGTTTAAAAACTGTGAAGGTCGTGAGTACCAAGGAAAAACTGACAAACTAACAGACCAGAGGAGAGTAAGAAGACAGTGACTAAATGAAATGTGGTATCCTGGATTGAATTCTCGAGCAGAAAAAGGACATTAGTGGCAAAACAAGTAAAATATGAATAAAGTCTGTAGTTAGTTAAAGTAATCCACAAATGCTGATCTCTAAATTTTGACGAAAGGACCATGGTTATGTAACAGGTTAAGAAAGCAGAAACTGGGTGATGGGTATACGTGAATACTCAGTACTGTCTTTGCAACTTCGATGTAAATCTAAAATTATTTCAAAACAAGAAGTTTATTTAAAGAAACAAACCCTGGTCAGTAAGTTGATGAAAAAAAGAAGGAGAAGAAGGAAGACAGAAAAGAAAAGGAATAGTCTCAAGATTCCTTTAACAGGATTTAAAGGCCTTAATACAACCATTCATCAAAGGTATTTGTAGAGACAGGCACTATGGTATAACAGTTAAGAATTGACTGTTATACCGCTCTACCGCTTGCTACCTGTGTGACCACGAGTAAGTAACTTAACCCCCCGTGCCTCAGTTTACCCATCTCTAAAATGAGGATAATAATAGCAACTACCTCATGGCCCAATACAAGGTTCAATTTTTTTTTTTTTTTTTTTTTTTTTGGCTAGTCAAGTGAAGCAGTGGGAGTACAGAAGCAACAAAGAAATCTATCACTGGTTGTGGTCATTAGCTGTAAACACCACTGCACTTGGAGCAGCCTGATTTTTTTTTTTAATTTTTTTTTTTTTTTTTTTTGAGGCAAGGTCTTTCTTTGTCATCCAGGCTGGAGTACAATGGCGTGACCACAGCTCACTGTAGCCTGGAACACCTGGGCTCAAGCAATCCTCCCACTCCAGCTTCCTGAGTAACTGGGACCACAGGAAGCCGCCACCATGCCTGGCTAATTTGTTTTATTTGTTGTAGAGATGAAGTCTCACAATATTACCCAGGTTGGTCTGAAAGTCTTGGCCTCAAGTGATCCAACCACCTCAGCCTCCCAAGTAGCTGGACATACAGGTGTGCGCCACCACACCTGTCTAATTTTTGTATTTTCTGCAGAGAAGAGGGCTCACTATGTTGCCCAGGCTGGTCTCAAACTCCTGGCCTCAAGTGATCCTCCCACCTCAGCCTCTGAAAGTACTGGGATTACAGGCGTGAGCCACTATGCTTGGCCAAGATTGATATTTGTTAATGAGTTAATATAATACAGTACTTAAAACAATGCCTAGCACTAGTAAATGCCATGTTTTTGTATTTTTATATTATAGATAAATATATAATTGTTTGTTAAATAAAATATCAAGTCATACTGCTACAAACACTCCTGGATAGGCACTGCCTGTGCAGCAGCCCATCATATACCTCAGTACACATCCACTGGACTCATACAACAGATCCAGAATACAATTTAGGGCTACTTATGAAACTAGCGACCTGTGAGCTAGCCTGTAGAATCCCCAAGTGGTGATTAGAGGAGCTACTTTTGAATAACAGGCTGCCTTGGGGACCCCAGGCATAGATCAGCAGTTAATTGTAGATGATGATATATCAGAGAGAAACCTACCAGACACCATTGTGTCCAAGGAAGTATTTCTATTCCTTCCTCCACATATTTGCTTGAGTTGCTTTTGTCCTCTAATACTCTCCTTATTTACCCGATGATGAATTAAGATCTTCCCTTCCTTTAACACCCAACTTAGATCCCACCTCAGCTCTGAGGCCTCATGGGCCTATCCCAGTCTTTCCTCTGAACTCCAACAGTACTTGGTCCCTTCATGTGGCCCTTAGAATACACTGCCTTGTGCATTTCTCTTCTCTCCTCAATTAATCATAAGTACCTCATGGGCAGGCACTGCTCTTGTGTCCCTCGCAGGAATGAGCTCACCTTCCACTGCCCCTGTGAGAGGGGAACCAACTAAGAGTATGCAAGGGAAAACAGAAAGTCCACTCTTCCAATCATTCGTCAAATACTGACTGAGCCCTGTGCTTGGGCTGTGGGATGTGGAGGGTGAAAGAGTTGAGTCCTTTTCCTCAGGAAGCCCACAATCTTGAATCAAATCGTTACATCCCAAATGCATAATAATATTTGCCTCTGGTGGGGGTAGGGAAAATGGGACAGGGGAAAGAAGCAAATGAGGCTGTGTTCGTTTTAGCATAATTATCTAGAGAAAAGAAAAAGACTCTCCAGAGGCTGTAAAACTAAAGGCGGGGGTCAGGGGCAATTCTGATGAGAGAGAGAGAGAAGAATTTGGAGCTTGGGGCGGCCAGAGCATATAGCTCAGGAGAGAAACAGTAAGAGAGAGAGGAGAAAGTATGACCCTTCCTTCAGTCTCTCCATCTTCAACAAATTCTACTCCCCACCACCAATTATTATTATTATTTTGAGACAGGACTCACTCTGTCTCCCACACTAGAGTGCAGTGGCAGGATCATGGCTCACTGCAGCCTTGACCTCCTAGGCTCAAGCGATCCTCCCACCTCAGCCTCCTGAATAGCTGGGACCACAGCTGCATACCACCATGCCTGGCTAATTCTTAAAACAAATTTTTGTAGAGACAGCATCACCTTATGTTGCCCAGGCTGGTGTTGAACTGCTGGCCTTAAGCAATCTCCCACCTTGGCCTCTCAATGTGCAGGGTTTACATGAGTGAGCCACTGTGCCTGGCCCAGTTACTTTAAAAAACAACAACAACAACAAAAAACAAACAAACAAACAAAAACCTTTGATGCCATTTGATTGTGGTAATTGCTAGGAAGAAAACACAGAGAGAAAGTAACAGGGTAGAGGGTATATTTTAGACTTGGCATGCAGAGAAGGCCTCTTTGGGGAGAGGATATTTAAATTGAGACCTAAAGACAAAGTTGCTAGAAGTGCAAAGACTGGGAATAGGAGTTGGGGTGAGTGTTTCAGATGAGGGGAACAATGAAATAGAGAAATATTGTTTTCGAGAAAAGAAGAAAGCGTGAGTGGAAATAAGCAGTAGGAGATATTACGTCCACTGAGATTTGGGTTAAGTGACTTGCCCCAGATTACGCAGCTAGTCAGTGACAAATGAGAGAATTCATGAGCTCTATTTTGAGAAATAGAATTGAACAGAAGGCCCCTGGAACTTCAAGATAGCATCTAGCAAGAGCAGCACGGACAAAACAATAGGGACAGAGACTCAGGCAGCTTTCTTGCTTTCTTTTAAAAAAAACATGTGTCTATTTTCCCCTTTTGTTTGCATCCAAACATCCATTATCTGTGCCTATTTTTATTGAATATATTTAAGGTGTACGATGTGATGTTGAGACTTTCTATTATTCTGGAAATTTTGTCAAAATTCCAGTGTTATTGATTTTTGTGAATCCTTCTGTGTTTTCCTGAAGGGGCTGACAGCAAAATCCTTGAATGAAAAGTACTGGATTTGTCAGAATTTCCCACGTGCTAGGCCATAGCTGCTTGTCTTTGGGGAAAGCAAGGAAGGGGTGACCTTCAGGCCTGGATCCCACACTTCAGTCAGTCTTGGGAAAGGTGAAGCCTGAGGCTCTTTGAAGGAGAAAAAAGAAGCTGAATGAGGCTGGACATGGTGGCTCATGCCTGTAATCCCAGCACTTTGGGAGGCCAAGGCAGGCGGCTCACGAGGTCAGGAGATCAAGACCATCCTGTCTAACACAGTGAAACCCCATCTCTACTAAAAATACAAAAAATTAGCCAGGCGTGGTGGCACTCGCTTCTAGTGCCAGCTACTCAGGAGGCTGAGGTAGGAGAATCACTTGAATCCAGGAGGTGGAGGTTGCAGTGAGCCAAGATCACGCCACTGTGCTCCAGCCTTGGTGACAGAGCAAGACTGTCTCAAAAAAAAAAAAAACAAAAAGGCTAAATGAAGACCTGGGTTTGGGGAAGAATCCAAAACAGGAGGGGCTACATGATTGGAGACATGGTGGGGGATTGAAGGGATGATGGGAACTTCACAGTTTAGAAGAGGGCCATATGGGTCCCCTGGAAAATGGCTCAGACAGAGCAGTCATCTTGCTCAAGGTCGCAGAGCTAGTGTGTGGCAAAACCAGGAGTGGAGCCCATGTTTGACGGGTTCCACAGCCTTTCTATTATATCACCCAAGATGATTTTCCCCACAACTCCTGTTTAATGTTGCCATTATGTTGGTTTTAGAATGTTTTTTAGAACATATGAGTGTGTGTGAGAGCGTGTGAGCGTGTGTTGAGGAGAGGCCTTGTTAGCATGGAAGCACTTTTGCTCTTGTATGTGCATATTTCTCCCATGTTTACCTAAGACTTGGTGGGATTATCAGGTGAATGTATTTCTTTCTGTTGAGAAATCTAACTCCAGAGAACACAGGGAAATCCTGAAACCTGAAGAGAGGGGTCTGATTTGCATTTCTCTGATGGCCAGTGATGATGAGCATTTTTTCATGTGTTTTTTGGCTGCATAAATGTCTTCTTTTGAGAAGTGTCTGTTCATGTCCTTCGCCCACTTTTTGATGGGGTTGTTTGTTTTTTTCTTGTAAATTTGTTTGAGTTCATTGCAGATTCTGGATATTAGCCCTTTGTCAGATGAGTAGGTTGCGAAAATTTTCTCCCATTTTGTAGGCTACCTGTTCACTCTGATGGTAGTTTCTTTTGCTGTGCAGAAGCTCTTTAGTTTAATTAGATCCCATTTGTCAATTTTGTCTTTTGTTGCCATTGCTTTTGGTGTTTCAGACATGAAGTCCTTGCCCATGCCTGTGTCCTGAATGGTAATGCCTAGGTTTTCTTCTAGGGTTTTTATGGTTTTAGGTTGAACGTTTAAGTCTTTAAGCCATCTTGAATTGATTTTTGTATAAGGTGTGAGGAAGGGATCCAGTTTTAGCTTTCTACATATGGCTAGCCAGTTTTCCCAGCACCATTTATTAAATAGGGAATCCTTTCCCCATTGCTTGTTTTTCTCAGGTTTGTTAGAATGGCAATCATTAAAAAGTCAGGAAACAACAGGTGCTGGAGAGGATGTGGAGAAATAGGAACACTTTTACACTGTTGGTGGGACTGTAAACTAGTTCAACCATTGTGGAAGTCAGTGTGGCGACTCCTCAGGGATCTAGAACTGGAAATACCATTTGACCCAGCCATCCCATTACTGGGTATATACCCAAAGGACTATAAATCATGCTGCTATAAAGACACATGCACACGTATGTTTATTGCGGCATTATTCACAATAGCAAAGACTTGGAACCAACCCAAATGTCCAACAATGATAGACCGGATTAAGAAAATGTGGCACATATACACCATGGAATACTATGCAGCCATAAAAAATGATGAGTTCATGTCCTTCATAGGGACATGGATGAAATTGGAAATCATCATTCTCAGTAAACTATCGCAAGAACAAAAAACCAAACACCGCATATTCTCACTCATAGGTGGGAACTGAACAATGAGATCACATGGACACAGGAAGGGGAATATCACACTCTGGGGACTGTTGTGGGGTGGTGGGAGCGGGGAGGGATAGCATCAGGAGATATACCTAATGCTAGATGACGAGTTAGTGGGTGCAGCGCACCAGCATGGCACATGTATACATATGTAACTAACCTGCACAATGTGCACATGTACCCTAAAACTTAAAAGTATAATAAAAAAAAAAGAGAGGGGTCTGAGGCACACTGACACTCCCCTTCTTGCCAGATCCTTTGGATTCTTGGGACAGCTGAGCAAGAATGGGGAGAAAGCATCCAAAAGCATCCACCTGGAGTGCAGGCTGAGCCTCTAGATTGAGCTTTTACAGGACTAGAAACATGGAAGGAAGGTCAGACATTGACAGCCAGAGAGACACCTGTTGGCTAGTGTCTAAGGGAGACCAGATAGTGGGATGTTGAAAGAATAAGGACAGAACAAAGGTCTGGGTAGCTCACCATCTTTTCCTGAGTTATCCTTTCACTGTGTGAATTTTTTCTTTTCTTTGTTTTTTCTTTTTGAGACAGGATCTCGCTCTGTCACCCAGCCTGGAGTGCAGTAGCATGATAGCAGCTCAGTGTAGTCTTCACTTCCCTGGCTCAGTTGATCCTCCCACCTCTGCCTCCAGAGAAGCTCAGATTACAGGCATGTGCCACTACGCCTGGCAAATTTTTGTATTTTTTGTAGAGATGTGGTTTCTCTATGTTGCCCAGGCTGGTCCTGAACTCCTGGGCTAACAGGATCCTCCTGTCTTGGCCTCCCAAAGTGCTGGAATTACAGGCAGGAGCCCCATGCCTGGTGTGAATGGAAAGTGCTATCAACTCCCAGCTTCTCAAACACGGTATATGTGATAAGAGTATGAGCTCTGAAGTCTCTACTAACCTTGGCAAATCAGGGAACCGCTCTGATCCTAGGTTTTCTCATCTGTAAAACAGGGTTAATGATAGTACCCATCCCATAGGAATGCTAATGAGATTAAGTGGTATGGAAAGCCACGGGAACAGAGGCTAACACACAGTAGGCCACCAGTGCATAGTATCTATCCTTATTTCCTCCCATTGAATGAAAATGCAAATGCAAATGACCATTGGATTATCCAGGCAACTGTATACTTCTGTAAGACCAAATAATAAAACCACTGGGGTGGAAAGAATGTTACAGATCTGTTGCTCTCTCTTAGTTTGACACATGAGGAACCCAAAACCCAATGGAGACAAGTGCATTAGAGGAAAATGAAAAAGACTGTGCAAAAGCAAACATCACGAAAGGGAATTATAAGATTTTTGAGTGGCTGCAAGACCAGATGAGTTAGTGTGCATATACATGTTTCAAAGCGAGAGGGAAAAAGAGGAAACTGGAGGGGAGATAAGGCTATCAAAGAAGGAAAGACCAGCATACAATGTGCTTTCCTGTGAAAGTCAGGAGTTTGAACTTCACCTAGATCAGCATTGTCCATTAAGAATATAATGTGATCCACATAGGCAATTTTAAGTATTCTAGCCGCCACATGAAAAAAGAAATGGGCAAAATCAACTTTAACATTATAATTCATTTAACCCACTATATCAAATACATTATCATTTTAACATGCAGTCAAAATGAATACTGATTAATGACATTTTGCACTCTTTTTTGAATACTAAGTCATTGAAATCTGGCATGTAGTTTTACAGTGACAGCACATCTTAATCTGAACTAGCCACATTTCAAATGCTCAAGGGCCACATGTAACTCAAGGGCCACATGAATCTAAGGACTAGTGTATTTGTCACTGCAGACCTAGGCAATGGGGAGCCACTGAGGCGTTTTAGGCAGTGGAGCGCCATGTCCTGATGCGTGCTTCAGAGCAAGAACAGGAGCCAGCCACTCAAGATTGCTATGTGTATTTGTGCAAGTTGTGTGCGGTACAAAGGACGTGGATGTGGGCTGCAATGCAGCCCAATAATTCTATACATCAAGCCAAGCACCCTGGCACAACACTGCCAGCTCAGAGTAAAGTGAACCTTTTCCTGATTGGTCAGCCCAGAGGCAGTGCCTTTCAGAAACAACAATAAGAACAACAAAAACACAACTTTCACGAAGATACTATATGTACTAGCACTAGCCTTGGGGAAAAGCCAGGCCCATGTAGCAGGTACACATATTAGTCCACCACTCAGGTAAGAAGCAGCACATCTTTTTACAAATCATAGTGAATTCCACTTTGATCTCCCAGGACCCACAGTCTGGAGGGAAACTCAACCTCAATTATTCTTGGGACTCTTCACTCAGAGTTGCGCCTGAGTTCTGATTTTTGTATGTACCAGGACATAGGGGTATGGCCCTCTCTGGTCATCAAGTCGTCTACTCACAGCGGCTAATGCTGAGGTATCTACTGGCCTCTGTGCAGGACCCTTCAGGCCCAACAGCACTCTGATGATTCTGCAAAAATCCTCTGCTTAACATCCCACCCTCCTAGATTCCCCACCTCACCATTCCTTTCTGGGGTCTTGCTGCCTTCCCATGCACACTGCCCAGAAGCCAGCCCAGGCTCTCCTGCTCTGGAACTTTCTCTTCTCCCATTGTATCAGGGAAATCACTTTTTTTGATGTGGAAAAAAGTCGTTTTCCCTTCATGTCTCCTCCAAGATGGTTTTTGTTTTGTTTCTTTACTGGCAAACTTTCCCCACTTTGAGGCTCAAGGCTGTTGTGAACCAAAATTAGAAAGTGCTATAGGGGCGCCAGGCCTGGTGGCTTACCCCTGTAATCCCAGCACTTCGGGAGGCCGAGGCAGGTGGGTGGCCAGGAGTTCCAGACCAGCCTGAGTGACATGGTGAAACCCCATCACTATTTTTTTTTAGTGCTGTACGAAAAGTCACTTTTCTGCCCTGTTTTCTGCCGTGCTACAAACCTCCTGGTAGCCAAGAGGGCCTGAACCAGCTATCTGCTTGATGGAAGGAAAGAAAAGGAGGAATGCACAGGAAGAAAAAAATAAATAAATATATTAGTCTCCTAAAATATTATCCAGCTATAGAGCAACAGAAAGTCTCCTATACCACTGATGGAAGAGTAAATTTGTACAACCACCGTGACAGGGTTTGTCACGATCTATTAAAGTTGAATATAGTCATATCAGGAATATCACCTGTAGGTATGTATCCAATAAAATGAGTGCTTGTGGCTAGCAAAAGACATGTATAGGTGCATTCATAGCAGCACTATTCCTAATAGGATCAAACTGGAAACAACCCAAATAAATGTCCATCAACTATACAATGGACGATATATAATGGAATATTATACAATATGAGAATAAAACAACAAGCAACAACACGGCTGACTCTCACAAGCATAATGTTGAGCAAAGGAAACTAAACGCACAAAAAATCATACGGTGTGATTCTATTTAGCTATGAAGTGTTGTAAAAGGCAGAATCCAGCCTGGTCAACATAGTGAAGCCCCATCTCTACAAAAAATGCAAATATTAGCCTGGTGTGGTGGCACATGCCTGTGGTTCCAGTTACTTGGGATGCTGAGGTGGAAGGAGCCCACCTCACATGAGCCTTGGAGGTCGAGGCTGCAGTGAGCTGTGATTGCACCACGGCCTTCCAGCCTGAGCAACAGACAGACTCTGTCTAAAAAAAAAAAAAAAAAAAAAAAGGCAGACTAAGAGGGGCTTTTGAGTGCTTCGAATGTTCTGTTTCTTGACCATGGGTGGGCTCAGTTTGTGATAATTTATTGATAATGTGTTGAGCTTATAATTTTGTTCAGTTTTCTGTATATAGCCAATACAATGTTTAAAAAGTAGGATGTCAACAAAAGAAAAACAATTACCTAGTCACACCAATTAACTGACAACATGCAATAATCCAGGCAAGAAAGAATGAAGGCGTGAATAATTTAAAGTAGTGGAAATAAGGAGAGGGAAGCTAGGACTGGATGTATGATTGGATGTAGACATTAGACAGAGAGAGGAGTTCTTGACAATGCCCAGGATTCCAGCTTGGACAACTGGGTAAATGATGATGGTGGGACTGGTTGAGATATGGAACATTGGAAGAGATAAGGCTGGTGAGTAGATGGTGAATACAATTGGCACATGATGAGTTCATAGTGTCTATGGACATTCATGTGGAGAGGCACAATGGCATGGGGTTTAAAAGTGAGGGCTGATTTTTATTCTGTACATGATGGAATAAACACACACCTCCCTTTATTGCCTACTGAACTTGAGTACAAAGCTTGTACAGAATGCATGCCAAACTATTTGAGAACTCTGAAAAGTAAATATTAGCAGACAGACTAGAGAAGGCTAGAATTAACAGTGCCACCAAACTGGAAGTGAGTTTACTATTTTTGTTCCTGCAGCATCCCCCAGCAGGAACTCAAGACAATCTGAAACTCAGAAGTGAGCACTCTGGTACAGACAGAGATCCAGTAGAAACCCTCTACTTCTGGTTGGAGGGGTGGAAAGGGGAGATCCAAAATGCTCAAAGAGAGTGGAGGAAATACACTGGTGCTGTTTTTATTTTTTCCCCTGTGGTCTGTCACCCCAGTCAGCAGGCGGTCCCACAGTTGAGGTGGTGGCAGTGGGAAAGAGTAGCCGGGGATGGGAAACTGCAGAAGCCAAAAGTGAATGAAAAGGGAGAACCTTACTTTTCTGTTCAATGAAGCTGCAGCTTTAAGGGGGAGGGGCCAAAACCCATTGCCTTTTTTTTTTTTTTTTTTTTTTTTGTCTCTGTCTCCCCGCCCCCTGCTCCTTCCCCGCCCCGAGCAAAGCGTCTCCTGCCACGTGGCCCAGACAACCTCCATCAATGAGAGCCTGCAGGGTACTGGAAAGTATTGGAAGGATAACGGAAAGTGAGGAGCTCAGGAATGTGGCCCCAAAGAGCTGTTATGACATCTAGGGTTTACCCTTGACCTCTGCGTCCGTTTTCTGAACCTAACTACCATAACGAAGGCTGTCAGAACTGAGAACTGAGCTAAGCGGTCTTCCCAACAGACCCAACTGACCTACTGGTTGGTCACGCGAGAAAACGGATTAGAACTGCGAAATATTTGAAAGCTTAACTGACATTGGAAATATAGGCTGTAGAAGAATAAAAGAAATAGCAACATTCTCCATAGTGGGGGTGGGGTGATGACTCTTAAAGGGAGAGCAGAGGGAGTTTATTGGGCGTGATGAACTGTTCTGTATCCTGATTATGGTGGTAGCTACATAATCTATACATGTGTTAAAATTTATAGAACTGTGAACCAAAACGGAAGAAAGCCAGTTTTACAGAATAATACTTAAAAAAATATAATTTAAAAGTGTGAAGGCTCTGGTGTTCAAATTCTGGTAACACCACTCACTAGCTGTGTTGACCCCAAACAAGTTTCCACCCCTCTGTGCTTCAGTTTCCTTGCCCTCAAACAGAGAAAATCCTAGTTTCTGCCTCCTGGAGAGTTTGTTATGATGGAGGTTAAATGAGATAATACATATAATGTGCTTAGACAGTGCCTGAGACATAGTGTTTGCTTAAGAAATGTCTGTGTATGTCCAGTAGTCAGTTCAATATAAGGGCCTGGGGTTCAGGAAACTGGTGAGAGGATGGAAGAAATCACTGCGTGAGTCACTGCTGTGTATATTTGGGTATTTATAGCCATAGGACAAATAGCTGCTGTGACCTTATGTTTTTAAGCCATGCAACCTACCCAGCCACCAAGCTTCCTCACTTCACTCCTGACCGCTTTCCAGTTTTCATGTAGTTCCTAACCTGTGGTGCTGTCTCCAATTTGGCCTTCAGTTCACTGACTGGTCATGACCTCTCCAAGCTGTTCTTTAAGCTGTTCTCATTCTTCTTTGTGGATCAAAACCTCTTGGACATTCTGCAAAATGCCTGGCCTAGACTCTTAAAAAAGTGACAATGTCATTAAAGACCAGGAAAAAATGGCTGGGACCTTTCTAGATTAAAGGAGACTAAAGGGACATGATAACTCAATACAATGCATGGATATTGGATAGAGCAGAGGGGAACAGCTATTGAGGCTATTATTGGGATTTTTTAGGACAACTGGCTATGACTTGTATGTGGACGAATGTCCTAGTTCCTAGGAGACACACACTGGAGTATTTAGGGTTGAATATCATGATGTCTACACTGACTTTCAAATGGCTCAGAAAAATAATGATAATTTTATATAATAATAATAATTATTATATATATGCACACAATTTTAGTCATTTGTGTGCCAGATAGATAAAGCAAGATGGCAAAATATGAACAATTGAAGCTAGATGAAGGGTATATGGGTACTTATTATACTGGTGTTACAACTTTTCCATAAGTTTTAATTTCTTCAAAATAGAACGGAGTAATATGACATCACTTGGAGATATGTAAAATATACATGCTTGTTTTGCAACCCCAAACAAAGGAATTGAGAATTTATCTGGAGTTGGGGTGGGACAGATGGGCTGGGAATCTGTATTTTAAAAGTTGCGGTATCCTAGCGAAGAAACACCACTGAGAGAACCTCATCTCACACCCTCCTCTACCTCCTCTGGTCCTTGCCGTCTTCCAGGATCCAAACTCTGGCACGAGTTCTCTTTGGCAGTGTCCCAGCTAGGCCTGTCCACCCACCCTCTGTAAAGTGGGTGCAGCTAGATAGTGGGGCTTGTGGGAAGAGCAGCAAAACAAGGATAGATCCTGGGTAGGTCAACAGTTATCAGATGGGCAGAGAAAGAGGGTTCTCTGAAAGAGACTGGGAAGAAAGGGCCAGGGAAGTAGGAAGAAAACCCCAAGATTCGACTCAAAGGAGGATGGAGAGATATGACAAGTCACTCTAGGTGTGCCTGCTTAGAGTTTGCATCAGGATGGGGATAACTAAGTTGTTCTGTCATTTCAGAAGTGGACCATTTGGTTGCAGAGGAGATTTTCCTGGCAAGTCCTCCCTTCCCTTTAGCAGATAGTTTGTGCCACAGGACTCATTGACAAAGGCATCCGAAGTCTCCAACAGGAAAAATTTCTTTTCCAAAAGCAGGGCCTTTGGGAACGAGATGCTGTCAGCCACTGAGAGGAAAGTTAGCAGATCAGGGTGTTTTATTTTACTTTCCTCTCTTGCTGAGTTCTGGGACATGATTTATCTTCTATTGGGAGGTGCTGTGTTAAGCCACGTCAAGGTCATTAAAAATATATGCATTTGGCATTTGGAGGTCGGGGAGAGTTTGGAGTCTGCCTTCTACTGTTTCTGGCATCTGATGGTTGTGACAGTGGCAAATAAAGGCCTGGAGGCCAAGTGTAACCTTAGGGAAGGAAAATGAAAACCTACCACCCTTCTCTTCATCAATTGTCTCCATCACAGCTGGGGTTTCTAGTCGGTCATAAGGGGCACTGCTCACCTTCCCCATCTGCCCCCCAGTAGGTATGTTAGTTCAGCTCTGGAATCTTTTAACATTTAGTGAAGTCCATTTTAAAAAGGAAAAATGAAAGGAACCAAAAAAAAAGCAGAAATAAGCAAAGGAAGTAAAGAACAGTTAAGCAGCACATGGCTCGCTCCAATGTATCCTTCCCATAGCAGACTGAGTGAGCACTCCAGAACACAAAGCTTACTCTGAAACTGCAGAGCTCAAACCCTTCAAGTGGTTTCTCCTTGAACTTAGCAGTGAATCCACATAGTACTCTGATGCCAGCTGACTTTTCTAGCCTTGTCACCCTTCAGTTCCCCTTCACACACTTTCTACTCCAGTGCCATGTCTCCTGGATTCCTAAGCAAGCCATGCCTTTATTCACCTCTGACGTTTTGCACATGGATGGGCACCCACCAGCCACTCAAGTGTGGTGGTGAATAGTACAGAGTCAAGTCTCATTTTGCCTGGGCGTCATCCCAGATGTAGGCAACTTTCTGATCCTCTGTACCTTCATTTCCTCAGTTGAGAATTGGGGCTACCAAGAGAGGCACCTTGAGGATTAGATGTGACAATCTGTGAGAAGAGCCTAGCAGAGGGCCTGGCTCAGCACACAGTTAGCTGTTACTTAACAAACATTGATTGTCTGGGTGCCCAGTAGGTGGGAGGCCCTTATCTGTTCATTTGTTACAAGCTATTTGTAGTCTGGTGGAAAGGCAGACATGAAACCAAGACATTATAAGACAGTGTGATCCAGTGGCGCTGGAACTGTGTGGGTTTGTACCTTTTCTTCAGCTGAGCTCGCCCCAGGTGTTATCTAGAATTCAACTCTTAGCCAGGCCCGAGACTTGAGGAAGATAAGAGAAAGTAAAATACTTCCACCCTGGGAGAGGCATTTCAGACTTGAGGCACTAGCACAGCCCCACAGCTATTCAAATGTTGAAATCCTTTCCTACTGATTGGCAAGTGCCCTGAACACCCCAACTGCCTGTAACCCCTCCTTTCCTTCTACTTCACACATTCTGGCGTGCATTGGTCGGATACCATCAGAGACTGTCCTTGTCTCCTGCCAGGGTGCAAGGGTGCTAGCCTGTCTTGTTGCTCTTTAGCTCTGGTTCCCCTCAACCCCCAACAAGGAGCAGCCCTGAGCCCTCTGAGCAAATGCAAATTCCATACTTGTTCTGCGAGGCTACATTTTCAACATTACATATGCTTCTCCTTGGGGATATTGCCTGCTCTGAGTCCCAGGAGCTGTATCGGCTTGCTTTGGGGGATGCCCAGTTCAGCCTTCTTCTGGGCTATGGTCTATGCCAGCAATATCCTTTGAAAACCTCTGCCTGTCCACCAGGGGAGATTTCTTCCAGCTAACCATCCACTCTACTGCAGAGGTTCCTGTCACCTCCTAGTTGTTCCTACTCCATTCTGTCAGTGTTACCTGCACTATGCTAGGATTTATCCTGACTTATGATGTTATGGACAAGGTCCTGGTGTCCTGTGAAGTAGTATAGAGTGGAAGCTTTGGAGCCTATCTGTGTTTTTCAATCCCAGCTCCAGCACTTCCTAGCTCTGTGACCTTAGCAAGTTACTCAGCCTTTCCAAGCCTCTGTCATCTCATCTGCAAAAAGGGATAACAGTAATACATACCTTATAGGGCTTTTGGGAGGATTATATAATACTGAAAAGCATTTAGAAGAATGCTGACTCACAGTAAAAGCTCAACAAATGTTAGACGTTATTATTATTGCTATTATTATTATTTTGTATTGAAGCTCTTTTTTTTTTTGAGGAAGGTCTTGTCACCCAGGCTGGAGTGCAGTGGTGCAATCTTGGCTCACTGCAGCCTCAACCTCCCGGGCTCAGGTAATCCTCCCACCTCAGACTCCTAAGTAGCTGGGACTACAGGCAAGTGCCACCATGCCCGACTAAGTTTTGCGTTTATATAGATGGGGTTTTACCATGTTGCCTAGGCTGGTGTTGTACTCCTGAGTTCAAGCGATCCACCTGTCTCGGCCTCCCAAAGTGCTGTGATTAGAGGCCTGAGCCACCGTGCCCAACCATACTGAAGCTTTAGTGGGCTTCATTTAGGTATATTTTCAAATATAATTGCCTCTTTTGATGTACATAACCGTTCTAATGAGGTAGGTATAAAAGACTATTGGTTAGAATCCCAATTTTTGAGGTAAAGAAATTAAGACTTGGCTATATGAAGTGAGATGGCCATGGTTAATGACAAGTTTTATGATTTCCCGTTTAATGTTATTGTTCTCCACCAGAAGACACTGAAATAGATGGATTGTTATTTATTCAATAAATATTTATTGAATGGCTACTGTGTGCCAGGCATTGTGCTGGGCGCTGAGGGTACAGTGGTGAGCAAGACAGACAGGTCCCTGTGCTCCTGAAGTTACCATTTTAGTGGAAGGGGACAATCAATAAGCAAGTAAATAACAATAAAAGGTATATATCAGTTAGTGCAATAAAAATTAAACAGGGCAATGGGATACAAAGTAATTAAGGGAGATAAGGTAGTGAATGAAGGAGGGTTTTTCTGGGGAGGTGACTTTCATGACAAGTAGATGAGCTGGAGACCTTCTCACCTTGGATATGTAGCTAGGTTCTGGGAGAGAAGTCCTCATGAAGAGGGGATTTCCAAGGTCCTACTCTGGGCCACCATAGACAAGTGGACAGGAAGGAGGGTTGCAAGATAAGGGTTGCTCAGAGCCCAAAGTCAGAAAGACTTGCTAAATTTGAGATTTTCTGGAAAGAGGCAGGAGAGCAAAGAAACTTTTAGCAGTGGAAAGGGAATTTTTTTCCTTATAGGTACTTATTAAGTTTAAACATTTTAAAAGTAACTTTATTGAGATATAATTTAGATAGAATAAAGTTCACTGATTCTAAGCATACAGGTTAACGAGTCTTGAGAAACATAGACCCCTGTGTTAAACATCGCCTCTCTCAAGATATACAGAACATTTTCATCACCCTAAAGTGTTCCCTTGAGACTTTCGCAGTCAATTCTGGCTAGGTATTATGTAGAATGTCCCTCAGTTTGGGTTTGTCTGATGGTTTCTCATTATTAGACTAGGGTTATGTGTTTTTTGCAAGAATACCACAGAAGCGATAAGCCCTTCTTATCATATTATATCGGGAGATACATGATATCATTGTGTCTTTCCTGGTGATATTGGCCTTGACCATCTAATTAAGATGTAACTAACAGATTTCTCCATTGGAAAGTTACTACTTTTCCCTTTGCAATTAATAAGTATCTTGAGAGAGACACTGAAACTATCCCATAAATATTTGATTTAGCACTATATAAGACCTATATGTTGAATTAGAGAGTGGTGTTTTGTTGAATTTAGTTTTACCAGTCAAGAGCATGGTCTATTTTTACTATTCACCTGTTTTTATTTTTCTCATTCATGTTTTATAGTTTGTTCTTTAATAAACATGGATCTGGATTAATGGGAAGACAATGTGATAGAAAGGAAAGAGCATAGTATTTGACACGAGGCAAACCTGGATTTGAATCCCAACTTTCCCACTCACTGGTTAGATGACCTTGCAAAAGGCCTGACTCGCTAATTTCTCATCCATAAAAAGTGGCTGGGAAGAAACCATCTCACAAGGTTTTTGAAAGCATTAAAGCACTGAGTAGTATCTGGCACTCAGTAAGTGCTGTGTAAATGTCATTTCTTGCCTCCTTTAATACCCAAGTGTTTAATATTGTTGTCACAATTGTGAGTAGACTCCTCTTTCTGGCAGGGTGGCCTTAGGATATAGGAATTCAACAGATTCTTTTAGATTTATTTTATGTTCTGACACCACAGAGGCTTTGGCTCGGGAGAAGCAGTGAACTTTTTACATGTCTCTGAGTCACTGGGGAGACTGTTTTAATTGACAGCAAATTATTGCAGCTCACCAGTATCTCCTATCCTAGTACCTTTGCAAAACTCCTTCATTACCTTTGGTATTTGGGGATTTGATTTTCACTGATGTACAAATATACTATTTGCAAAAGCGGCATTTTTTTCCCTCTTTCCTATATTTCTACTTTTTGTTTATTTTTCTTCTTTCATTATTAGAATTGTTTTAAGGTAGAACTTTAACACGGGTAATCTTGTGCAGTTCCTGTTTTTACCCAGAATAAATCTCATATGAGTTTTTATTTATTTATTTTTTATTTTTGGGGGGGTGGGGGGGAAAGGGTGTACTCTTATCATATTAAACAAGAGAGAAAACACTGCAACACCCACCCTCACCCACCCCATCTCTGATTTCTGATGTCTTAAGACTTAAGCAAAACTTTGCTTTCCTTGTTTGGTCTTTTTCCTTGTTCCAAATTTTATTTCCCCTTTTCTAAACTTTTAATTTGTTATTTGACATGAGGCAAACGTGGATTTGAGTTTACACTGGATTTTAGTTTAAACCTGGATTTTATTTTACTTTCTTTAGGCAGGATGTCACTGTTTCTTTTTTTATTCTGATATAGGCTTTAAGGGCAACACATTCTCTAAATGCTGCCTTGGCAATCTCCCAGAAAGTGTTACTGTTGTCAGAAAAAGGGGTCCTGATCCAGACCCCAAGAGAGGGTTCTTGGATCTAATGCAGGAAGGAATTCAAGGCAAGTTGTAGAGTGCAGGGAGAAGAGACAGTTTATTGAACACTGCTACTCAGTTACAGAGTAGGGCGTCCTCAGCTGCTACTCAGTTACAGAGTAGGGCATCCTCAGCTGCTACTCAGTTACAGAGTAGGGCGTCCTCAGAAAGCAAGAGGAGGAACGACTTGTCTTTAAGTTTTCTTATATAGTGGTCTTATTTTCTATGTAAAACTAAGTTATGTCTACATGCTGGTGGGCTGACAGCATGACAATTTATTATTTTGCTGATGTAAAGAAAACTATTCTTGGCATTTTAGCTTGTAAGCACATCAAAGCATGACTATAATCAACTTAAAAGCATATATTGTTATGCGATATTGGGACATCTGAACATTCTGCTGTCGTGGGCATTTATCCTTACAGGTATTATTAAGCTGTTTCCTCAGCCATAAACATCTTATGACCATGGGCCGTGACTGGCAAGGAATGTGCCTTATTAGTTTTAACATGGAATTGATTTTAAAATGGTGTCACCTGGCTCTCCTAGGCTCCTGTTTCTCTAACATTACTCCCATGAAATCAGTCTTACAAATTAATTTTTCCTTTTGCCTCAGGCTCCATTATGGCTTGGCATGGCACTGTTACTGATCGTGTGTATAAAAATTTTTGATATTTTGTTCATCACGGTTTTTTGGCATTAATTTATTAAAATATTATTTGATTATGGAGTTTTTGATCCCTGAGGCAAGTACCTCTCTCACCTCATTCCAGTCTAGTTCTGGCCTTGTAATAACCTCCCAGACAAGTTTTGCTTATAATTTTCTTTTGAAATGGAAGCCTGATATCAGAGAGACTGAAACTGTTATTAAGCCAATTGTACCGCCTGCCAGGAGAGAATCATGCTGTCCTTTTCTGCTCCTTTCGCCTCTTTCTTACTATATGCCAGACTCTCAGCTCAGCAGAAGTCCTTGTCCATTTCCAGCTGCTGGCATTGAGCACGGCCACATTGCTATTGGGATGCCTGGGGTTACTTCTTCATTTAGAGAGGTCAAAGGCCAGGGTCTTATTCTCCGGAAATAAACCCCAAGGGCTATTGAGCTCCTCCAGACCCTTGACAGGGCCCTTGTGGCCCAAAGCATTCCTTTCTCTGCTGGAATCTGTCAGTTAGCTCTGGCAAAAATCAAGTTTCCTCGCTCTGAACTTACTCCATCCACACAAGTTTCCCTTAGAAATTATGGAAAAGAAACTTGTTCGTATAATTCTCAAATGTCAGAACTGGAAAGGCCCTGAGAGACCATCTTGCCCCAACCCCTTTCATTTAACAGAACATGTAACTTCCTTTGCTCTATTTCCACGTTTCAAGGAATCCCCAAGGCTGCCTCATAATAAAAATCAGGAACAAGGTAAGAGCCAAGTTAATCAAGGAAGTAAACTGCTATGGGACCCAGCTGTGCTCAGGGAGGACTGAATCATTAGAAATGTAGCCCTGGCCTCGAGATTTGTTTATTAAGGATTTTCTTCAAGGGCAAAGAGAAGGATCTGTGATGGCTCAACTCCAAAGATTTTAATGGGGTGGGGTGAGACTCAAAAAGATTCCATGAGCTTTCAGCCGGGCTGGAGAGTTGTAAAGATCCTGCTTTGAAGAAGCCTGCCTTTACTTCTTCTATCTGACTGGGTCTGGCATCGTGGAGAAGTTGGCAAAGTTTGCCTGTGTGCTTAACTTCTCCCAAAATGTGTCTCTCTGGGTCCCATACTCAGAGGATATGCTTTCAGTTCTGAAATGTATCAAGAGGGCACTCCTGTGTTAGGACTGGCATTGAAAGTCACATATCATTCACATATCTACATTTGCAACAAAATCCACCCTGTGCAAAACACCATCACATCTATTCCTCTAGTTTAACCTGTAAACAATGTAAGGTAATTTTTAGCTACATTTTACAGATGAACAGGCTCAGTCTGCAGGATTGCCTAAGGCCATGTGACTAGTAAGAGGCAAAGCTTTGACTGTTGAGTCCAGAAGGACACCCCATCCTGTGCTTGTTCTACTAAGCCGCAACGCCTCAAGGGTGCCAAAGTGTGCCATGAGAGCACACAGTAAACTAGCTAACAAGGGCCGCAGGGTTGAAACCACTGTCTTGATCTGATTTGCAGTGAATGCTAGCACTGTGATTGACTTACAGGACACATAGAACAAATCTGGGAACTTACTGTTATTCCCAGAGAAGACACTGGGACATTGGGCCCCAAAGGAATTTACCCATCTTGGAGGTTTATGTTCTTGGAAAATTTTTCCTTCAGACTGGAAGAAGACAAGGATATCTCATCAACTGAAGGAAATTCCTTATAAGGAAGCTTTATTCACACACAGGAGAGGATCAGATCCCACTGTAGTTCTGGGTAGTATTTAGCTATGTGCAGTGAACACTTTTGAGGGATGTGTGTGTAGCAAGGCAGGGTAATGGGTATACGCTTTCTTCAACTAAACCAAGAAAGCTGTATCCTTGGGATTAGAAAGGGGATTATCAAGTTAGTTGTGCAGTTCAGGGAGAAATAGGAAGGCCACAGGTGGGAAAACTCTAAATAGACTGTGAACTGAGATTATTTGGACAAACCAGATTACTTAGGGACCTTGACATGGATTATATCCCTGTGTCCTCGGTGCTCAGAAAATAATCCAGGGTGAGATCTGAATACAACTCCAACACTGTATCACCATTCCTGGAAAATGAGCCAATTCCCTTCTCTTGTCTTGGAAATAGCTGATCAAAAAACAATGACACATTTATTATTATTTTTTTTTATTTTATTTCCCAGTTTGTTGACACCTCTTACATTCACAGGCAACTGCTCAAGTGTATTGGGAAATACAGTTGTGTATTGTGCAGTTGACTGGCCTGATGGTGGGGGTGCTCTGGCTGGGATGGAATGCTGCTAGGGGGGCTAAGATGAAGAGGAGTCAAGGATCAGCTCACAGGTTAGCGAGCAGCCAGTCCAGCAACTGTTTCCTGGCCACCTTTCCCACAGCTTCATCTGGTTGCCGTTCCTTGGCAAACTTCATGACCTCTTGAAGAAGACCTCCTACACTGTACCCCTTCTCTGCTGCTTTAGCTGAAACCTGAGGAAGCTGTGGGGAAAACAGAGCTAGTGTGAGTTGCGTGATGCTTTTTGGAGGAAAGACCTGCTGGACGAAGTTCTACCACCCAACCCCCTCAACCCCTAACCTCCTCACCCACACCCACCACCTTCCCGCCCATGATTCTAGGATTAGGGTACAGCATGTCATAGATCTAGGACTAGAGGCTGCTGACACATCTTTCCTTTTCCCTTGAAACTTCTCTAATGACATAGATCAAAATGCCAAAGATACTTTCTTTTTTGAGCTTCAAAAACACACTCTGAAATTAGTTGTGTTCATTAAATACTTTTCACCAGATGCTGGACCCTTCAGTTAGTCTGTGCTGATTGCTAGGTCAAGGTTTGGGGTTGCCATTCCCCCACCTCCCTAAAAAAGTATGAGACTTGGAGTAGGGAGGATTGTCTGAGCTTGGCTCCTGGACTGAAAATAACTTTGTTAAGTATTTGATGTTTCTGGAATCCATCTAATGCAGGAAACTCAGCTGTCAGATAGGTGTGTGTGTGTGTGTGTGTGTGTGTGTGTGTGTGTGTGTGAGAGAGAGAAAGAGAGAGAGAGAGAGACAGAGAGAGAATGTGCATCTATATGAATGTATGAATGCTGGCCTCCATGGAATCTGAGGAGCAGGGCCAGGACTAGGGTCAGGCAAGTGAGGCACCTAGGGCATAAAATTTAAGGAGACAGGACTCTCAGGGCACTTGCAGGACCCATGAGTTTGGGGGAGGAGCATAGGGAAAATAGTAAGAGACAAGTTTCAAACTGTTTCTGGTAGGTCAAACACAAAATTAGTCCATGATACTTCCAACACCTCAAGAGGTAGGGAAGAACTCCATTTTCCTTTTTTGTTCCCTCCTCTCTAGAGTACTTTGGGGGATCTTAAAACTCAAAACATAAGACTTAATCATTCCCCAATGTTTTATCAAATAGTTTGTCAAAAGGGTCACGGATGAAATGCGTTAATCTCACTCTCCTCCTCTTGGTGGAAATGCACAGGCTTTGAGGTGTCCACTTAGCTAGTGGTTCACCGTTTTTGTGTCTTTTTATGAGGTGAAAGTAATTCATGAAGCACACGGTAAAGAATAGACTTGAAACTCGAATGATCTTGGGCTCTAAGTACAATGCTGCCTCCCTGCCTCTGCCCATTCCAACTTTCTTCTTGTGCCTTAATGCATTACTTACCTTTTCCAGTTGTCCATCCTTATCTCCCATGAAGTAGAGCATGGGCACGTTAAACTGGGAGGCTGCAATCCACTGCAGGACAGCCTGGAGCTGCTTCTGCAAGCTATTTGTAGAGCACTGATTATTGACAATTACTTCATGTCCAAGAGAGTCTTGATAGTTCTGTGGCATTGCACCACTGTGAATGCATCTGGTGCCCCTGAAATTGGGCTTATTTGCCGAGGCTGCTTGTTCTTCCAACTCAGCAAGGGCTGCCCCATCGTTGCTATACTTAGCCATGATAAGGCAGAGCTTCATCACAGATTCTACTAGTTTATCTATAAATTGCCCGTTCGCTTGCTTCATCCCACTGGTACAGTCAAGTTCTTGATGCTCCTGGCATTGTTCTTCCGCTTTGTCAGATCTGTTGGACATGGAAGCTGCTTTGCTTGCCCTGGGCTCAGAACACTTGTTCTCACCTTCGCATGGATCCTCACATTTGAAGGGGTTCTCATTAAGCAGTTTCTGAATCAGCATTAGAACGATGTTTGACATATCCATTTTCTGGGAGTCCAGGTGTTGGTTCTCCTTTTGACAGGTGGATGGTCCAGGGGCTCTGTGAGATTCTAGTTGTTTCACTGAAAGTGCTTTGGCACTTTGGCCACCTCCACACTTTTCATATTGAGTACTCTGAGCCATATAGCCCATGGTGGAACCAGGACAGTCTTCTTCACATGTATCTTTGCCCTTAGTCTGCTGGGTCAGATGGTACTGGATCAGCTTAAGGGCAGAGACAATCAGGTCCTTGGCCAGTGAATCTGTGGAAGCATTGATCTTTTCTCCTTTCTCATCTTTATTGCTGCATGCTTTGGTAGCCACCTTGCATGAGTTTCCTTGCTTTTGGTTCCAGATGGTTAGGCCCTCTTTGAGAATGTGTTCACCGACTTTCTCAGCACTAGTCAGTGACTTGCATGGGTCTGATTTCATTTTGCCTTTGTCCCTCTCTTTCATTTCAGCTTTCATGGTGGAGAATTCAAGACTCTGATTCCTGCATTTGGGATCATGGGACCCAGCTTTTAAAGATGCATATGACAGACTCTGAGACTTAGTCTCCTTCTCCTCACCTATAAGGGCACTGACCAAGCGCTTCAGCATGGCCTCCATGATGTCTGTAGCATTTTGTTTCCACTGGTTGAACAGATTTCTCTTGACAGCTGAGACAAAGTCTGAGTCAGTCATCAGGACCCCAGTAATATTATGCAGGTTCTTCATGCAAGAATCAATCAAATCGGACACAATCTCCTTGGTGTGCCTTAGCAACACCCTCTTCAGGACCACAGATGCTGGAATTGGCTTCCCAGAGCTGTGCACTTTCAAGGTCTTCATGAGAGAGACCATCATGTCAGATGCCACCTGATTTGCATAAACCATGAGCCCCTTGCTGATGGAATCTGCAAATTCTTTGCTCTCTCTCTGGGACATCTGTTTGTCTCCACTTTTGCTCTTGTTGGATAATTCGCTATATAGAAAGCTTTTCTGGCCACCTTCCCTGGACTCCTCTCCAGTGCCACGCATTTCTGCAGCTGTCAGTTCCACAGCTTCATAGGCCATTTCAGAAGCAATCTTGCTCGCAGGAGTTCGGGGACTGATTCTCTCTTTGTTCCCAGGGGATGGACAGATTGAATGATGAAGGCATTTGCTTTTACCTTCCAACTTCTCCTTGATTTCCTTATGGGCCATCTGGATTACCAGAGAAGATAGTCGGTTGACGTAGAAGGAAAGGTCATCTATAGAACATTCTCCATCAGGGGAAATGACTGCTCTCTGAGTGCTAGGAGGTTTGGCTGGAGGAGCTGAAGGACTTTGATTATTGTTGGTGTTTTTAGCTGCTGTCATTTCTAGACGTAGGTTTTGAGGTCTGTTCATCAAATAATCTATGTTCACTTGATCGGCATAGACACTGTAGCAGTTCTCAGAGGATGCTCTGTGATATTCGCCCTCTGTGTCTCCTACTTTATGTTTACAGGTAGAGGTTGAGGGGCTCAGTGCATGTTGGAAACCCAAGGCATACTTCTGGAGATCACTGAGAAGCCAGTTGAGGACACTTACAGGATCAGAGGGAGCTTGTTTGAAAAGGCATACAGATCCCTCTGTCTAAAAAAAGAAGAAGACCTATCCATAAGAGTTTGGGTAGGCTACTTTTTTCCCTTATTTTATTTAGAAGATGTATCAGATTAGGGATTTGACCTTTTGGAGTTTGTATGGGAACGTAACATCCAGTTATATCCATTAGTACACATTCAAGCAGAAGTGGCAGCAACAAAAGTTCAAAGTATATACATGTGTATACTTTATAGAAGGGTTATCAATATATGTCTGCCAACTCATATGAATATGTTGTATCTCAATGTGTCAAAAATGTGTCAGTGTGTCTGTTGTGTGTGTATATATGCATGGAAATATAGCAGTTCACATGTGTGAACATCTCAAAGACGTGAGAATGTGCCATTCTGTATTGTTAGTGTGTGAAAATGTGCTTCTGTGTGTGTGTGCATATGTGTGACTATGTCTAAGCATGTGTAATAATGTGTTGACATCATTACCTATTGTATATGTCTACTGTATAGGCTGACATGTGCATGTTAGTATGCATATTTGTACATGTGTGAATGTCAAAATATGAGTGTCTATGTCAGTGTGTCTCTGAATATGTAAATGAGCAAGTGTCAATTTCAGTAATCTGCATATATGTGTGTAATATAAATTCACTAGTATGTATCATGCAGCTATAAATGCATTTATGTATGTTAAAGCATAAATTCACATATTAACATACACATTCATTAATATAATAGATACAATTTTAATATATTAATGTATATGTATGTTAAAACATGAATATGTGTAAACAGGTGATTGTATAATGACTATGTATGTTCATAAATTGGGTATAAATTTATGTTATATTTATATGTTATGTCAATATTTGACCATGTGTATGTCAATGTTGTACATACCCTGGTATTTGAGTATGTGTGTGAGTAGGTGTGTTATTGCATTTGTGTCAACAGTGTATGTATCAATACGAACAAACAAGTGTGTTAGTAAATATGTGTCGCTTAGTGTAAGTTTGTGTGTATGTCAGCATGACTGTATATGACCATATATGTCTTTGCATACATATGTATATTTATAAGTGTGTATACCAATAACTGAGTCTGTATGGTCACTATGTTTTGATCAAGTCTTATGCATGTAATGTGTGTGAATGTATGTTCATGCATTGTGTAATATGGGTGTTTATGTGTGTCCTGTGTGGGCATGTCACTGCATCTGACTCTGTATGACTTTGTATATCTTTGTATATGTGTGTCATTGTTTATGATCAGTTTAAGTTTGCTACATCAATGCTTGTGTATGTCAATATCAAATGTAGCCAAGCATGTATTTATAATTGCTTGTATAAATTGTTTTTTGTAAATGTATATAAATGTATACATTGATGTGTGTATCATTTTGTATAAATTTATATGTGTATACCTATGCCTGTGACTGTGTATGCCCATGTCCAGATATGTGTATATGTACTATATACACATATTCCACCCAACACTAACTACCAAGCCCTCTGCTCCTTCTATTGCTTCATCTCCTCTCTTTTCACTGAATTTCTGGAAATGTGAGGTCATGATAAAGTCAACTTTTTGCAAATGAGCTTAAGTTACAATCAAGCAGATCTGCATTGTATGTAGGAAACATGGGCTGCTTTTTCAAAAATTAATGCCAGGTATAATTTATCCCTTTCTTAAGACTCCAAAATTGAGTTGGCCATACCCAAGTAAACTGAAAACTCTTTGGATACTGTAATGTAAACTTGTTTTTCCTTCCTTGGGGGCCACTCCTTTCTGGAGTCTGGGGTCAGAAATAATGTTTTGGTTATAATATGAGCCTGGAGACACAGAACAAGAAACATTTGATTCCTCTGCATTAAAGTCAAATATCCTGCCCTATTACCAGCCACTCCAGGCTTGTAGGTATGAGAGGGTGACTTGTTGTATGCTCCAGTGCCCTCCCAAAACCAGGACCCTAACAGATATAATTTTGGATACTTAAACAAAACCAAAAGGAGTTTGTATGTCACAGTGGCATGCAAGTTTAATTGCTTCTAACTTTAAGCTACTCAACAGCCTAGGTAATCTCTTAGACAACAGGGTAAGGATGAGGCACTCAAATTCTTGGTGGTTATGGATTGTCTCTGCTCCATACCCCTCTTTCTTCCCTGCTGGATGCTGGGCAATGTGGGGCACACAAGTCCATTACCAGCCAGCGAAGAACATTACAAATAGTCTTGTGTGATTATGATTGGATGGGTAGCTGGAAATCAGGAGAGGGCATTCTGAGCCTCTGTGATTAGTGCCATTATTAAGTACCTGGGTGTTGAACTTACTGTGGTCTTGAACTTACGCCTGTGTTCTCTAGAATGTCATAGTATTCAAATTGATGAGCCTGTTTGACAGTAAGTGTCTTACCATGTCTGATCCAGAGTCCTCAGACTCATCATTGAGCTCTGAGAATTAGAAGTGGTGGGATCTCAGAGGTTAAGTGTACCTTAGACTGGTCTTTCTTCTCAGTGTCCTTGATCACGATAATCTCTTTTTCTTCCAGACTTCCCAGGTTTAAGTTGCCTTCTGAGCTGGAACTAGCAGCATCCTATGGAATTAAAGGGTGAGATTCTTAAACAGTTACTTTTGGATATTTCTCCAAGCTGCCCCCCTAGGCTATGACTTCAAATCATGAATGTTATGACTTCTTTTATCTTTTTTCTTTCTGCAGGAGAGGTAGGCTTGTGAGGCTAGCTAATCTTTGAAGAATGAGACGAAGTTCCCTCCACAAATTACTACTCCCCACTCTGAAGATGCTCACAAAGCCACCAGTCTCAAGAACTATATTCATCACCCTTTGGATGGGTTTTTTTTTTTAAATAAAAAAATAAAAAACAACTTTTCTGACATGCTATCTTCCATGTTTTATCTCTTTCAGTCCTACCAGCAACTTAAGTGGCTTCTAAAATGAGACTTGATATCAAGAGTGACGGTAAATTCAGAACCAGGGATCTTGGGCTCATGAGAATGCTGGCTTTCCCCCTGAGTCCCCTCCTCCTTTCCCCTCTCTCCCCCCAACATTTTCCATTCTTCATACTTCACTGATAACCCTTCTCAGCAGCTTCCCACCGATTCTGACTCTGAGCAGAGAATACGCACCTTGTAATCTTTATCTTCTACATTCAGGGTGGACACATCGACAAAGCATATCTGCATCAAATTAGAAGGGTGAATTTAGAAAAACTCTAGAGAAAGGGGCATAATTTCTCTTTCTTGGAGATGATAATAGCACCTACCTCAGAGGGTTCTTGTGAGGATTAACTGAGATACTATATGGAAAGCATGTAAAAGCAGATTGCCTGGCACATAGTGAGTACCCAATAAATGTTAATACTGTGATTATTGTTAGGCAGACAGAATCTTAGCATTAGCACATTTCTTAAATGAGAATACCAACCTCCTGTCAGAGTGAGGCCTGAGGTACAATATCCACATGTATTAATTGAGAAAACTGTGAAGAGAAATGGCTTGCCCAACTGACACAAACTTAAATGTGGAGCTTGTATTAGAACTCAATTTTCCTGGCTTCCAGTTTAGAGCACTTGCTACTACACTAGTGTTTCTCAAAATTTATTTTATTATCAATAATATAGAATATTTTAAGTAGTGTATGGATAAATATTTCTGCATTTAATAGGTGAATTTTATTGTGCATTAGGGAGAATACATACTAGAACATCAAACCTGGGATATTATGGATAATATTTCTTAGCATGATTGTAATTTTTAAAATGTAAGTCAATTTTTAAAACATTGTAAAAATACATATTAATTAAATAATAGTATGCGTGACATTTGAACATGATTGAAGACTGTGAAGCCCTGTGAATTACTTGAAGTTTGGGAAACAGACCATGAAGCATTTTGCCCTCCTGAGGGGTCCTAGGGTAACATTGTTAGCTAGGCAATATTATTATGACTTAAGAGGTCTTAACTAATAGAGGCTGGTTGCCAGGCAACCACCACTCCTCCCTCAGGCTCCTCCCCAGCCTCCCCTCCCCAGGTCCTTTACATCACACCACACCCTGCCCCTCCCTTGATTTTTATCTCTGTGTGATGTATGAGCATGCTGGCCCCTGACAGACCTTGTTGAGCTTGGTTGCTTGGAGAAGTCAGGGTATCATCGTCCATTAGTTTATCTTGGGCCCCAGGATATCTATACCCATATGCCAATTTTTCCTACTCCTCGGCATGAGTCATTTTTTATCTTACCACTTTCCGGTCCTGATCTTGCTGTCCTTCTGGGTTGTAGAGATCTACCTTGCACACACCCCTGTGGCTGCGTAACCAGTCAATATCATCAGACATCTGGAAAGAGAAAGAAAAGAAAGCTGAAATGCTTATATATGGTTTTTGGAAACCGGGTCAATTTGGATAAGAATCTCTGGAGGGGTTCTGAAATCCATTTCTGTGTTTCATATATAGGTTTAGGCTAGGAACTGGTGGGGTGAGCAGTGGGGGACACATTGAGATGTTTGAACTTGATGCTTAGGATCATTATCTTTTAGCAAAATCCATAGTCTCCTTTAATTTAGACTCCCCACACCAAGTATTTGGAATCATGAGAGTATGATGACCTGGGAATCAAATTTAAAAGGAAATCTAGTGACTTTGGGGATTACATTTAGTGATTTACTTCTACCCAACTCTACTAACTAAATGTCTCTGATCTCCACATTTCTTTACCCCCTCGAGTACCTTCAAAAAACTCCAGCTCACGTTACCCCCTCTAACTTAATTCTAGCTAACTCCAGTTCAACCAGTCTTTCCCATTACACTAAAGAAAGTGAAATTAGATAAATAGCTATAACACATCACTCAGAGCCATTGGAAAATACTAAAGTCAATAGCAGTAAATAAATAGCCCTTTTATTAAAACAACATATACAATTTCAATATATAGAACAAGATTTTGAATGCTGAGAAAACCCAGTCTAATAACCATAAATATAACACCGAGAGACAGAAATCTGAGGGAAGACCAGACCCTGATCCAATAGGATCAAGTTTAATTTATTTTAGAAAGAAAAAATAATCTCTGCCAACTTCCTTCCACCATCACCCCCTGCCACCACCTCCCAACCCAGTCTGGAACTAAAAGTAAAAAGGAAATGACAAAAGCCAGTGACTGATTTTTGCTACGTAAGACCTGAGATTTATGCTTAGAACACACAGTTAAGAGCTCAGTAGACTTGTTTTTGGTATCTGGGGCTTGAATTTGATTTCTTTTTAAATTTTAACAAGAGAAATCCTTTTTGCCAAGTATTAGAGGGCTATTGAATTCCCCCTCCCACCCTCCCCACTCCCGCTCTCCCTTCTGCCCTTCCCCTCCCCTCTCTCCCCACTCCCCTCCCTCCCTCCCCTTTCCATTCCCTCCCCCTTTCTCCCCCTCCCCTTTCTCCCTCTTCCCTCCCCCTCCCTCCCCTTCTCTTTCTCCCTCCTTCTTTCCTTCCACCCCTTCTCTATTCCCCTACAGCATATTAATAATAGCTATTCTCTAATGGCTATCCTTTCACATGATAATACTACATTCCTGCTCTTTACCATCCCTGCCTCCAACCAAGATCTTTTTGAACTCTTCCTTCAGGAATCTCTGTGAAACCTTGAAAAAGTTATAGGAAAAGACTCACTCTGAAGAGGGAGTTTCTTTTTTTCCAAGAGCTACATAGGGAACACTAGCCTAGTAAAAAAAGAGGTGGAGGCATAGAGTCCCTCATGTGATTCAGAAACAGCCTAAGTCCAAGTCCAAAAGAACTGTGAAAAATAAAATTTATGAACTCATTACCTTGATGATGAAGTTCTTTTAGATGTTTGGCTGAAAACGTGACACCCAGAAGGGAGATGTGCCCCTTTAGATGGAACTGAGAAGTGCCAAGTTCTTGGGCACCTGCAGTTGGCTGCCACCCCTGTCAGCTGTTGGACCAGACTGAGGGGCCAGGCTTTCCCCTGCTGCCTCTGACCCTGGGGTGTGGCAACAGAGTTTGTTGGGTCACAATGCCTGAACTGTCACAACCTAAGCAAAGGTGGGCATGTTGGCAAACTCAGAAACCTATTCCCATCAAAAGCACATCAGGCTGCCTGTGGTGCGACAAACTTTTTCTGTTATCTCTATGAGGGTACACACCATTTTTCTCACATTTTCTCTGGCTCACAGTCCATCAAGATATCCCTTCTCTTTTCATTTCCTGCGAGACCTCCAGAACAATCTAATCATACCCCTACTAGAGAATCAGAGTTATATTGCAAGAGATCTTTAGATTTACGTAGAAACAGAGAAATGTTGATCAAAATCTTTTCTGGGTATCCCAAATAAAAGTATGAAAATAGAAACTTGGAGGCTGCCTCAGCAGCTTCTGTAGTTTCACCTCACCATTAAGATGCCCCCTTAGCTAGTCAAAAAGAAGTCAGATGTCCCTACCATTGTAGTATCAGAGTACGCCATCATGTAGGACCCTGGAATGATGTTTTCTTGTTGATTTGGATGCTGTGATGACTCTTCCAGTCTGCCTCAAGATACTGCTTTTTTCTTCAACTCTCCATGCCCTCCTACAGCCTTGACTGCCAGCTGGTACCAGAGTTACCTCTTCTTGACATCACCGTTTCTATAGAGAACAGTGACAGCACAAAGATGGAGGGCTCTAAGGATTCTGTGTGCTCTAAGTGGTCTAGCAGGCTCTGACCTTCCCTATGAGAAATAAGTTGTCCAGAGAAAGGCTGATCTAGTTGAGACAGGGTCTGTCTTTTACAGACTCCCTAGGCCATGAAAAGACTTAAGCTCCACTTAATCTTTTCAATCTGGCCAGTGCTGGTTTGTTGGCTGCAGTATGTGTTAGAGATTTATCCATTACACTTTGAGATGCCTTCATCTCATCTTACTGAGTTTAGCCCCAGTTTGGAAATATTATCCCACAACCAAATGTCTCTCACTCTGCCCAAGTCTCATCTTTCCTTGTCTTTTCTCCATGTCTCCACTTTAATACTGCATGCATGTAAATAAATGCATCTGAATTAACAATCAGTTGAGATGATCCCCTAAAAGAGTTCCATATTCTTGGTTCTACCTCCATTTATTCTTTTTCCTGTTGCCCCTGAGATTGCATCTCTAACTCCGCTATATTATTTTGATCCTGTTAGCTCATGGTGTCAAACAGAAACAGAGCCTGGAATTTGTTAGAGGCGGCAAGACAGATTTTATTCAGGCCACTGCAGTAGAGGAGAGAGACTTCTGATGAACAGATCTCAACTCCACTGAAACAAAAGGCAGGGTGTGCTAAGGAAAAGTACCGAAGGACATTGAGTGGGGGTGAGCTTGGTCAATGTATTGGGGCATCTGTGTTTGCTAATGGGTGCTTATTAAAGTTAGGTTCCCTATGTTCACAATGTCAGGTTTATAAAGAAAAACATAATTAAGAACTATAAAGAAAGAAATGAAAGAAAGTAAAATCAAAAAAAGAAAAGAAAAGAAAGCTAAGCTCCTACCTTCCCATAGAGACAGGGAGACATGGACCCTATTTTTCTTGATCATTACATTACAAAGGGATGGCTTCCAGGTTGTTGAGAAAGACAGTCCTGGGTTGTAGAAGATACATCTTAAAAGAAGAGAGAAAGAATTTACAATTGCAAGTTTTCTAAAGTACATGCTGTAAGGAAGGGAGTCAGGGCCTGTAGTCAGGTTTTGGCCTGAACAAACAGTAAATTCTTTTGGCAGCAATGAACTGTCTCAGGAAGGCATTTTAAGGGGGGCTAGGATTGTCATACTAGGGAAATGGCCTTTTGGCAGCTTTGAACTGTCTCAGGAAGGCATTTTAAAAGGGCTGAGATTGTCATCCTAGGGAAATGGCCTTGAGCTGATAGAAACTACGCTGGTGTTTGTTCAAGTCTCTTAGTGTGTGTATGTATTGGGGGGCAGGTGGATGAAATTGTGCCGAAAGTTGCAGTTCTTATAGGCCAAAGTTGAGGCCTAGCTGAGAAGTGGGCTTAGAGAAGCCTGACTAAAGTTTGATCATGAAGAGGGTCTTTGTTGCTTTTCCTATACCATCCTTTTGTCAAGGGGCAACTTTTGATGATTAAAGACAAAGTTGGAGCTCCTGTGTCTGGCTCATCTCTGTGGAATATGAAGCAAAGGAAGAAAATGTTTACCTATTCTCCAAGCACAAGAAATCATATCTCTAAGAGATTAAAAATAAAACAAAACAAAAACAAAAACAAAAACTCTGTGTCTCCCAGCCCGGAAAGGAACAACCATGATTCATGCCTGGAAAATGTCTTAGTAATCCCCAGATGACAAAGAGAGAACTACTATGGATGATTAGAGCACTCTCCCAGGGCACCTGAATCCTGTCATCCTGGAGGCTAACCAGGAGCAGGTAAGGGCAGCATTTGGATGTGAAACCAATGAGCAAAATGTAAGGGAAGAATCAAGGCAGACCTGGCTCAGTCATAGGTCACGGTACATTTACTGCCTCTTCCTTCTCTTCTCGAGGCTCTCAAATTGGTCTGTACTGAGTAGAGGGGGTGGAGGGCAGGTGAGGGATAAGGGATATTCAAATAGTCAAAGTAAGGAATATATTGTATTAGTGTGTGAAGGTGTGTGAATAGTCTGCACTTAGGTTTGCCTTTAATAGCCAAATATTGAGATATTAAACACAAAAGCCTTGGTCATCATTTTTTTTCTAAGCACCATCATCTATTTTGTAACCTTGTTTATTCTACCCAAACTTCTTCTCTTTCACACAAACTTGTGAATAAGAGTGCAAATCAATACTTTAAATACACTCTCGGTTTGCATTTGGCTAGAAAAAACTATGAAGATAATAAAAATGGGACCTGCGTTTATAATATAATTATCATGAATAATGGCAAAAGGAAATTAAATGAAGTGAACCATCAGCCTTCATGAAATCACTGTCTGTCTGGTAGTCTTGCTGGGTGTCTTCCAGCCTCAGATTTAGCCTACCTTTTATGTGATGACACAATGACCATTTAGAAAATGGGCAGTGATGCCAATGATTATCAGACATCATTTACTGTGGACCAATATAATTGGGAACACCACTTCTTTTTCTCCTGATTTGGTTTTCCTGCCATGAGAGTACACAATGACATTTAGAGCAGCTTCATGCAACCATACTAAAGTGAAAAATTAGTCATTTTGAACATCTTGGCAGTGGAACTGTATAATTACTTCTGTCAAGTGTTTGTGTTTTGTCTGCATTGTACATATTTTTTCTTTCCTATGAGTGATTGGAGGAGTGGAGGGGGAAAATAAAGGACTTTTAAAGTCTATAAACATTATCATAAAAAAATTTCAGGGGGCAACTGCTAAAGATAAGTGGAGTCTTAGGAATGTTAGGGGTTCTTTTATAGGCAGGGGCTTAATTAGGCAGCTAAAGTTCTGTTCCATAACCTTGCGGTAGAAAATGACTTATGGCTAATTTTGAGGGGTGGGCTTGGCTTGGCAGTGGCTATTTCTGGTCAGGCTCTTCCCTTTTATAATTATGAAATTTCCTTCCCCTGATTTCCTAGAACATTTGCTTATTGTCAGGATAATTCATCTGACATTTACTAAATCTGGCCTTGTAGAGTTAATTACCTTTTCCTATTCCTAGATTACCTACATTGCAAGCCTAGAAGGTTATCTATCTCTTTTTCATTGCATCCACCACAATACTGGGCACACAGGTGGGCTCAAGACACAAGGTTTTGGAATTTTTAGGGCAGAAAACATAATTCAGAAATCACAGCGTCATGGGATCTGTAAAAATGACCAAAAAACTTGGTTAGCTATCTGAGTGGGCAGGCTTCTTTCCCAGAGCAGTAATTGTCACACTTTGGCGTGCATCAGAATCACCTGGAGGGCTTCAGTTTCTCATTCTACGGGTCTGGAGTGGGGACTGAGAATTTGCCTGGTACTGTGTATTACATGCATTATCTCAATTCACGCACAGCCTTATGAAATGCCTACCACTTTAATTATAAATGACTCGCTGGAGCGCAGAGGCCACGTGACTGGTGGGGGTGCTTGGCAGCACTGGCCACTTCCATCGTCTTGGGGGTGGGGGTGGCGGGGCGCGCGCGTGTGTGTGTGTGGTGATTAGCATGCCTTTTATTTCTTTCAGGGTCTGGAGATAGAAGAGAAATTCCCTGAGAAAAAGAAAAGTAGAAAGGTATTTACTCTGATCTTCTGGCCCCATCTGGTGGTTTTAAGTCTGACTAAAAAAAAAAAAAAAAAAAGCGCTGATTCGTGATCTCCCCCTGCTGGTGAGAATGGTGGGGTCAATCCGGCCGCCTCTCGTACCAGTTGTTCTGAGGTGCATTTCTGTGGAAGCATTTCCGTCATTCTGAGACAGTTGGGCTGAGGCGGTTGGTCGCCTCTCTCTCTCTCTCTCTCTGTTCCTCATCTACATTTTGATTGGTTTATTTTTGTATTGTTTTCTTTCAGTTTCCGATAGGTGGAGAACATTCTGCTAATAGCTTTTCTTCCAGTCCATTTGTGGCTTGTTAAAGGTACAACATGTATTGTCAGTCGTGACGAGAGCTTTTTGCCTTATATATTGATTATATATTATAAATATAGAAGTATATCCTGTGTCAGGCTGGAGATGTGGGAGGAAAACTGGCTGAGGGAACTAGCCTTTAATTAGTTTATTTCCTCCCTGTCAAACCAACAAACTTTTCTGGAACATCTGAAAAAATAACCTTTAAAAAGTACTTCAGGCTGACCGTGGTGGCTCACGCCTGTAATCCCAGCACTTTGGGAGGCCGGGGCGGGCAGATCACCTGAGCTCAGGAATTCGAGACCAGCTTGACCACCATGGCGAAACCCCGTCTCTACTAAAAAGACAAAAATTAGCCGGGCGTGGTAGCGCGCGCCTGTAGTCCCAGCTACTCGGGAGGCTGAGGCGGAAGAATCGCTTGAAACTGGGAGGCAGAGTTGCAGTGAGCCAAGATGGTGCCACTGCACTCCATCCTGGGTGACAGAGCAAGACTCTGTCTCAAAAGAAAAAAAAAACTTAAATATACAGTTACTTGGTGACAAAATGTTTATCCTGCCCTGCAGATAGTGTATCAGTGAATGAATGTATTAAACATTACAGCTGGGTGCAGTGGCTGCGGCAGGAGGATGGCTTGAACTGGGAGGCAAAGGTTGCAGTGAGCCAAGATGGCGCCACTGCACTCCAGCCTGGGCGACAGAGTAAGACTCTTGTCTCAAAAGAAAAAGAATTAAATAGCCAGGCGCAGTGGCTCACGCCTGTAATCCCAGCACTTTGGGAGGCTGAGGCAGGCGGATCACGAGGTCAAGAGATCGAGACCATCCTGGCCAACATGGTGAAACCCCGTCTCTATTAACAATACAAAAATTAGCTGGGCATGGTGGCATGCGTCTGTAGCTACTTGGGAGGCTAAGGCAGGAGAATCACTTGAGTCCAGGAGGCAGAGGTTGTAGTGAGACGAGATCGTGCCACTGCACTCCAGCCTGAACGACAGAGTGAGACTCTTGTCTCAAAAGAAAAAAAAATTAAATAGCTGGGCACGGTAGCTCACGCCTGTAGTGCCAGCACTTTGGGAGGCTGAGGCAGGCGGATCACGAGATCAAAAGATCGAGACCATCCTGGCCAACAAGGTGAAACCCCGTCTCTACTAAAAATGCAAAAACTAGCGGGACATGGTGGCATGCGTCTATAGCTACTTGGGAGGCTGAGGCAGGAAAATCACTTGAGCCCGGGAGACAGAGGTTGCAGTGAGCCGGGATGGCGCCACTGCACTCCAGCCTGGCGACAGAGCGAGATTCCATCTCAAAATAAATAAATAAATAAATAAATAAAATATACTATTACTTGGTAACAGCTGGGCGCTGCGGCTCACTCCTGTAATACCAGCACCTTCGGAGGCTGAGGCGGGAAGAAAGCTTGAGGGCAGGACTTTGAGACCAGCCTGGGCAACATAGCAAAACTTCCGTCTCTACCAAAAAATAAATGAAATAAAATAAAATTAGCAGTGTGTTGTGGTGCCCGCCTGTAGTCCCAGTTACTCGGGAGGCTGAGGTGGGAGGATCACTTGAGCCTGGGAGTGGGAGGTTGCAGTGAGCCGAGATCATGCCACTGCACTCCAGCCAGGACGACAGAGCAAGACTGTCTCAAAAGAAAAAATAATAAAAATGAAATATAGTATTACTTTATGACAGCTGGGCACGGTGGCTCACTCTTGTAATTCCAGCACTTTGAGAGGCTGAGGTGGGAGTATTGCTTGAAGGCAAGAGTCTGAGTTTGAGACCAGCCTGGGCAACAGAGCAAAACCTCCATTTCTACCAAAAGAAAAAAAAAATTAGCTGGGTGTGGTGGCGCGTGCCTGTAGTCCCAGTTACTCCGGAGGCTGAGGTGGGAGGATCGCTTGAGCATGGGAGGTTGATGCTGTAATGAGGAGTGATCTCGCCAACTGCACTCCAGCCTCCTGTGCCTCTTGCTCTCAAGTCAGGATGATGAATCGGGGTAATGACTTCATGTGGTCACTAGGAGGTCGCAGCTGTTGGAAAACGTATTCCCATGCAGTAGGAGAACACCCCGTAAAAAAGCCGTCTTGAGAAGGTGTTCCTCCAATTAAAAGGGAAATTGGTGATTTCTCTTGACAGAATCACTCCCCATCCTAAAAACTGCATTTTTGTGTATGTCGTATTTATTGATACATTTCCTTAATATTTCCATTATGAAGATATGTATAGGTTCAAGGAAGGCAGTAACTGTCTCTGTGTACAACCTAGCAGTGGCTCATGTGCTTAGACACTCAGTAACTCTTGGTGATGTTGAGATGATTATGACAATAGTGATGGTGTTGATTATAAGAGTGGACTCAATCATTTGTGTCTTCTGAAATTCTCAACAGTTTTACATTCACCTAGTGAATTTATAAATTCACATATCACATTCTGCCTTGTGGTGTATTTGTTTCATTATGAGCTTTATCTTTCCAAAAACAGGACTTCTTGAAGAGAATGACTGTGTTTTGCCCATTTTCACTTACCCTGCTAAGGGTAGCACAGGTTCATATATATTAGCAAATGCCTAATGATATTTACATAATTGAAAATAAGTGGTAATGGTTCTTCAAGAATTGCTAGCCCCAGGACCACATAGAAGTGCTTGGTCAAGGCCAAAAACATTGGGTCATCCTGATCCAAACTGCCTGGATTATTGTAATAACTGGCTAACTGATTCCACTGAATCTATCCTTGCCACTCTTCAATGTAACAGTTTTTAGGAACTGATATACTTTATTAGCTACTCTGTTATTTTTTATAATAGCTTTGTTGAAATATGATTCATATACCATGTAACTCACTCATTTAAAGTGTACAACTCAATTTTTTTAGTATATTGTGTCACAGAGTTGTACAACCATTACCATAATCAATTTAGAGCTTTTTTAATCACCCCCAGAAGAAACCCTATACCCTTTGTCCATCACACTCCAGCCACCCCTCCACCCCTATATCTCCCAGCTTTAGGCAACCACTAATCTACTTTCTGTCTCTATAGGTTTGCCTATTCCAGACATTCAGTATAAATGGAATAATACAATATGTGGTCTTTGGTGACTGGCTTCGTAGCAAAACTTTTTCCAGCAATGAGCTGTAGCAACATGTGTGAAATGTCTGTGAGGGAAGCTCATTGGAGAATCAGTGGCAAGGGTTTTTATTGGGGGCTGGTGATACAGGCACCTCCTGCCTAGCACATACCGAAATTTCAGATTTCTAGGAGGAAATCTGGTGTTCACCATAAACCATAAGGCAAAGTGAGCTCATATTATCAATTAGTGTTGTGGGAACCCTCCCCAAATCCAAGTTTCCAGATACTAGCCAAGGGCCAACCTTTGTAAGCAGGATTTTCAAATGACAATATTCTTAGGTCTGATATGTTAACCCTGAACCACACAGATTTTGATATGGATTGTGTTGATTCTGTAGATCAATCTGGGCAGTATTGCCATCTTAATATTAAGTAAGCTGATCAATGAACACGGAACATCTTTCCATTTATTTAGGTCTTTCTCTTAATGATGTTTTGTAGTTCTCAGTGTACAAGACAATATCGATGTTGGATTACATGGGTTGATTTTTCAAACTAGCCTTGCATCCCTGGGAGATATCCCACTTGGTCATGGTATATGTTAAATAATACTTTTAATATGTTGCTCAAATTTGTTTGCTAATATCTTGCTAAGAATTTTGTTTCTATATTCACGAGGGATATTGTTCTGTAGTTTTCCTATTTTGTATTATCTTTGGATGGTTTTGGCATCACAGTAAAAGTGTTCTCATATAATATGTTGGGAAGTGCTCCCTTTTCTATTTTCTGGAAGTGACAGATGTAGAATTGGTGTTGTTCTTTAAATATTTTGTTTAATTCTCCAGTGAAATCATCTGGGCCCGGAGATTACTCTTTTGGGGAATTTTAAAATTAATAATTGAATTTATTTAAAACTGGGACTATTCAAATGATATATTTCCTATTGGGTGTGTTGTGGCAGTTTGTGCTTTCCAAGGAATTCATCCATTTCTTTAAGTTGTCAACTTTATGTGTGTAGAGTCGTTCATTGTATTCCCCTATCCTTTTTATGTCAGTAGGGTCTGTAGTGGAATCCCTTGTTTTATTTCTTTTAAAAAACCTTTCATTGAGGTATCATTGATATATTAATACAAAGAGCTGCATATATTTAACGTGTACAGTTTGACAAGCTTCTTCATATGTAAACACCCATGATTCCATTACCATAATCAAGGTAGCAGTCACATCCAACACCTCCCAAAGTTTCCTTGTGTCCCCTTGTTGTTGGGTGTATTTTTGTTAAGAACACTTAACATGATATCGACCCTCTTAACAAATTTTGTAGTGCCCAATACTGGATTGTTTTTTGTTTGTTTGTTTGTTTGTTTGAGATGGTATCTCACTCTGTCACCCAGACTGGGGTGCAGTGGCGCGATCTCAGCTCACTGCAACCTCTGCCTCCTGGGTTCAAGAGATTCTCCTGCCTCAGCCTCCTGAGTAGCTGAGATTATAGGTACCCGCCACTACGCCTGGCTAATTTTTGTATTTTTAGTAGCGATGGGGTTTCACCATGTTGGCCAGGCTGGTCTTAAACTCCTGACCTCAAGTGATCCACCCGCCTTGGTCTCCCAAAGTGTCGGGATTACAGGCATGAGCCACTGCGCCTGGCCCAATACTATATTGTTAACTATAGGCACTGGGTTGTACAGCAGATCTCTAAAATTTATTCATCTATGTCATTTCTGATATTGCTAATTTGTGTCTTCTTTTTCTTTGTCAATCTTGCTAGAGGTTTGTTAGGCTTTTGATCTTTTCAGAGAACCTGACTTTATTTCATTGATTTTTACTCTTGGTTTTTCTGTTTTTAATTTCATTGATTTCTGCTTTTATCATTATTATTCCCTACCTTATGCTTGCATTGGATTTACTTTTCTCTTCTTTTTCTAGTATTGAGGTGGGTGCTTAGAGTATTGACATTTGCCAAACAGAAATTTAAAAATTTTTAGCTACTAAAAAATTTCTCATCCTGTTTTGAAAGTTTTTCTTCCTTTTGCAAGATTATGGAAATATTCTTTTGTAGCTTGTCTGGTATTTTCATGGTTTCATTTTTACATTCAAATCTTGGATCCATCTGTAATCTATTTTCATGTAAAAGTAAGGTAGATAATAACAGACCTTCTCTATTAGGCTTTAATACAGAGGTATAGGGAGGAGAAGAAAGGAGAGTTTATGAGAATGTTGTATACCTGGGAGGAGGGGAATATTGACAAATTGTGGAGTCAAAGGGCTGTCTTCTCTTTTCTCAGTATCTTCTCAGGATGGTACCCAAAGAAAAGTTTAAGTCAACTGGAGGTATGCCAGCTAAGGGAAAAATATGTTTAAAAAATTTTGGAAAAATCACAACTTTTACTCAATAATTTTTTTTGTTGTTGTTGATGTGAAAAGCTAGAAAAAAATAGAACGAAATTGCTTGCTTTGTGATTTTTGTATTGCTGTGGTTTTGGTGGATAGACCTTTTCCTCTCATGACTAAAAACTTAGGGTGACTTGTGTTAATGCTATGTGTCCTTTATGTGCATCCCAATGGGTTACTTGTCTACAATGATGACCTTTACGAGAATATATTCATTTACTTAGCGAACAGATTTTTTTCAGTTATCTATCAAGGAGGCAGATATGGGGTACTGGTCATGTTTGTTCTCTGGAATCAGACTGCTTGTGTTTAAATTCTGGCTGTAATGTTTAAAACATTCATTCACTGATATACTGTCTGCAGGGAATGATAAAGATTTTGTTTTGTTAGCTATGACCAGAGCTTTTTGCCTTACATATTGATTATATATTATAAATATAGAAATATAACGAGTCACGCTGGAGATGTGGGTGGAAAACTGGCTGAGGAAACTTAGCCTTTAATCAGATTTTTTTTCCTCCCTGTCAAACCAACAAACTTGTCTGGAACATCTGACAAAATAACCTTTAAAAAAGTACTTGAGGCCTGGTGCAGTGGCTCACACCTGTAATTGCAGCACTTTGGGAGGCCAAGGCAGGTGGATTGCTTTGAGCTCAGGAATTCAAGACCAGCCTGGCCAATATGGCAATACCCTGTCTCTACTAAAAATACAAAAATTAGCCGGGCATGGTGGCGGTCACCTGTAATCCCAGCTACTCTGGAGGCTGAAGCAGGAGAATCGCTTGAAACCCAGAGGCAAAATCTACAGTGAGCCTAGATCACGCCACTGCACTCCAGCCTGGCTGACAGAGCAAGACTCTGTCTCAAAAGAAAAAAACAAAACAAAACAAAACACAAAAACCTTCACTATAGTATTATTTCGTGAAAAAATCTTTATCCTGCCCTGCACATAGTATATCAGTGAATGCATGTTTTAAACATTACAGCCGGGTGCGGTGGCTCACACTTGTAATCCCAGCACTTTGGGAGGCTGAGGCAGGAGGATTGCTTGAGGACAGGAGTTTGAGTTTGAGACCAGCCTGGGTAACATAGCAAAACCTCGGTCTCTACCAAACAAACAAACAAACAAAATATTAGCCTGGTGTTGTGGCACCCTCCTGTAGTACCGGTTACTCAGGAGCCTGAGGTGGGAGGATCGCTTGAGCCCAGGAGGTTGATGCTGCAATGAGGAGTGATCTCACCAACTGCACTCCAGCCTCCTTTGCGTCTTGCTCTCAAGTCAGGATGATGAATCGGGGTAATGACTTCATGTGGCCACTAGGAGATCGCAGCTGTTGGAAAACGTGTTCCTATGCAGTAAGAGAACACCCCATATAAAAGCCGTCTTGAGAAGGCATTCATCCAATTAAAAGGGAAATTGGTGATTTCTCTTTGACAGAATCACTCCCCATCCTAAAAACTGCATTTTTGTGTATGTCGTATTTATTGATACATTTCCTTAATATTTCCATCATGAAGATGTGTATGGGTTCAAGGAAGGCAGTAACTTGTGTGTACAACCTAGCAGTGGCTCATGTGTTTACACACTCAGTAACTTCTGGTGATGTTGAGATGATTATGACAATAGTGATGGTGTTGATAATAAGAGTGAACTCAATCATATGTGTCTTCTGAAATTCTCAACAGTTTTACATTCACCTAGTGAATTTATAATTCACACATCACATTCTGCCTTGTGGTGTATTTGTTTCATTATGAGCTTTATCTTTCCAAAAACAGGACTTCTTGAAGAGAATGACTGCGTTTTGCCCATTTTCACTTACCCTGCTAAGGATAGCACAGGTTCATATATACTAGTAAATCCTTAACGATATTTACATAATTGAAAATAAGTGGTAATGGTTCTTGAAGAATTGCTAGCATGAGACCATAAAAAGGTGCTTAGTCAAGGCCAAGGACGTTGAATCCTGCTGATCCAAACTACCTGGATTATTGTAGTAACTGACTAACTGGTTTCATTGAATCTATCCTTGCCACTCTTCAATGTAACAGTTTTTAGGAATTGATATACTTTATTAGCTACTATGTTATTTTTTATAACAGCTTTGTTGAAATATAATTTATATACCATGTAACTTGTCATTTAAAGTGTACAACTCAATTTTTTTTAGTATCCTGTGTCACAGAGTTGGACAACCATCACCATGATCAATTTAGAGCTTTTTTAATCATCCCCAGAAGAAACCTTATACCCTTTATCTATCACACCCCAGCCACCCCTCCACCCCTATACATCCCAGCTTTAGGCAACCACTAATCTACTTTCTGTCTCTATATATTTGCCTATTCTGGATATTCAATATAAATTGAATCATACAATATGTGGTCTTTTGTGACTGGCTTCTCAACATAACATTTTCCAGCAACAAGCTGTGACAACATGTGTGAAATGTTGTCTGTGAGGGCAGCTCATTGGAGAATTAGTGGCAAGGGTTTTTATTGAGGACTGGTCATACAGGCACCTTCTGCCTAACACATACCAAAATTTCAGATTTCTAGGAGGAAATCTTGTGTTCACCATAAGCCATAAGGCAAAGTGAGCTCATCTTATCAATTGGTGTTGTGGTAATCCTCTCCAAATCCAACTTCCCAGATGCTAGCCAAAGGCCAACCTTTGTAAGCAGGATTTTCAAATGACAATATTCTTAGGGCTGATATGTTATCTCTGTTCCACACAGATTTTGATAGGGATTGTCTTGATTCTGTAGATCAATCTGGGCATTATTGCTATCTTAACAATATTAAGTAAGCTGATCAATGAACACGGGACATCTTTCCATTTATTTAGGTCTTTCTCTTAATGATGTTTTGTAGTTCTCAGTGTATAAGACAATGTCTATGTTGGATTACATGGATTGATTTTTCAAACTAGCCTTGCATCCCTGGGATAAATCCCACTTGGTCATGGTATATATTAAATAATACTTTTAATATGTTGCTCAAATTTGTTTGCTAATATCTTGTTAAGAATTTTGTTTCTATATTCATGAGGGATATTGGCCATGGAGTTTTCTTATTTTGTATTATCTTTGGATGGTTTTGGCATCACTGTAAAAGTGTTCTCATATAAGAAGTTGAGAATTGTTCCCTTTTCTATTTTATGGAAGAGACATATGTAGAATTGGTATTAATTGTTCTTTAAATATTTTGTTTAATTATCCAGTGAAATCATCTGGGCCTGGAGATTTTTCTTTTGGGAAATTTAAAAATTAATAATTTAATTTATTTAAAACTGGGACTATTCAAATGATGTATTTCCTATTGGGTGTGTTATAGCAGTGTGCTTTCGAAGGAATTCATCCATTTCTTTTAAGTTGTCAAATTTATGTGTGTAGTGTTGTTTAAAGTATTCCTTTATCCTTTTTATGTCAGTAGGGTCTGTAGCATAATCCCCTGTTTTATTTCTTTTAAAAAAACTTTTATTGAGGTATAATTGATATATTAATACAAAGAACTGCATATATTTAATGTGTATAATTTGACGAACTTGTTCATATATAAACACTCATTATTCCATTACCATAATCAAGGTAGTAGACACATCCAACACCAGCCAAAGTTTCCTTGTGTTCCTTTGTTGTTGTTGGGTGTTTTCTTGGCAAGAACACTTAACATGATATCTACCCTCTTAACAAATTTTGAAGTGCCCAATGCTGTTAACTACAGGCACTCTGTTGTACAGCAGATCTGTAAAATTTATTAATCTATGTCATTTCTGATATTGCTAATTTGTGTCTTCTTTTTCTTTGTCAATCTTGGTAGAGGTTTGCCAGGTTTTTAATCTTTTCAAAGAACCAGACTTCATTTAATTGATTTTTACTATTGGTTTTTCTGTTTTTAATTTCACTGATTTCTGCTTTTATCATTATTTTTTCCTAAGTTATGCTTGCATTGGATTTATTTTTCTCTTCTTTTTCTAGTATTGAGGTGGGTGCTTAGAGTATTGACTTTTAAGCTTTTCCTCTTTTCTAATATTAAATAGTGTTATAAATTTACCTTTCAGTTTTAGCTGTGGCCCATATATATATATATATATATATATATATATATATTTTAGCTGTGACCCACGTATATATGTATATATGGTATCATCTATTCTATATATATCATCTGTCTCTCTCCCTATATATGTACAATATATATTTTATTAAATAGTATATAATATTGTATTTTATGTATAATAAAATATATAATGAAATATAATATATAATACAATATATTTATGTATATAATATGTACACTTATTATATATAAATTTAAAAATGAATATATCTATTTTAAATAGAGACAGAATGTCCCTACGTTGCTCAGGGTGGTCTTGAACTCCTGGCCTCAGGTTATTGTCCCCATGTTTGCCTCTCAAATTGCTGGTATTACAGGTGTGAGCCACCACACCTGGCCCACAAATTTTGATGTGTTGTATTTTCGTTTTCATTCAGTTCAGTGTTTTTTTTTTATTTTGATTAAACCTTCATCTTTGATCCATGAGGTATGTCGTTTCGTTTCCAAGTGTTTGGAGATTGTTCTGTTATTATTTATTTATTTATTTTGAGATGCAGTCTTGCTCTGTCGCCCGGGCTGGAGGGAAGTGGCACGATCTCGGCTCACTGCAAGCTCCGCCTCCCGGGTTCATGCCATTCTCTTGCCTCAGCCTCCCGAGTAGCTGGGACTACAGGCGCCTGCCACCACGCCCGGCTAATTTTTTGTATTTTTAGTAGAGACAGCGTTACACTGTGTTAGCCAGGATGGTCTGGATCTCCTGACCTCGTGATCCACCCGCCTCGGCCTCCCAAAGTGCTAGGATTACAGGCATGAGCCACCACGCCTGGCCCTGTTGTTCTGTTATTCTTGTCACTGATTTCTAGTTTGATCCCATTGTGGTCAGAGAACATACTGTGTTATGAGTTCAATTCTTATTTTATTTGCTGAGATTTGTTTTACAATTGAGGGCATCATCTATTTTGGTGAAAGTTCCATGGGCACTTGAAATGAATGTGTATTTTTTTTTTTTTTGCGGGGGGATCGTGTTCTATAAATGTCAATTAGATTCTGTTTGTTGCTGTTGTTGTTGAATTCCTCTATACCCTTGCTGATTTTTTATCTAGCTGATTTTTAAAAATCAATTATTGAGAGAGGGATGTTGAAGTCTCCAACTGTAAATGTGGATTTGTCTATTTTTCCTTTCAATTCTGTCAGTCTTTGCTTCGTGTATTTTGCAGATCTGATGGTTGGTACATACACGTTTGAGATTTCTGTATCTTCTTGGTCGATTGACTCTTTTATTATTATGTAATGTTTCTCTCTGACCCTGTTAATTTACTTTGCTCTGATATTACTTTAACTGATATTAATATAGCCACTTTTGTTTGTTTAAAATTAATGTATGCATGATATATCTTTTCCCACTTTTTAATTTCCACCTGCTTATATCATTGTATTTGAAGGGGGTTTTCTTGTTGACAGCATGTCATTGGGGTGTGCTTCTTTTTTTTTTTTTTTTTTTTTTTTTGAGACAGAGTCTCCCTCTGTCACCCAGGCTGGAGTGCAATGGTGCGGTCTCGGCTCACTGCAACCTCCACCTCCCGGGTTCAAGTGATTCTCCTGCCTCAGCCTCCTGAGTAGCTGGGAATACAGGTGCACACCACCACGCCTGGCTAATTTTTGTATTTTTAGTAGAAACGGGGTTTCACCATGTTGATGTTGGTCAGGCTGGTCTCGAATTCCTGACCTTGTGATCCATCCGCCTCAGCCTCCTAAAGTGCTGGGATTACAGGTGTGAGCCACCGCGCCAGGCCTTGTGTGTGTGTGTGTTTGTGTGTGTGTGTGTGTGAGACAGAGTCTCACTCTGTTGCCCAGGCTGGAGTGCAGTGGCGCAATCTCAGCTCAGTGCAACCTCTGCCTCCCAGGTTCAAGCAATTCTTGTGCCTCGGCCTCCCAAGTAGCTGGGACTACAGGGTCGGGCCACCACACCCAGCTAATTTTTTGTATTTTTAGTAGAGACAGGGTTTCACCATGTTAGCCAGGATGGTCTTGATCTCCTGACCTCCTGATCCGCTCGCCTCGGCCTCCTAAAATGCTGGGATTACAGGCATGAGCCACTGTGTCCGGCCTGGGGTGTGCTTTTTAAAATTCACTTTGCCAATATCTGTCTTTTAATTGTTTTACTTAATTTATTTACATTTAATATGATTATTGATCTGTCATATCTTAAGTTTGCCATTTTTATTTTTTGTTTTCTGGTTATTCCTTCTAGTTTTCATTTTTATATTTTCTTTTTCTTTCTGCCTTCCAGTCAGTTACATGAACATTCACTATAATTCCATTTGGATGCATCTATAGTGGTTTTGAGTGTCTCTCTTCACATGGCTTTCACAGTGGTTGCTCTGGGTATTACTCTGTGTGTGTGTGTGTGTGTGTATTTTCAGATTCTTCTGGAGTTATCATTTCGCAGTTTGAGAGAGGTATAGAAACGTTTCCTTCCTTTACATCTCTTTATCCTCCTTTATTTTTTGATATTACTGTTTTTAACATTTCCTGTACCTACATTGAGAACCACATCAGACCATGTTCTAATTTTTGCCATAACTGTCAAACATATTTGAGAAAACTCAGGATCAGAAGGAAAGTCTGTTGAATTGACCCATACTTTGCTCTTTCTATTGTTCTTTCTTCCTGATGTTTTAAGATTCCTTCTTTTGTACCTTTTTTTTTAATTTGTAAATTTTCTATTCTATTGGGGTAGATTTACTGGCAACAAATTCTCTTAATTTTCCTTCATCTGAGAATGTCTTGAGTTTCCCTTCACTCTTGTTTTTTTTTTTTTTTTTTTTTTTTGAGACGGAGTCTTGCTCTGTGGCCCAGGCTGGAGGGCAGTGGCACAATCTCGGCTCACTGCAACCTCCGCCTCCCAGTTCGCGCCATTCTCCTGCCTTAGCCTCCTGAGTAGCTGGGACTACAGGCGTCCGCCACCACGTCCGGCTAATTTTTTGTATTTTTAGTAGAGACGGGGTTTCACCGTGTTAGCCAGGATGGTCTCCATCTCCTGACCTCGTGATCTGCCCACCTTGGCCTCCCAAAGTGCTGGGATTACAGGCATGAGCCACCGCACCCGGCCATTTTTCCCTTCACTGTTGAAGGATATTTTCCCTGGATATTGAATTCTGAGTTTAGAGCTGTTTTCTTTTAGTTTTTGGAAAATATTGTGTCATCTTCTTCTGGGCTGCACAGTTTCTGATGAGAAATCTACTGTTATTCAGAAATTTTTACTTCTATTAGAAATATTTCATTACCCTCTTGCTGCCTTCAAAGTTTTTTTCTGTGTTGTTAAGTTTCAGAAGTTTTATGATGTGTTTATTATGTTAATTACTTTGGGTTTATCCTGTTTACGATTTGCTTAGCATCTTCAGTCTAGATTTATATCTCTCCCAGATTTGGGAAATTTTCGGTCTTATTTCTGAAACTAAGCATTTTTGTAGTAAAGATTAATAGAAGTAGAATCTCTGGGTAAAAGGGTTCAAACATTTGAAATCCAACAGATATTTTCAAATAACCCTCCCAAAGTTTATGGCAGTTTTTATTTGCATCGACAGTGAATACAAATGACTGTTTACCCACTCCCCCATCAACAGAAGTTATTATCAATATATTAAACCTTTGCCAGTGTCCTAAACAAAAATAATCTATTGTTGTTTTAATCTGCATTTATTTTTAGTGAAATTGAACATATTTTCATGGTTAGTGGTCATTTGTATTTCTTTTCTAATTGTTCATTTTCTTGCCAATTTTTTGATGGGAAGTTCATCTATTTTATTGATCATAGAGTTCTCGTACATTTTTTCTTATACTTTAAGTTCTAGGATACATGTGCAGATGGTGCAGGCTTGTTACATCGGTATACATGTGCCATGGTGGTTTGCTGCATCCATCAACCCATCATCTACATTAGGTATTTCTCCTAATGCTATTCCTCCCCTAGGCCCCCACCCCCTGACTGGCCCGGGTGTGTGATGTTCCCCTCACTGTGTCCATGTGTTCTCATTTTTCAACTCCCAGTTATGAGTGAGAACATGTGGTGTTTGGTTTGCTGTTCCTGTGTTAGTTTGCCTAGAATGATGGTTTCCAGCTTCATCCATGTCCCTGCAAAGGACATGAACTCATCCTTTTTTATGGCTGTATAGTATTCCATGGTGTATATGTGCCACATTTTCTTTATCCAGTATATCACTGATGGGCATTTGGGTTGGTTCCAAGTCTTTGCTATTGTGAATAGTGCTGCAATAAACATACATGTGCATGTGTCTTTATAGTAGAGTGATTTATAATCCTTTGGGCATATACCCAGTGATGGGATTGCTGAATCAAATGGTATTTCTCATTCTAGGTCCTTGAGGAATTGCCACACTGTCTTCCACAATGGTTGAACTAATTTACACTCCCAAGTGTAAAAGTGTTCCTATTTCACCACATCCTCTGCAGCATCTGTTTCCTGACTTTTTAATGATCGCCATTCCAACTGGCATGAGATGGTATCTCATTGCGGTTTTGATTTGTATTTCTCTGGTGACCAGTGATGATGAGCTTTTTTTCATATGTTGGCCATATAAATGTCTTCTTTTGAGAAGTGTCTGTTCATATCCTTTGCTCATTTTTTGATGGGGTTGTTTGTTTTTTTCTTGTAAATTTGTTTAAATTCTTTGTAGATTCTGGATATTAGCCCTTTGTCAGATGGATAGATTGCAAAAATTTTCTCCCATTCTGTAGGTTGCCTTTTCACTCTTATGGTAGTTTATTTTGCTGTGCAGAAGCTCTTTAGTTTAATTAGATCCAATTTGTCAATTTTGGCTTTTGTTGCCATTGCTTTTGGTGTTTTAGTCATGAAGTCTTTGCCCATGCCTATGTCCTGAATGGTATTGCCTAGGTTTTCTTCGGGGGTTTTTATGGTTTTAGGTCTTACGTTTAAGTCTTTAATCCATCTTCAGTTAATTTTTGTATAAGGCATAAGGAAGGGGTCCAGTTTCAGTTTTCTGCATATGGCTAGCCAGCTTTCCCAACACCATTTATTAAATGGGGAATCCGTTCCCCATTGCTTGTTTTTGTCAAGTTTGTCAAAGATCAGATGGTTGTAGATGTGTGGCATTATTTCTGAGGCCTCTGTTCTGTTTTATTGGTCTATATATCTGTTTTGGTACCAGTACCATGTTGTTTTGGTTACTGTAGCCTTGTAGTATAGTTTGAAGTCAGGTAGCATGATGCCTCCAGCTTTGTTCTTTTTGCTTAGGATTGTCTTGGCTATCCGGGCTCTTTTTTGTTTTCATATGAAATTTAAAGTAGTTTTTTCTAATTCTGTGAAGAAAGTCAATGGTAACTTGATGAGGATAGCATTGAATCTATAAATTACTTTGGGCAGTGTGGCCATTTTTATGATATTGATTCTTCCTATCCATGAGCATGGAATGTTTTTCCGTTTGTTTGTGTCCTCTCTTTTTTCCTTAAGCAGTGGTTTGTAGTTCTCCGTGAAGAGGTCCTTCAAATCCCTTGTAAGTTGTATTCCTAGGAATTTTATTCTCTTTGTAGCAATTGTGAATGGGAGCTCACTCATGATTTGGCTCTCTGTCTCTTATTGGTGGATAGGAATGCTTGTGATTTTTGCACATTGATTTTGTATCCTGAGACTTTGCTGAAGTTGCTTATCAGCTTAAGGAGATTTTGGGCTGAGACGATGGGGTTTTCTAAAGATACAGTCATGTCATCTGCAAACAGAGACAATTTGATTTCCTCTCTTCCTATTTGAATACACTTTATTTCTTTCTCTTGCCTGATTGCCCTGGCCAGAACTTCCAATACTATGCTGAATAGGAGTGGTGAGAGAGGGCATCCTTGTCTTGTGCCGGTTTTCAAAGGGAATGTTTCCAGCTTTTGCCCATTCAGTATGATATTGGCTGTGGGTTTGTCATAAATAGCTCTTATTATTTTGAGATACATTCCATCAGTACTTAGTTTATTGAGAGTTTTTAGCATGAAGATGTGTTGAATTTTATCGAAGACCTTTTCTGCATCTATTGAGATAATCATGTGATTTTTGTCATTGGTTCTGTTTATGTGATGGATTACGTTTATTGATTTGCGTATGTTGACGTGAACCATCCTTGCATCCCAGGGATGAAGCCAACTTGATCGTGGTGGATAAGCTTTTTGATGTGCTGCTGCATTTGGTTTGCCAGTATTTTATTGAGGATTTTTGCATCAATGTTCGTCAGGGATATTGGCCTGAAATTTTCTTTTCTTGTTCTGTCTCTGCCAGGTTTTGTTATCAGGATGATGCTGAACTCATAAGATGAGTTATGGAGGAGTACCTCTTTTTCTATTGTTTGGAATAGTTTCAGAAGGAATGGTACCAGCTCCTGTTTGCACCTCTGGTAGAATGCGGTTGTGAATCCGTCTGGTCCTGGGCTTTTTTTGGTTGGTAGTCTATTAGTTACTGCCTCAATTTCAGGACTTGTTGTTGGTCTATTCAGGGATTCGATTTCTTCCTTGTTTAGTCTTGGGAGGGTGTACGTGTCCAGGAATGTATCCCTTTCTTCTAGATTTTCTAGTTTATTTGCATAGAGGTGTTTATAGTATTCTCTGATGGTAGTTTGTACTTCTGTGGGATCAGTGGTGATATCCCCTTTATTGTTTTTTATTGTGTCTGTTTGGTTCTTCTCTCTTTTCTTCTTTATTAGTCTGGCTAACAGTTTATCTATTTTGTTAATCTTTTCAAAAAACCAGCTCCTGTATTCTTCGATTTTTTGAAGGGTTTTTCATGTGTCTGTCTCCTTCAGTTCTGCTCTGATCTTAGTTATTTCTTGTCTTCTGCTAGCTTTTGAATTTGTTTGCTCTCGCTTCTCTAGTTCTTTTCATTGTGATGTTAGGGTGTTGATTTTAGATCTTTCCTGCTTTCTCCTGTGGGCATTTAGTGCTATAAATTTCCCTCTAAACACTGCTTTAGCTGTGTCCCAGAGATTCTGGTATGTTGTGTCTTTGTTCTCATTGGTTTCAAAGAACTTACTTATTTCTGCCTTAATTTTGTTATTTACCCAGTAGTCATTCAGGAGCAGGGTGTTCAGTTTCCATGTACTTGTGTGGTTTTGAGTGAGTTTCTTAATCTTGAGTACTAATTTGATTGCACTGTGGTCTGACGGACTGTTATGATTTCCGTTCTTTTGCATTTGCTGAGGAGTGTTTTACTTCCAATTATGTGGTCAATTTTAGAATAAGTGCAATGTGGTGCTGAGAAGAATGTATATTCTGTTGATTTGGGGTAGAGAGTTCTGTAGATGTCTATTAGGTCCACTTGGTCCAGAGCTGAGTTCAAGTCCTGAATATCCTTGTTAATTTTCTCTCTCGTTGATTTGCCTAATATTGACAGTGGGGTGTTAAAGTCTCCCACTATTATTGTGTGGGAGTCTAAGTCTCTGTAGGTTTCTAAGAACTTGCTTTATGAATCTGGGTGCTCCTGTATTAGATGCTTATATATTTAGGATAGTTAGCTCTGGTTGTTGCACTGATCCCTTTACCATTATGTAATGCCCTTCTTTGTTTTTTTTTGATCTTTGTTGGTTTAAAGTCTGTTTTAGAGACTAGGTTTGCAACCCCTGCTTTTTTTGCTTTTAATTTGCTTGGTAAATATTCCTCCATCCCTTTATTTTGAGCCTATGTGTGTCTCTGCACATGTGATGGGTTTCCTGAATACAGCACACCGATGGGTCTTGACTCTTTATCCACTTTGCCAATCTGTGTCTTTTAATTGGGGCATTTAGCCCGTTTACATTTAAGGTTAATATTTTTATGTGTGAATTTGATCCTGTCATTATGATCCTAGCTGGTTATTTTGCCTGCTAGTTGATGTGGTTTCTTCATAGTGTTGATGTTCTTTACAATTTGGTATATTTTTGCAGTGGCTGGTACTGGTTTTTTCTTTCCATATTTAGTGCTTCCTTCAGGAGCTCTTGTAAGGCAGGCCTGGTGGTGACAAAAATCTCTCAGCATTTGCTTGTCTGTAAAGGATTTTATTTCTCCTTTGCTTATGAAGCTTAGTTTGGCTGGATATGAAATTCTGGGTTGAAAATTATTTTCTTCAAGAATGTTGAATATTGGCCCTCACTCTCTTCTGGCCTATAGGGTTTCTGCAGAGAGATCCGCTGTTAGTCTGATGGGCTTCTCTTTGTGGGTAACCCGACCTTTCTCTGGCTGCCCTTAACATTTTTTCCTTCATTTCAACCTTGGCAAATCTGATGATTATGTGTCTTGGGGTTGCTCTTCTCAAGGAGTATCTTTGTGGTGTTCTCTGTATTTCCTGCATTTTAATGTTGGCCTGTCTTGCTAGGTTGGGGAAGTTCTCTTGAATAATATCCTGAAGAGTGTTTTCCATCTTGGTTCCATTCTCCCTGTCACTTTCAGGTACACGAATCAAACGTAGGTTTCATCTTTTCACATAGTCCCATATTTCTTAGAGGCTTTGTTCGTTCCTTTTCTTTTTTTTCTAATCTTGTCTTCACACTTTATTTCATTAAGTTGATCTTCAATCTCTGATATCCTTTATTCCGCTTGATTGATTTGGCTACTGATACTTGTGCATGCTTCACGAAGTTCTCATGCTGTGTTTTTCAGCTCCATCAGGTCATTTATGTTCTTCTCTAAACTGGTTATTCTAGTTAGCAGTTCCTGTAACTTTTTATCAAGGTTCTTAGCTTCCTTGCATTGGGTTAGAACATGCTCCTTTAGCTCGGAGGAGTTTGTTATTACCCACCTTCTGAAGCCTACTTCTGTCAAATCATCAAACTCATTCTCTGTCCAGTTTGTTCCCTTGCTGGCGAGGAGCTGTGATCCTTTGGAGGAGAAGAGGCATTCTGGTTTTTGGAATTTTCAGCCTTTTTGCACTGGTTTTTCCTCATCTTCGTGGATTTATCTACCTTTGGTTTTTGATGTTGGTGACCTTCGGATGGGGTTTCTGTGTGGACATCCTTTTTGTTGATGTTGACACTATTCCTTTCTGTTTGTTAGTTTTCCTTCTAACAGTCAGGCCCTTCTGCTGCAGGTCTGCTGGAGTTTGCTGGAGTTCCACTCCAGACCCTGTTTGCTTGGATATCACCAGCAGAGGCTGCAGAAAAGCAAAGATTGCTGCCTGTTTCTTCCTCTGAAAGCTTCGTCCCAGAGGGGCACCGACCAGATGCCAGCCAGAGCTCTCCTGTATGAGGTGTCTGTCAACCCCTGCTGGGAGGTGTCTCCCAGTCAGGGGGGAAGGGGGTCAGGGACCCATTTGAGGAGGCAGTTTGTCCCTTATCAGAGCTCGAGCACTGTGCTGGGAGATCTTCTGCTCACTTCAGAGCCAGCAGGCAGGAACGTTTAAGTCTGCTGAAGCTGTGCCCACAGCTGCCATTTCCCTCAGGTGCTCTGTCCCAGGGAGATGGGAGTTTTATCTATAAGCCCATGACTGGGGCTGCTGCCTTTCTTTCAGAGATGCCCTGTCCAGAGAGGAGGAATCTAGAGAGCTTGTTCTACATTTTGGAAAGTATTCTTTTGTCATTGGTATTGTCTTTTTTTTCATTTGCCAGTTTGTTGTTAGGTTTTTTTTAACCTTGCTTTGCTGTTTGTTGTGCCAAATATAAATTTTAAAATTTTTAGCTACTAACAATTTATCATCTTGTTTTGAAAGTTTTTTTTCCTTCTGCAAAATTATAAAAATATTCTTTTATAGTTTGTCTGGTATTTTCATGGTTCCATTTTAAATTCAAATCTTGGATCCACCTGTAATATACTTTCATGTAAAAGTAAGGTAGATTATAATAGATCTTTTCTATTACACTTTAATACAGAGGTATAGGGAGGAGAAAGGAGAGTTTATGAGAATGTTGTATACCTGGGACGAGTGAAATATTGACAAATTGTGGAGTCAAAGGGCTGTCTTCTCTTTCCTCAGTGTCCTCTCTGGATGGTACCCAAAGAAAAGTTTAAGTCAACTGGAGGTATGCCAGCTAAGGGAAAAATACGTTTAAACATTTTTGGAAAAATCACAACTTTTACTCAATAAGTTTTTGTTGTTGTTGATGTGAAAAGCTAGGAAAAAATAGGAGAAATGAAACTGCTTCTTTTGTGATTTTTGTGTTGCTGTTGTTTTGGTGGATAGACCTTTTCCTCTCATGACTAAAGACTTACGGTGACTTGTGTTATTGCTACATTTCCTTTATGTGCATCCCAGTGGGATACTTGTCTACAATGATGACCTTTACAAGAAGATGCTCATTTACTTAGTGAACAAATATTTTTCAGTTATCTATCAAGGAGGCAGATATGGAGTGGTGGTTATGTTTGTCCTCTGGAATCAGACTACTTGTGTTTAAATTCCAGTCTGATCACTTATTAGCTGTGTGATCTTGGGAAAGTTATTAAACTTTTCCATGTCTCAGGATCCTCATCTGCAAATGGGGATATTAATACCTTACAGGATTTTTGTGAATGTTAGAACAGTTTCAAACATATAGTAAATAATTTATAAACATGAGCTTTTGTTAATGCTTATCACTGGAGATAGAGCACAACATGTATGGTCCTACGTTTTATGAACCTTGCATTCTTGAGAAATTAAAAATTACAAATTGCAGTATTACTCCTTAAAAAGTTAAGGGACTGAGTATAATGGAGTGGGAGAAGAATCCTCCTTTAAATAACATGGGCAGGGAAGGCCTCTCTGAAGAGGGGACGTTTAAGCTGAGACTTGATCCTTGAGAAAAAACTTGCAATTTCAAAAATAGAGGGAAGAATGTTCCAGGCTGCGGGAACATCTTGTACAAAAATACCAGGTACAGAGAGTTTGGTAAATTCAAATATTTGAAAGAAGACTATTATGGTTGGAGAGCAGGGAATGCAAAATGCAGTTTATGAAGTGAGGTTCATGACGTAGGCAGGACCTTGTAGACCAGGGTAGGTAGTTAGGATTTTTATTTTAAATTCTGTGGGAAATTACTGAAGAAGGGAGGGACACGATACCATTTTTCCTTCTTAAAAAGATTGCTCTTGTTGTTGTGTTGTATTTGTATCAGAGAAAGGTAAATTTTGGAAACGGGAAAAAAGCTTTGAGGCTCTTGACAGTGAGCCAAATAAGAGCCTAGGTGGCAGCGGAGATGGAGATACATTGACAAATACAGATATATTTTGAGGTCAAATAAACAAAGGTGATGGAAAAAAGTTAGAATCATAGACGATACCCAGCTTTCTGGCTTCAATAAAAGGTTTGATGTGGTATCAATTTCTGAAAGGGGGGATACTGAGAAAACGATCAGGTTTGGGGAGGGGCTTGACAATTCAAAGTTCTATTGTGAACATGCTGAATTTGAGGTGTCTATTAGACATCCAAGTGGAGATGTGGAGTAGTAATTTGGATTCATGAAACTGGAGTTTAGGGCCAGCTTTTAGATGATATTTAAAGTCATATATCTGGATGAGATAACCTAGGGAGATTAAAAAGACAAGAGGACCTGGGATCATATATATAGAATGTATATATAAATATATATAGAATATATACAAAAATATATATATAGAATATATATACAAATATATATAGAATATATACGAATATATATAGAATATATATGAATATATATAGAATATGTATAAATATATATATATTCGATATATATAAATATATATTCTATATATATGAATATATATCGAATATACATATATAGATATATAAATATATATAGAATATATATATTTATATATATAGAATATATATATTTATATATATAGAATATATATATTTATATATATAGAATATATATATTTATATATATAGAATATATATATAGAAATATATAAACATATATATAGAAATATATATATAGAATATATATAAAAATATGTATAGAATATATATAAAAATATATATATAGAATATATATAAAAATATATATAGAATATATATGTAGAATATATAAAAATATATATAGAATATATATAAATATATATAGAATATATATAAATATATATAGAATATATAAAAATATATATATAGAATATATAGATATATATATAGAATATATGAATATATATATAGAATATATATATAAATATATATAGAATACATACAAATATATATATAGAATATATCTATAAATATATATATAGAATATATCTATAAATATATATATAGAATATATCTATAAATATATATAGAACATATCTATAAATATATATAGAATATACATATGAATATGTACACAGAATATACATATGAATATGTACATAGAATATACATATGAATATGTACATAGAATATATATATGAATATGTACATAGAATATATATATAGAGTATATATAAATATATACATGAATATATATAGTATATATATAGAATATATATAGAATATATAGAATATATATAGAATATATAGTATATATATAGAATATATAGTATATATATAGAATATATATAGTATATATATAGAATATATATAGTATATATATAGAATATATATAGTATATATATAGAATATATAAATATATAGAAAATATATAAAATATATATACAAATATATAGAATATATACAAATATATAGAATATATATACAAATATAAAGAATATATATAAATATATAGAATATACATACAAATATATAGAATATATACAAAAATATATAGAATATATATACAATATATGTAGAATATATATATAGAATATAAGTATAAATATATATAGAGAATATATATAAATATATACAGAATATATATATAAATATATATATACAGAATATATATATAAATATATATACAGAATATATATAAATACATGTACAGAATATATATAAATATACATACAGAATATATATAAATATACACACAGAATATATATATAAATATACTCACAGAATATATATAAATATATACATAGATATATATAAAAATATATACAGAGAATATTTATAAATATATACAGAGAATATATACAAATATATATAGAGAATATATATCTAAATATATATAGACAGAATATATATATATAGAATATATGTATAAATATATATGGAGAGAATATATATAAATATATAGAGAGAGATATAAATACAAATATATGGAGAGATAACATACAAATATATATACAGAGAATATATATATAAATATATATAGAGAGAATACATATATATAGAGAGAATATATATAAAAATATATATAGAGAGAATATATATATAAATATATATAGAGAGAATATATATATAAATATATAGAGAGATAATATATATAAATATGTATAGAGAGAATATATATAAATATATATAGAGAATATATATAAATATATATAGAGAATAAATATAAATATATAGAGAATATATAAATATATATAGAGAATATATAAATATATATGGAGAATATATAAATATATAGAGAGAAAATATATAAATATATAGAGAGAATATATATAAATGTATAGACAGAATATATATAAATATATAGAGAGAATATATATATAAATATATAGAGAGAATATATATAAATATATATAGAGAATATATATAAATATATAGAGAGAATATATATAGAGAGAATATATATATAAATATATGGAGAGAATATATATATAAATATTTAGAGAATATATATAATATATAGAGAATATATAAATAATATATGAATATATACATAATATATATATAAATATCTACATAGAATGCATATATAAATACATATACATAGAATACATATATAAATACTTATACATAGAATACATATAAATACATACATAGAATATATATAAATACATAGAATATATATAAATACATATGTAGAATATATATAAATACATATATAGAGAATATATATGAATACATATATAGAGAATATATATACATACATATATAGAAGATATATATACATAATATATAGAGGATATATCTACATAAATATATATAGAGGATATATCTATGTAGAATATATATAGAGGATATAGCTATATAGAATATATATAGAGGATATATCTATATAGAATATGTATAGAGGATATATCTACATAGAATATGTATAGAGGTTATATCTATATAGAATATATATAGAAGATATATATAGAATACAGATAATATATAGAATATATATAGAATATAGATAATATATATAGAATATATAGAATATATATAGAATATACATATAGAATATATATAGAATATATAGAATATATATAGAATATATATAGAATATATACATAGAATATATATAGAATATATATAAAGAATATATATAGAATATAGAAACATATAGAATATATAGAAATATATATATAGAATACATATATAGAATATATATATAGAATAGATATATAGAATATATATATAGAATATATATAGAATACATATATAGAATATATATCTAGAATATATATGTAGAATATATATGTAGAATATATATATAGAATATATATATAGAATATATATAAATACATATAAATATATGTAGAATATATATATAAATATACACA